>NC_000014.9:103550715-103853715 GCF_000001405.40 Homo sapiens | reverse complement strand
CCAATACGGGTCTTAGGCATGTTTTTTTTTGTTGCTGTTGTTTTATTTTGTTTTTGAGACAGGGTCTCACTCTGTTACCCAGGTGGGAGTACACTGGTGTTATCTCGGTTCACTGCAGCCTTGACCCCCGGGCTCAAGCAGATCCTTCCACCTCAGCCTCCTGAGAAGATGGGACCGAAGCCGCCTGCCACTATGCCCAGCTAATTTTTAAAATTTTTGTAGAGGCCAGGCGGCGGTGGCTCATGCCTGTAATCCCAGCACTTTGGGAGGCTGAGGTGGGTGGATCACCTGAGGTCAGGAGTTCAAGACCAGCCTGGCCAACATGGTGAAACCCCGTCTCTACTAAAAATACAAAAATTAGCTGGGCGTGGTGGCTCATGCCTATAATCCCAGCTACTCAGGAGGCTGAGGCAGAAGAGTCGCTTGAGCCCAAGAGGTGGAGGTTGCAGTGAGCCAAGATCGTGCCACAGCACTCCAGCCTGGGTGACAAGAGTGAAACTCCGTCTGAAAAAACAAAAAAACTAAAAACAAAAAACACAAAATTTTTTTGTAGAGATGGGGTCTCACCATGTTGCCCAGGCTGGTCTCAAACTTTTGGGCTCAAGCAATCCTCCCACCTCAGCCTCCCAAGTAGCTGGAACCACAGGCACATGCCACCACACCTGGCTGATTTTTGTATTTTTGGTAGAAATGGGATTTTGCCGTGTTGCCCAGGCTGGTCTCCAACTCCTGAGCTCAAGCAAGGCACCCATCCCAGCCTCTGAAAGTGCTAGGATTATAGGCATGAGGCACCATGCCCAGTCAAGTTTTAAAACATGTTATTGTAATTTAGTAATATAGTCACCTGATTCAAAAATCAAACATGAAATGCAACAGCAGCCTAGAGATGAAGGTCAGCGTCAATGGCACTGTCATGCTGATCATATGTATCCTTGATACAATCGGATGAGAATGGTCCCGTACCTCTGTGGTCTTCCTCCCCCAAACTCATAACATCAGTGTAATCATTAGAAAAACATCACATACATTTCAACTGAGGGACAGTCTACAAAATACCTGACAAGCACTCAAAACTGTCAAAGCCATAAAAAACAAGGAAAGCTGGCGAGGAGCGGTGGCTCACACCTGTAATCCCAGCACACTGGGAGGCTGAGGCAGGCGGATGACCTGAGGTCGGAAGTTCGAGACCAACCTGACCAACATGGAGAAACCCCGTCTCTACTAAAAATGCAAAAGTTAGCCAGGCGTGGCGGCGGGTGCCTGTAGTCCCAGCTACTCGGGAGGCTGAGGCAGGAGAATCACTTGAACCCGGGAGGCAGAGGTTGCGGTGAGCCGAGATCGCGCCATTGCACTCCAGTCTGGGCAGTGAGAACAAAATTCTGTCTCAAAAAAAAAAAAACAAAAAAACAAAACAACAACAACAAAAAAAAAAAACAAGGAAAGCCGAGACTGTCACAGCCAAGAGGAGTCTAAGGAGACAAGGAGACATGACGACTGAACGCCACGTGATGTCCTGAAACAAAGGCACTGGCTAAAAACTAAGGAAATCTGGGAAAAGTATGGACCCGAGTTGATACTAACGTATAGATAATGGTTCATTTGTTGTAACAGATGTACTGTACTGATGTAAGATGTTAAAAAATGGGGAAAACTGGATGGAGAAAGGGGTATCTGGGAACTCTCTGTATTTCAAACTCTTTGCAATTTTTCTATAAAACTGTTCTAAAAATAAAGTTTATTTTTCAAAAACTAATAGTGAAAAGCCTCACTCTGATTTCTGCCCCTTATCAACCCAGTTCCCATTCCCACGTGCAGTCATCACTTTATTAGTGTTCCCTGGATTCTTCCAGAATGTATTTATGCCAATATGAATATATACTAATGTCCTCCCTAAAGGGACTTTTTATCTGTTTTAAGAGTATTTAATCATTTTTAATTTTTTTAAATTAAAATAGAGATGGGGGGGGGTCTTGCTATGTTGCCCAGGTTGGTCTCGAACTCCTGGGCTCAAGCAATCCTCCTGTCTTGGCCTCCCAAAATGCTGGGATTACAGGCATGAGCCACCATGCTCAGCCTTTTATTTTTTTATTTTGAGACAGAGTCTTGCTGTCACCAAGGCTGGGGTGCAGTGGGGCAAACTCAACTACTGCAACCTCCGCCTCCAGGGTTCAAGAGATTCTCCTGCCTCAGCGTCCCGATAAGCTGGAATTAGAGGCGCCCACCATCATGCTCAGATAACTTTTTTTTTTTTTTGATACAGAGTCTTACTCCGTTGCCCAGACTGGAGTGCAGTGGCGCGATCTCAGCTCACTGCAACCTCTGCCTCCCGGGTTCAAGCAATTCTCCTGCCTCAGCCTCCCGAGTAGCTGGGATTATAGGCGTGTGCCACCACGCCTGGCTAACTTTGTATTTTACTAGAGACTGGTTGGTCAGGCTGGTCTCGAACTCCTGACCTCAAGCAATCTGCCTGCCTCAGCCTCCCAAAGTGCTGGGATTACAGGCGTGAGCCACTGCACCTGGCCTAATTTTTGTATTTTCGGTACAGACAGGGTTTCAGCATGTTGGCTAGGCTGATCTCAAACTCCTTACCTCAGGTGATCCGCCCGCCTTGGCCTCCCAAGTGCTGGGATCACAGGCTTAAGCCACCATGCCCAGCCATGCCCAGCCTTTAATCTACAGCCTTTAATCTTTATTTTTTTTTTTCCTGAGGCAGGGTCTATGTTGCCCAGGCTAGAGTGCAGTGGCGTGATCTTGGCTCACTGCAGCTTCCATCTCCCGGGCTCAAGTGAACCTGTTGCCTCAGCCTCCTGAGGAGCCGGGACTACAAGTGAGCACCACCATGCCTTGCTTTTATTTATTTATTTATTTATTTATTTATTTTGAGATGGAGTCTTGCTCTGTCTCCCAGGCTGGAGTGCAGTGCCGCAATCTCGGCTCACTGCAACCTCTGCCTCCTGGGTTAAGTGATTCTCCAGCCTCAGCCTCCCGAGTAGCTGGGATTACAGGCGTATGCCACCACGCCTAGTTAATTTTGTATTTTAGTAGAGACGGGGTTTCACCGTGTTGGCAAGGTTGGTCTTGAACTCTTGACCTCAAGTGATCCACCCACCTTGGCCTCCCAAAGTGCTGGGATTTCAAGCAGAGCCACCGTGCCCAGCCCCTTTAATCATTTTTTTTTTTTTGAGACGGAGTCTCACTCTGTTGCCGGGCTGGAGTGCAGTGGCACAATCTCGGCTCACTGCAATCTCTGCCTGCCGGGTTCAAGTGATTCTCCTGCCTCAGCCTCCCAAGTAGTTGGGACTACAGGCACTCGCCACCACGGCCGGTTAATTTTTGTATTTTTAGTAGAGACAGGGTTTCACCATGTTGGCCAGGATGGTCTTGATCTCTTGACCTCGTGATCCACCCGCCTCGGCCTCCCAAAGTGCTGGGAGTACAGGTGTGAGCCACCGCGCCCGGCCCCTTTAATCATTTTTAACATAAAATATTTCAAACATAGAGTATAAAGTACAATGCACCCCAACATACCCACCATCCAGGTTCAAATGTTATCAAGAATTTGCCACGTATGTTTCAGTTATTCCTAATTGCTTGGCTCTCTTTCCCTCTGGCTGAATTGTTTTTAAACAAATTGCAGACCCCTTACATATGCTAGGATGCATCTCTAAAAAATATGGACATCTTCTTCCGTAACCTTAATGCCTATATCCCATCATTACTGGTGATTCCTTTTTTTTTTTTTTTTTTTTTAGAGATGGGGGGATCTCATTGTGTTGACCAGGCCGGTCTCGAACTCCTGGCCTGGCCTCAAGCAATCCTCCCATCTTGGCCCCCCAAAGTGGTAGAATTACAGGCGTGAGCCACTGCACATTAACAACATTCACGGCGATTCCTGATGGGCTGCTCGTGAACTTTGGTCTGTGTAATGGAGAGACACAGAAGGGCTTTACAGGGTTGGGCCGTGTGTGCTCCAGGAAGATGGAGGGCAGGGGCGTGTTGGGAATGGTGGGGGCGTGGAGGCTAGAGCAGTGGGCTTATAATGAATGAGCTTGGTCCAGGTGGGAGGTGATGGGCCGATGCCTGGAGGTGGCAGGCTGGGTGGAGAGGAGGATGGGGACCAGCGGGAAGGACTTGAGGGGGAGCTGACCAGCCTGCCTCAAATGGACCCTTACCTGGAGGATATAGGATGCTTTGGTGTGAGGCACGGTAGCTGCCACTGTCTGTGCCCACAGGTCCTGCAGGCAAGAGGGGAGCCCTTGTGCCAATGCTTCCCTTCCTGGAAGAGCAGGCTCATTTGGATCACCTTACCCCGGGGGGCACCTCTCTGAAGAGCCTTGGCAAAACCTGTCCTTTGTCAGGCTTCGTGGGCCAGAAGTACCCCTTCGTGACTCAGGGACATCAGCTGTCAAAGCTGGGGAAACCAAGGCCCAGAGAAGGAGTGCAAGTTGCCTAAGGCCCCACAGGAGGTCAGAAGCAGAGCAGCTAGAATTAGAACTTAAGTATGTCTCTGACTTTCAGCCTAGGATCACTCATTATCTAGAGCCTCCTCTTCTCTCCAAACTCTGCTCCCAGAAGAGGGGTGTCATTAGCCATTCATGCCCAGGTGTGGATAGGTTTAAAAATCCCAGGGACGTCTGTACACTAAGCCTCCTTGCTAATCACGGCCCAACTACAGAATGCTATTTATGGAACAGCTACCACGTGCCACAAATTGTGCTGGGCGCTTTCCATCCCTCGCATCCGAAAAAGCCTCTTGACACGAGGCAGGCACTATTATCCCTACACTCTCCCATCACAGAGACAAGCACACTACGATGCAGAGAAGATGCGGCTTGTTTAGGATCCCAGGCGAGGGTGTGGCGGAGGCGGTGCTGAACCAAGTCTGTCTAACTGGAAAGTCCACACTCGCAAACACGAGCCCCCGTGGCCTCTGAGGGACAGGGGTGGCTCCCCAGGAATGGGCTGGTGGGAGCTCCCTGGCCTCCTCCCTTGCTCTGCCCCCACTCTGCAGCAGCCAGAAGCCTCTCCGAGAACCAGACAGGCTCCAGACTGACCCTGACCTCGCGGCGGCCTTCTCCACTGGGCCGGCGCTTCCCAGGGCGGCTTACGCCTTCTGTGTCTGGGGCCATCCGCAGACCTTGCCTTCTGATGCCCGTGGGAGTTCGGTGCTGCCGCGGGGAGCACCTCAGTCCCCCTGTCTGCTCTCCGCCGCGGTCCGGGCGAATGGCACCATGTGGGGGGCCCCGAGCGGGTGCCTACCCCCCTGGCAGCCTTTACTGAGGGTCTGCTCAGGGCCCTGCCCAGGGCTCTGTCACTCCGGCGCTCAGGCCCGAGGGGGCGGCGCCTCTGGAGACGGGACTGCAGGGAGAGACCCAGGCCCTGGAGACGAGGACCGGACCCTCCCCGGGGACGCTGGAGCTGGACCTCGAGGGATGCTGGCGCAGGTGGGCACAGGTGGCACAGGTGGGCGCGGGGTTCTAGGCGGGAGATCGCTCGGGCGAAGGCCAAGGCTCGGGAGCTGGTGCGGGGGGCGCGGCCCCGAGAGCCGCGGAAGACGCCGGTGGGGGAGAAGCAGGTGCCAGCCAAGGGCGTCGGGCCGGGGCTGGTTCCGAGCGCGCGGCCTCGGGTCACATGCTCGCTCCGGGGGCCCCCCGCGCCCCTCCCACTGGCCTCTGGGCCGCAGCCCCACGGCGCGCCGGCAGCCGGGGGTCAGGCCGCGGTCAGAGTGCGGGCGCGCGCCGTCGCCGCAGGGACGCTCCCGGCCCACAGTCGGCCCCCGGGAGCCCGGGTTCGAGTCCCGGCCCTGCCGTGATCCGCTGCGGGACCCGGGCCGGCCCTTCCCTGTCGGGCCTCAGTCCTCCCACCGTCCGCGGTCTTCCCTAGTCGGGGCTCACGCAAGGGCGGGGGAGGCCACCGGTGCCCACTGCGCGTCCGCCCCTCCCCCGCCGCCGGGAGCGCGGACGCGCACGCACCTGGCCGCCGCTGAGAGCGAGGGTAGCGGGCGGAGCCGGGAAGCCCCGCCCCTCTCCCCGCCCCCGCTCCCACCGGGCCAATCAGAGGGGGCTACGGGACCCGTGCGGGGCGTCGCGCTGGGGGCGGGGCCTGCGGGGGCTGAAGAGCGAGCCGGGCGGGCGGGCCGCAGGCTGTCGGGCTGGGGCTGAGGCTGAGGCTGAGGTTGAGGCGGCGGCGGCGGCGGCCGGGTGCCCGGGACAGCGACGCAGCGCGCCGGCGGCCGCGACAGGGCCAGCGAGAGCCCCGCAGCCCGCCGCAGCTGCCGCCTCGCCGCGGCCGGGCCGGAGAGCACGGCGGCGGGAGCGCGGCCTTAGGAGGCGGCCGGAGCGGTGGGCACAGCTCGGCGCGGAGCGTCCTGTCAGGCGGCGGCCGAGGGCGTCGCGGACTCTCCCCGCGATGATGCCGGTGGGTGAGGGCGGGCGGGAGGTGGCGGCGGCTTCCTCCGCGGGCCGCTGGCCAAACCTCCTTCCTCCCGCGGCTCCCAGCCCCCGCGGGCCGGTGCGAGGCCGGGCGGGCGGGGAAGGAAGTGGCTGGGCGGGCGCGCCCGGCCGCGGCGCCCCCCAGGCGGGCAGGTGGGGGCGGCGCCGGGCTGTCAGCGCGGGGCCGGGGCCGCCTGCGGGCCCTTCCTGCTCGGCCTCCGCGGCCGCGGGGAGAAGCAGATGCATTTGGGGCCGGTCATCTCCTCGGTCCTCTCAGGTGCGCGGTCGGACGCTGGGGCACAGGTCTGGTGGGTGGCGCAGCTGTGACCCGCCTGAAACGAACGTTCTGGGGTCGCCCTGGGAGTCGGCGGGGTGGGCACCCGCGCCCGGAGTTCCCACACTCTGCAGGCGCATTCCCGTAGCCTTCGCGGTTGTACTGAGGAAAGGTGCCGAGTGCACGGATTTGGAGAGCCATCTTAGGAATTCCCTTTTCCCGTATCTGCAATGTTGGTTCGTTTTGCTTTAACTGGTTTGTTCTCCGTGTTCTGAAGGTTGAACGAGGTTCGTTTGTAGTGGTGGTGTCTTTGTCCTGCCCTTAAGGATGCTTTCGCCTAGAAAGACATTGGCCATTAGATTTGCCATCGTCCTACCGACCCTTCCCTTTACCTATAATCTGAATAGGAGGGGATGCTGAATTCTGATTTTTAAAAATTGGCTTTTTGGGAGGTAAGCATCATGACTTATGAAAAAATGTGGGACTGGTTGTACCCAGTTGGAGAGGTATTGGTTTTCTGAGCGCCTATATCGTAAGTAAAATTCTCAAACACGTTTATAGTAAAGTAACACAGTCATTTTTTTAACCTACAATACTACGTTGAAAATCACATTTCACAGGAAAGTGCAGTTTCCCTGCATTCTCTACTTGAATATTGCCATTCTGCTATGCTGCACCCAAGGACATTTAGATTAGATCCCCCTTCTTCCTCTTTGATTTCCTTTCTCTTGATAATCTCTTCTCCCCGTTTTTAACGGATTCCAGCATGTTTTGTAGCCGGCTTTCAGCGTTTTCCAAGTCTTAAGGTTTGATCTACTTGATCCTTAGGTCTTTCTTTAGCATCAGACTTGTTGGGTTTCTAAACATTTGGTTTTAAATGAATAATTGTCTTGTAATGGAAAGAGAATTGGATGAGCATCAGAAGATCTGGGGTGAAACGCTGGTTCTTCCACTTTTTAGCTATGTGACCTTGAAGAAGTCAAGGTCTTTGAGCCTGGAATTACCTCTAAAGTAGGGATAAAAATGTACCAATATCTGAGCGCTGTCCTGAGGATCAAATAGGATGATGTATCCAAAAGTGATGGTTGAACAGAATGTCATACAAATATTTATTATTCTTAATATGGCTTTGAATTTTCAATTTCTAACTTTATAAGATAAGGCATTTGGAAACTTCCCTCCCTAATTCTCACTAGCTAGATTTTGATGAAAGGCATTATGGTGTTTCAGAATTTTGAAAGTAGTTTTAGTTAAATCCTGTAATAGTTGATTGATGCATTCATACTGTGGTGGCATTGAAGGATATCTAGAAAAATTTTGGCTGGCTTCGTCGTTGTATAATGTTTAATTATAAATATCCTGCTAAGAAACTTGGCTTACATTTTCCATATGATTCATTCAGACATCTTACCTCTATTCCACGGGAGTAGAGTTTTGAGTTCCTACCTTCACAGGTTTCCTTTTTAAGAGGTTTGTTTAGCTGGGAATTGGGGCATTTCTTCGGATTTCTCAAAACAATAAAATACTGTTTTTTAAAAAAACAGGTCTATTACCTGTTTAAAACACCGCTTTTGTTTAAAAATGCCTTTTAGAAACAGATGGTATTTCTCTTAGACTCTCATGTATGGCTTTTACTTTTGTATTTCCTTTTTGATCCCTAAAAATACTACTTGTAGGACTGAGTCCTTCCTCTATTAACACAGTTGGAGTTGGTTGTAAATTTAGTAGGAGTTTTCAGAAATGCCATTCTTACTTGGTAATATTTTAAACTATCCAAAAATGTAAATAAGATTTTTCTCGATTTATTGTATATTTGGTATTCATCATGATGATGATGAATCAAAGGAACGTTGGGTCATATTTTGCAGTTTGTGTAGAGCAGTACTGTCCAATAAAAATGTAAAGCAAGCCACAAATGCAATTTTAAATTTTGTGGTAACTACATGAAACAAGTTGAAAAAGTACTAATTTTAGTAGTATCCTTTTATTAACTTAGCATATCCAAAATATTATTTTAACACGTATTCAATATGAAAAAACCACTAATGAGATATTATACATTTTTTCTGGTACTAAGTGTCTGAAATCTGGTGTGAATCCGGTGACAGTTTGCATTTTACAGCACACACCTCAGCTCAGACTAGCACATTTCCAGTGCTCAGTAGCTACATGTGCTTAGTGACTACCATATTGGACAACATAGGCTTAGAGTATATTTTATTTTATTTGAAAATTGGCAATTAGTATATAATGTCGTGGTAACTTTTTTCTTTTTTTCTTTTTTTGTGACAGAGTCTCACTCTGTTGCCCAGGCTGGAGTGCAACATGATCTTGACTCACCGCAACCTCCACCTCCCAGGTTCGAGAGATTCTCCTGCCCCAGCCTCCTGAGTAGCTGGGATTACAGGCACCCTCCATCCTGCCTGGCTAATTTTTGTATTTTTGTAGAAACAGGGTTTCACTATGTTGGGCAGGCTGACCTTGAACTCATGACCTCAGGTGATCTGCCCACCTTGGCCTCCTAAAGTGCTGGGATTACAGGCATGAGCCACTGCGCCCGGCCATGTGGTAACTTTTAATTAATCACATGGTGTACTACAGTGCCCAGTCTCTCAGCTGTTGAGAATAAATGAGAGTGAGTGGCCAAATTCTCATCTGACACAATCAAATCTCTGTAGAAGTCTTCTATTTGCTGTCGTACAAAGTGCTGTGACTTTCCACCTTCTTTTTTTTTTTATTTTTCGAGACAGGGTTTCACTCCTGTTGCCAAGGCTGGAGTGCAATGATACGATCTCAGCTTACGGCGACCTCCGCCTCCTAGGCTCAAGTGATTCTCATGCCACAGCCTCCCGAGTAGCTGGGACCACAGACACACGCCACGGCAAACGGCTAATTTTTGTATTTTTAGTAGAGACGGGGTTTCACCTTGTTGCTCAAGCTGGTCTCGAATTTCTGAGCTTGAGTGATCTGCCCGCCCCAGCCTCCCAAAGTGCTGGGATTACAGGTGTGAGCCACCCCTCTGCCCCTGCACCTGGCCTTTCCACTTTTTTTTTTTTTTTGAGACGGAGTCTTGCTCTGTCGCCACGCTGGAGTGCAGTGGCATGACCTCGGCTCACTGCAACCTCTGCCTCCTGGGTTCAAGTGATTCTTCTGCCTCAGCCTACCAAGTAGCTCAGACTACAGGCGTGCGCCGCCACGCCCAGCTAATTTTTGTATTTTTAGTAGAGATGGGGTTTCACCACGTTGGCCAGGATTGTCTTGATCTCTTGACCTTGTGATCTGCCTGCCTCAGCCTCCCAACGTGCTGGGATAACAGGCGTATGCCACTGCGCTCTGCCGTCCTTTCCACTTCTAAACTAAATTATATTTTGGAATTTTCCCTTATGAAAATAGTATTTTTTTGTTGTTGTTATTGGTAGTCACTCACCTTTTTATCAATGGATGACATTTTAAAAATGTTTTCCCAGGAAAAAATGGTACCATTTAAATAATACTTTTTGTTTAGTCCCTAAGATCTGGCCCTGAAAGCATTTACAAGTTTGATAGAAGTAAGAATTTTAGTAAAAATGGAAAGCCCAATTTAGATTATAGAAAGGATGAAAACTGCCTTGATTCAGCATGATTTATTTTTTTTTTTGAGACAGAGTCTCGCTCTGTCACCCAGGCTAGAGTGCAGTGGCAGGATCTCAGCTCACTGCAACCTCTGCCTCCTGGATTCAAGTGATTCTCGTGCCCCAGCCTCCACAGTAGCTGGGACTACATGTGCACACCACCATGCCTGGCTAATTTTTTCAAATTTTTGGTAGAGACAGGGTTTCACCATGTTGGCCAGGCTGGTCTCGAACTCCTGGCCTCCAGTTATCTGCCCACCTCAACTTCCCAAAGTGCTGGGATTACAGGCGTGAGCCACCGCACCTAGCTCAGCATCGTTTCTTTTTGAAAGAGTGTGGACGTTTTGTAGCTAGTAAAACTTTTCGTGCATAGATGAGATATATGTGGGGAATGTTGCTTAAGATACTTTTTTTGTTTGTTTTCAGACAAGATCTCACTCTGTTGCCCAGGCTGGAGTGCAGTGGCGCGATCTTGGCTCACTGCAACCTCCGCCTCCCGGGTTCAAGCAATTCTCCCACCATAGCCTCCCAAGGAGCTGGGATTACAGGGGCATGCCACCATGCCTGGCTAATTTTAGCATGTTTAGTAGAGGTGGAATTTCCCCATGTTTGGCCAGGCTGGTCTTGAACTCCTGACCTCAGGTGATCCACCTGCCTCAGCCTCCCAAAGTGGTGGGATTACAGGTGTGAGCCACCGAGCCCGGCCAGCATACTTTTTCTTTTCCAAAAGAGTATCGACGAGTCAAGAACTGTTCTGTAGCTCTGAAGTGTTTTCTCTTCATAAAGAAGGTACTCTGGGCTTGGTATGGTGGCTCACGCCTGTAATCCCAGCACTTTGGGAAGCTGAGATGGGCAGATCACCTGAGGTCAGGAGTTCAAGACCAGCCTGCTCAACATGGTAAAACCCCATCTCTACTAAAAATACAAAAATTAGCCAGGTGTGATGGAGGGTGCCTGTAGTCCCAGCTACTCAGGAGACTGAGGCAGAAGAAACGCTTGAACCTGGGAGGCGGAGGTTGCAGTGAGCCGAGACAGTGCCACTGCACTCCAGCCTGGGTGACAATGCAAGACTCCATCTCAAAAAAAAAAAAAAAAAAAGAAGGCACTCTGGTGGTGGTGTTTGGTGATGTTAGCAATGGGGCACCTAACTTCTACTAGATGCTGTGAAGTGTGGCTATGATTCTACTTATTTCTGTCCTAGGAGCCCTTTCAGCATGTTTACTGCAGGGTAGGGATGACATTAATTTGTTTTCAGTATTTAGCTTTCATTAAATATTTACTTATTCTAGGTATTCATTTTCTTCCCAACTATGTAGAAGCATTTTGAGATACTAGAATAGGTTTTTCTCTTTTTTAAATAAACAAATAACACGTAATTGACAACAAAACCCTGAACTGGAAATAGGGTTCTTGCTCCTACTTGTTAGTGAGGACCTTTGGACTTAGTCTCTTCGGGCCTCAGTTTCTCATCTGTAAAATGAGGTGGATGTGGTAATTTTCAGGCATTTATGGTTGGTCCAGTAGCTGATTTATAGCAGATACTTGCATGAAGTTCTCTAATATTCATATTCGCTTCATCAAAGGTTGAGGCAACTTGACACTTGTTTTGGCAGGCTTCTAGTAAACTCTTTCATTTCCGAAGCATCTTTTATGACAGAGCAGATAGTAAGAGCTCAGTAAATGTTTGCTACTATTTTTTAATTAAGAATTAGGTGACTTGATAAGCTTGATTTTACAGCCTAATTCAGTAAACAAACACCAAAGACAGGACAATATTTAAAAAAATTTTTTTTTCTTTTTTTTTCTTTTTGAGTTGGAGTGTTGACCTGTTGCCCAGGCTGGAGTGCAGTGGTGTGATCTCGGCTCACTGCCATCTCTGCCTACAGGGCTCAAGCGATTCTCCCACCTCAGCGTCCTGAGTAGCTGGGATTACAGGCGCCCGCCACCATGCCTGGCTAATTTTTTTGTATTTTTAGTAGAGATGGAGTTTCACCGCGTTGGCCAGGCTGGTCACAAACTCCTGACTTCAAGTGATCTGCCCGCCTCGGCCTCTCAGAGTGCTGGGATTACAGGCTTGAGCCACCGCGCCCAGCCTAAAAAAAATTTTTTTTTTTGAGACAGAGTTTCGCTCTTGTTGTACAGGCTGGACTGCAGTGGCACCCTCTCAGCCCACTGCAACCTCCATCTCTTGGGTTAAAGTGATTCTCCTGCCTCAGCCTCCCGAGTAGCTGGGATTACAGGCATGTACCACCATGCCTGGCTAATTTTGTATTTTTAGTAGAGACAGGGTTTCTCCATGTTGGTCAGGCGGGTCTTGAACTCCCGACCTCAGGTGACATGCCGCCTCAGCTTCCCAAAGCGTTGGGATTACAGGCGTGAGCCACTGCTGCTGGCAAAAAAAATTTTTAATTAATATGTTTATATATGTTTCTGAGGTATATGTGATATTTTGTTACATGCATAGAATGTGTAATGATCAAGTCAGGGTATTTGGGATATCCATTGCTTCTAGCACTTACCATTTCCATGTGTTGGGAACATTTCAGTGGCTCTCCTGTTTCAAAATACACAATAATGTTCTTTTCTTTTCTTTCTTTCTTTTTTTTTTTGAGAGGAAGTCTCCTTCTGTTGCCCAGGCTGGGGTGCAGGGGTGCCATCTCGGCTTACTGCAACCTCCACCTCCCAGGTTCAAGCAATTTTCCTGCCTCATCCTCCAAAGCAGCTGGGTTTACAGGCATGTGCTTCCACACCCAGCTAATATTTTTGTATTTTTAGGAGAGACAGGGTTTCACCATGTTGGCCAAGCTGGTCTCAAACTCCTGACCTCAAATGATCTGCCCACCTCGGCCTCCCAAAGTGCTGGAATTACAGGCGTGAGCCACTGCGCCCTGCCAAAAAGAGGTAGTTTTTTCCACCTGGAGTTTAGGGACAACTCAGTTTTAAATGTAAATGTGTTAAATGTATTTTCTTCATTCCTTTCTCAGCATCCTACTCTGAACGGTTTTAGGATTAACAGTTTCTTAGGATTTTTAGCAAAATAAGAACTTAAAATATCACTGGGTTATTGTATTGAAGTTATATAACTGGTTGTCAACATGCGTTTGTATGTGTTTGCACAGATGGAGAATACTTTCTCAGCAAAAGTGTGGTGGGATTTTGGTGCCTTGAAATGCTGTTGTCATAGTTATTTCACAAACTGTGGTTCTAGGGCTAAACAGAGGAATGGTGGTAATCAGATTCTATTGTGACACTTTCTTGGCTTGATTGCTTTGCTTTATTTCACTGCAGAGATAGCTATATGACTGTTGTTCAGACTAATTGGTAAGCAAAAGCTGCTGTTACTGGATTTTGTAAAATAAGAATCTTTGGTGATATCATATAGAACAATATAAAACTGGAAAATTTAGGTAGTTTTTATTAAAATTTATGACATTTGAAATATTAGTGTACAGTTCAGTACAAGATCTTGTTAGTGGCATTATTGATGTGTTTAGAGAAAATGTTAACTGAGGTTTTAGCAGAATCATGATTTATGCCACATGTTGTGATTGTAATTATCATAGCTCAAGAAAATGCAAACGCCATGTGGTAGGAGCATGCCCAGCATGCTGGAGAAACAAAAGTAGGCCTGTGTGGCTGGAGCAGAGTGAGTAAGGGGGAAAGTGGAGGAGGTGAAGTCAGGTGATGGAGAGAGTAGTGTAGGATTGATCTTGTAGGGCCTTAGAGGCTATTGTAATGACAAAGGAGATAGAAAGATTTTTTTTTTTTTTTTGAGGCAGAGTTTTGCTCTTGTTGCCCAGGTTGGAGTGCAGTGGCATGATCTTGGGTCACCACAACCTCCACCTCCCAGGTTCAAGGGGTTCTTCTGACTCAGCCTCTCGAGTAGCTGGGATTACAGGCATGCACCACCACGCCCGGCTAATTTTGTATTTTTAGTGGAGATGGGGTTTCTCCATGTTGGTCAGGCTGGTCTCAAACTCCCAACGTCAGGTGATCTGCCTGCCTCAACCCCCCAAAGTGCTGGGGTTAACAGGCGTGAGCCACTGTGCCCGGCGAGAGATTTCTTTTATCAGAAATGAAACACAGTGGGCTGGGTGCTGTGGCTCACGCCTGTAATCCCAGCACTTTGGGAGGCTGAGGTGGGCAGATCACAAGGTTAGGAGATCAAGACCATCCTGGCTAACACGGTGAAATCCCGTCTCTACTAAAAATACAAAAAATTAGCTGGGTGTGGTGGCACGTGCCTGTAATCACAGCTACTTGGGAGGCTGAGGCAGGAGAATCGCTTGAACCTGGGAGGCAGAGATTGCGGTGAGCAGAGGTTGCGGTGAGCCGAGATTGCACCACTGCTCTCCAGCCTGGGTGACAAAGCAAGACTCTGTCTCAAAGAAAAAAAGAAAAAGAAATGAAACACAGTGGTCTGTGTTTATTGCATCGTAAGTAGTTCTGAGTAATAGTCATTGCCTAGGTGACTTTACTGTAGCAGGTAAGAGTGCAGACCCTCACTTTATTCTGCTTAAATATGGATGCTGGCATTGCCATTTGTGGGCTCTCTGACCTTAAAGTTACTTGACCCCTCACTTACCTCTGAGTTGAGCATAATAGTAACTTTACATTGTTGGTAGGAGGATCAGATGCATTAGTACGGTGAAAGTTGCCTGGCATGTAGTAAATGCTCAGTAAATATGTTATTTGTAAGCTCTGTTATTTCCTCTGGAAAGTTTTCACCGTCTCTGCCTTAGCCAACTCCACCATCAGAGGTGCTCACCCTGCCGTGTCTTTTTCTGGGGAGGGGGATATGGTATAATTCATGTGCTATAAAATTCACCTTTTAATGTGTACAGTTCATTGGTTTTCAGTATATGCACGAGACAACTATTGCCACTGTCTAATTTCAGATTATTTTATTTGGAGGTTCTTTGCAGTAATTGTCTTAGTTGTAATCTTAAACATTTGTTTGTGTGACTGGTTGATTTCTGTTTCTTGTCCTAGACTGTGAGCTTCATGAGAGCAGGAGCTCTCTCTTTTTGTTTCCCATTATACCACTGCCGTTTAGCCCAGTGATTGACACATAGTTGGTGCTAAATAAATATTTGTTGAATGAAGAAAGATATGATGTGGAAGGTCCTGTTGGACCCCATTGTGAAGAGCTGTGTGTGTCTGTGTGTGTGTGTGTGTGTGTGTGTGTGCCATAACAGAGTTAGACTTGATCCTGTAGAGATGATCAGAAACCACCAAATGTTTTTATTGTTGTTATTTACTTTATTTATTTGTTTATTTTGAGATGGAGTCTCACTCTGTCGCCCAGGCTGGAGTGCAGTGGTGTGATCTCGGCTCACTGCAACCTTCGCCTCCTAGGTTCAAGCGATTCTTCTGCCTCAGCCTCCCGAGGAGCTGGGACTACAGGTGTGCGCCACCATGCCTGGCTAATTTTTGTATTTTTATTAGAGATGGGGTTTCACCATGTTGTCCAGGCTGGTCTTGAACTCCTGACCTCAGGTGATCTGTCTGCCTTGGCCTCCCAAAGTGCTGGGATTACAGTTGTGAGCTGCCATGCCCAGCCAGAAACCACCAAATGTTTTTAAAAAGTGGAGTGATAGAGTCAGGTTTGTATGATAGAAAGATAATTCTAGAGCCAGAATTATTGGAAGAGAGATAGTTGGTGCAGTAAGGGAGATTAAAAATAAACAGGAAGAGTAGTTAGGAAACAAATTGTTGTAGGCCTGACTTGAGGACCTGAAGAAGAGAAAGATCCAGTTGAAAAGCAGTAAATAGATCGGATGGAGAGTGTGTGTATGTGTGCGTGTGAATGTGTGCATGTGAGGGAGTGAGTGCTTGCGTGCATGCACATGTAAGTGTGTGTGAGAGAGAGAGAGGAAGGAAGGAGGGAGGGAGGGAGATAGCTGGAATTGAGGATAACAGATTTATTGCTTCAGCAGCCAGGCTTGCCTTTCCTTTAAGATAGAAAATACTGCTTGAGAAAGGAGTAAGTTTAAAGGGTTGTGAGAATAAGGAGTTTTATTTTGGCTGTGTGGAGCTTGAGATAGATGCCTGCCATGTCCAGAAAGATGTTATCCTTAAATCTTAAGGTAAAATAGATATGTTAAATAAAACTTTTTGCCTATGTTCAGTGGCTTTAGCATAGTGGGTTCTGGATTGCTGCCTGGGCATCTGCAGCACCCACACACGTCCTCCCTGTGTTTCCGGTTTGCCTGATGAGCGTCACCCTGAGCCCACTGGACCAAGGTTCTCAGGGCAGGGACTGGACTCACTTTGTCCATCTTTGTGCTCCAGGCACCTGGCAGAGTTTATATGTACACTTTTTGTAGAGGTGTAATTTCTGTCTGTGTTGATTTCTTGTGTCCTGCTTTTTACTCAGTTGCATGTTTGTATTTCTATCCAATGACATTCTTGAAAATAGTATCAGTAAATAATAGTCAACATCACAAATTACCAAAGTATAAACAGAGATTTTTGTGATAGAGCTAGTATTTGTGATGGGAAATACAGATGTGAAAGTGTAGAGCATAGTGGTTATCAGCAAGTCCAGACCCGAGACTGTATATTCTGGCTTTGCCTCTTACTAACTCTGTGACTTTGGACAATTTTTTTTTTTTTTTTTTCTTTTCTGAGACAGACTCTTGCTCTGTTGCCCAGGCTGGAGTGCGATGGCGCTATCTTGGCTCACTGCAACCTCCGCCTCCCAGGTTTGAGTGATTCTCCTGCCTCAGCCTCCCGAGTAGCTGAGATTACAGGTGCGTGCCACCACGCCCAGCTAATTTTTTTTATCTTTAGTAGAGATGGGGTTTCGCCATGTTGGCTAGGCTGGTCTCAAACTCCTGACCTCATGATCCGCCTGCCTCTCCCTCCCAAAGTGCTGGGATTACAGGCATGAGCCACAGCGTCCAGCCAACTTTGGACAAATTGTTTAACCCCTTTGTGCCTTATTTTCCTATTTGTAAAAATGGGTTTAATAACACTATATTTCATGATACTGTTAGGATTGTCAGGTGCTTAGAGCATTGTCTGTTACTATATGTAATAAGTAGTTAGGGGCTGGGCATGGTGGTTCACGCCTGTAATCTCAGCACTTTGGGAGGCCAAGGCAGGCGGATCACCTGAGGTCAGGAATTCGAGACCAGCCTCGCCAACATAGTGAAACCCCATCTCTACTAAAAATATAAAAATCAGCCAGGTGTGGTGGCGGGCGCCTGTAATCTCAGCTATTTGGGAGGGTGAGGCAGGAGAATTGCTTGAGCCTGGGAGGCGGAAATTGCAGTGAGCTAAGATCGTGCCTCTGCACTCCAGCCTGGGCAACAAAGTGAGACTGTGTCTTAAAAAAAAAAAAAAAAGTCAGTAGGCCAGGCGCCATGGCTTACATCTGCAATCCCAGCACTTCAGGAGGCCAAGGGGGAAGGATTGCTTGAGGCTAGGAGTTTGAGACTAGACAGGGCAACATAGTGAGACCCTGTCTATATTAAAAAAAATTAAAGGCCAGGCACAGTGGCTCACGCCTGTAATCCCGCACTTTGGGAGGCCGAGGCAGGCGGATCACGAGGTCATGAGATCGAGACCATCCTGGCTAACACAGTGAAACCCCGTCTCTACTAAAAAATACAAAAAATTAGCTGGGCATGGTGGCGGGCGCCTGTAATCCCAGCTACTTGGGAGGCTGAGGCAGGAGAATGGCATGAACCCAGGAGGCGGAGCTTGCAGTGAGCCGAGATCGTGCCACTGCACTCCAGCCTGGGCGGCAAAGCGAGACTCCGTCTCAAAAAAAAAATAAATAAATAAAAATAAAAATTAGCAGGACATAGTGGCATGCCTTTGTAGACCCAGCAACTCAGGAGGCTAAGGCACTAGGATCGCTTGAACCCAGAAGTTGAGGCTGCAGTGAGGTATGATCACACCACTGTACTTCAGTCTGGGCAACAGAGCAAGACCTGGTCTCTTTAAAAAAAAAAAAAAAAAAAAGTGCTGGGCGCAGTGGCTCATGCCTGTAATCCCAGCACTTTGGGAGGCAGAGGTGGGAGGATTGCTTGAGCCCAGGAGTTTAACACCAGCTTGGCCATCATGGCAAAACTCCATCTCTACCAAAATAATACAAAAATTAGCTGGACATGGTGGCTGACACCAGTGGTCCCAGCTACTCAGGAGGCCAAGGTAGGAGGATCGCTTGAGCCTGGGAGGTGGAGGTTGCAGTGAGCCGTCTTCATGCCATTGTACTCCAGCCTGGCAGAGTACAGGCTGTACAGAGTACAGACAGATCCTGTCTAAAAGAAAAAAAAGAGCAAATGTTTACTGAGTACTTTAAGTTTTCTCCAGCAACCATGAGGCTTCTTCTTAGCAAACAAGATTCAGTCAGAAAAGGATCACAATTACCCTATTACTCTGAAGCAGAATGCTTGTGCCCTTCATGCTGAGAGTAGCTAGGTGGTTAATTGCAAAATCTATTAAGTTAATATGGACAGAGAGAGAATAGTTTGCTTTTCTTAGAAATCAAAGTTTAGCCAGTGCGGTGGCTCACGCCTGTAATCCCAGCATTTTGGGAGTCCGAGGTGGGTGGCTTACCTGAGGTCAGGAGTTCAAGATCAGCCTGACCAACATGGTGAAACCTCATCTCCACTAAGAATACAAAAAAAATAGCCAGGCATGGTGGTGGGTACCTGTAATCCCAGTTACTCAGGAGGCTGAGGGAGGAGAATCACTTGCACCCGGAGGGCGGAGGTTGTGGTGAGTCGAGATTGCTCCATTGCCCTCCAGCCTGGGCAACAAGAGCGAAACTCGGTCTCAAAAAAAAAAAAAAAAAAAAAAAAAAGACATTAAAATTTACCTTCCCTGTGCAGTGCTTTCTGTTTTCCAGACCTGACTCAGAACCAGAATAAGGTTCACTTCATGCAGTGTCCTGTCAGTCAGCTGAAAAGCCCTTCTTGGGGTCTCTACCTCGATGGCATCTTCCATCTTGTATGAAATGCCTCTCCCCTTCTTGTGCTTTATTCCTCTTTGTAGTACTTACTAGTTTTTGAGACAGAGTCTCACTCTGTCACCGAGGCTAGAGTGCACTGGCATGATCTTGGCTCACTGCAACCTCTGCCTCCTGGTTTCAAGTGATTCTCGTGCCTCAGCCTCCCAAGCAGCTGGGACCACAGGCGTGTGCCACCATGCCCAGCTAGTTTTTTGTATTTTTAGTAAAGACGGGGTTTCGCCATGTTGGTCAGGCTGGTCTTGAACGTCTGGCCTCAAGTGATCCACACGCCTTGGCCTCCCAAAGTGCTGGGATTACAGGTGTGAGCCACCACGCCCAGCCAGTTCCTCTTTGTAGTACTTATATCAGCCTGGTGTTTATTTGTGGAAGCACCATGAAAGCAGAGTTTTGTTTTCTTTTCCCACTGCAGTATCCTTGGCACTTAGGACATTGTTGGTCTCTGGTAGGCATTTAACATGTACTTGCTTACTGAAGGAACTCAGCATGCCTTTAGGATTCATCATTTACATGCTGGGTCAGCCATTGCTTTCGGTGAGCTCACATTGTCGAGAACAATCATGTAACTAAAACATGCCATTCCAAAAGATAAAAGTCAGGATACAAGGTGCAGCAGAGTACGGTGGCAGAGAGGTCTTCTCAACCTCAGGATGTTGGGAAGTTTCACAGAGGAGGCAACATTTGAGTGGGGTTTGGAAGATTGAGGAAGAGGGAGTGAAGGTGATAGGGAAGGACTTTTAGGTAGAAGGATTTTATTTTATTTTTTATTTTTTTGAGATGGAGTCTCGCTCTGTCACCCAGGCTGGAGTGCAGTAGTGCGATCTTGTCTCACTGTAACCTCCGCCTCCCAGGTTCAAGTGATTCTCATGCCTCAGCTTCCCCAGGAGCTGGCATTACAGGTGTGCACAACAACACCCAGCTAATT
The DNA here is from genome assembly GCF_000001405.40 of Homo sapiens. Taxonomy (NCBI): domain Eukaryota; kingdom Metazoa; phylum Chordata; class Mammalia; order Primates; family Hominidae; genus Homo; species Homo sapiens. The sequence continues at coordinate 103,833,491 of NC_000014.9, read as the reverse complement.
TTTGTATTTTAGTAGAAACAGCGTTTCACCATGTTGGCCAGGCTGGTCTTAAACTCCTGACCTCAGGTGATCCACTCGCCTCGGCCTCCCAAAGTGCTAGGATTACAGGCATGAGCCACCACGCCTGGCCAGGTAGAAAGATTGACATGCAGAATGTTGAGGTCTGAATCAGCATGGTATGTTGAGGGAAGTTGCCTAGGATATGAGGCCAAAGGAGGTAAGAGGAAGGGGATGAGGCTGGAAAAGTGGTAGAAGCCAGATGTGAGGGAAGTGTATTACCTACATAAGAATTTGAACCTGTTCCTGAGAAAGATATGAAAATATTGAAGGATTATTTTAATGTTAAAATATGAGTTACCATTTTAGCCATTTTTAAGTGTACAGTTCTGTGGCATTAAGTACATTCACATTGTTTAGCAACCATTATCACCATCTACCTCCAGAACGTTTTTATCTGCATCTTCTCAAACTGAAACTACTATTGATGGATCTTTTTTTTTTTTCTTTTTGGAGACATAATCTCGCTCTGTCACCTAGGCTGGAGTGCAGTGGCACGATCTCGGCTCACTGCAGCCGCTGCCTCCCAGGTTCAAGTGATTCTCGTGCCCCATCCTCCCAAGTAGCTGGGATTACAGGCGCCCATCACCACACCCAGCTAATTTTTGTATTTTTAGTAGAGACGAAGTTTCGCCATGTTGGCCAGGCTGGTCTCGAACTCTGACCTCTGGTGATTCTTCCCCCTGCACCCCGCCCCCCCTTGGCCTCCCAAAGTGCTGGGATGCTGGGATTATAGGCATGGGCCACCATGCCCAGCTGATGGATCTTAAGCTGAGATGTAAAGTGCTGCAATTTAAGTTAAAATTGATACCTTTAAGTGTCTGGAGTTGAAGAGAGTAGTCCCTTACAATAGTCAAGGCAGAGAAGGGTCTCTGAGTGATCAAAATAGTTGTCAAGGAACTTGGCGTTGAAACTGAATTCAGTTTGTAGACTTCTTCAATCCTTCACATAACCTTTATTCTTACATGTTACACAGTTCTAATTTACCAGGCTTCTAAGTCATTAGAAGCTGCATCTGAGATTACTAGAGGGGTAGTCGTTGGCAGACAGACTGGCTGGAGAGTGTGGTCTCAGACTGGAAATCATACAGAGGTATAGCTTCAAGCACAACCTGAGGTTGAGGTCTGAAGGTGGGCAGCCTGACCTTAGTCATCCCAACAATTGTCACAATTACAGATGACAGATTACACATAGGGTAGTAGTTAAAGTTCCTCATGATGACTGAGTCATCAAGAAAACAGTAAATAATATCAATGATGTAGACAGCAACTGGATACATTTTAGATGAGCTGTGTGCAATAGAAACATAACTTTTTTTTTTTTTTTAAGAGATAGGGTCTTGCTTTGCTGCCCAGGCTGGAATGCAGTGACAGACTTACTGTAAAGTCCTGGACTTAAACTCCTGGACTCAAACAATCCTCCTGCCTCAGCCTCCTGAGTAGCTGGGACTACAGGTGCACACCACCATCCCTGGCTAATTTTTGGTGTTGTTTTTTTTTGTGATGGATTCTTGCTCTGTCACCCAGGCTGGAGTACAGTGGCATGGTCTCGGCTCACTGCAACCTCCGCCTCCCAGGTTCAAGTGATTCTCCTGCCTCAGCCTCCCAAATAGCTGGGACTACAGCCATGTGTCACCATGCCTGGCTAATTTTTGTACTTTTAGTAGAGACGGGGTTTCACCATGTTGGCCAGGTTGGTCTTGAACTCCTGTCCTCAAGTGATCCACCCACCTTGGCCTCCCAAAGTGCTGGGATTATAGGCGTGAGCCACTGCGCCCGGCCACAATTTAAAATTTTCTAGGAGCCTCTTTAAAAAGGCAAAAGAGGCCGAGCATGGTGGCTCACGCCTATAATCCCAGCACTTTGGGAGGCTGAGGCGGGTGGATCACTTGAGGTCAGGAGTTAGAGACTAGCCTGGCCAACATGGGGAAACCCTCTCGGTACTAAAAATACAAAAATTAGCCGGGTGTGGTGACAGGCGCCCTGTAATGCCAGCTACTGGGGAGGCTGAGATACGAGAATCACTTGAACCTGGGAGGCAGAGATTGCAGTGAGCTGAGATCGCACCACTGCACTCCAGCCTGGGTGACAGAGTGAGACTCTGCCTAAAAAAAAAAAAAAAAGTAAAAGAATGAAGTTGAAATTAATTTTAATATATTTTATTTAACTCATTATATAAAAAATATTACTTGAGGCCGGGCGTAGTGGCTCATGCCTGTAATCCCAGCATTTTGGGAGGTCGAGGTGGGCAGATCATGAGGTCAGGGGATCGAGACCATCCTGACTAATGTGGTGAAACCCCATCTCTACCAAAAATACAAAACATCAGCTGGGCGTGGTGGCACACGCCTGTAGTCCCAGCTACTTGGCAGGCCGAGGCAGAAGAATCACTTGAACTCGGGAGGCGGAGGTTGCAGTGAGCCAAGATCGTGCCGTTGCACTCCAGCCTGGGCGACAGAGTGAGACTTCGTCTCAAAAAAAAAAAAAAAAAATTACTTGAGTATGTAGTTAATATTAAAACATCATTAGTGGGGTAGTTTACATTCTTTTTTTTAATACTAAGTCTCTCAAATTTTAGAACATATTTTACGTATATGACACAACTCATTTGGCTTAACCATACCCTAGGTTCTCAATAGCCATGTGTGCCAGTGGCCATCATATGCACAACACAATTTCAGATTTTGCCTGAGATGGAAGGGTTAAATCCCCAGCCATTCAGAGAATGCTGCCATTCATAAGAATTAATTCCTTAAGGATTATAGATGGCTGGGGTTTTATTATAGTAGTTTTCAGTTATGAATACTTGGTTTGTATGTTTGGAAAACTACTGGGAGGCAGTAAAGAGTACAGATTTTGGAACAGACTATCTGGGTTTGAATCTCAACACTGTCTTTTCCTAGCCCTGTAATCTTGGGTGAGTTACTTAATTTCTCTGCGTCTCAGTTTCCTCATCTATAAAATGGAGGGCATAGTAGTACCTACCTCATTAGGTTTTACGAGTTTTAAATGAGTTGTTACATAAAAAGAACCTAAAAGAGGCTGGGCAAGGTGGCTCACTCCTGTAATCCTAGCACTTTGGGAGGCTGAGGTGGGGAGGTCACCTGAGGTCAGGAGTTTGAGGCCAGCCTGGCCAACTTGGTGAAACCTCATCTGTACTAAAAATATAAAAATTAGCCGGGCATGGTGGTGTGTGCCTGTAATCCCAGCTACTCGGGAGGCTAAGGCAAGAGAATCAGTTGAACTCGGGAGGCAGAGGTTGCAGTGAGCTGAGATTGCACCACAGCGCTCCAGCCTGGGTGACAAGAGTGAGATTTCATTTCAAATAAATAAATAAATAAAATAAAAATAAAAATACAGGCCAGGCGTGGTGGCTCATGCCTGTAATCCCAGCACTTTGGGAGGCCAAGGTGGGTGGATCATGACATCAGGAGATGGAGACCATCCTGGCCAACACGGTGAAACCCTGTCTCTACTAAAAATACAAAAATTAGCTGGGCATGGTGGCGTGCATCTGTAGTCCCAGCTACTTGGGAGGCTGACTCGGGAGAATCGCTTGAACCCGGGAGGTGGAGGTTGCAGTGAGCTGAGATCGTGCCACTGCACTCCAGCCTGGTGACAGAGGGAGACTGCGTTTAAAAAAAAAATAGTAAAATATTTAGCCAGGTGTGGTGGTGCTCACCTGTAGTCCCCAGCTACTTTAGAGGCTGAGGTGGCAGAAATGCCTGAGCCCAGGAGTTTGAGGCTGCATTGAGCTGTGATGGTATCATTGAACTCCAGCCTAGGTGGCATAGTGAGACCCTTGTGTATAGTAACTATACACTATAGATGTGTGTTTTTATCCTCAAAATATTTATTATCTTTAAAATGTCAGGCTGGATATGGGTGGCTCACTCTTGTAATCCCATCATTTTGGGAGGCCAAGGCAGGAGGGTTGCTTGAGGCCAGCAGCAGTCTGAGACCAGCCTGGGCAACAACATAGAAAGACCTTGTCTGTATTAAAAAAAAATTTTTTTTAAAAACATTAAATTATTTTGATTCACTATAGTTCAAAGACATTCTTGCTTTAGAGATTGCTTAATTTCACATAGGCATTTAGCAAGTTTTCACAGGTGAAGAAAAAAATGTTGAAGTGTCATTTTGTGAGGATGCTTTCTAATTGATGTCTTTAGGTAACTAGTTTCCTTGTTCGCTGCAACATTAACAAGCACAGCAGTAGTGTGATTAAATAAAGGATTTAGATTTATAATTAAAATTAGAAAAATTTTGAGAGGATGGTTTTTATCAGCATTTAATTAATACTGTTACAATTAAGCCACTCTTTCTCTCTGAAACACTTTAGAATCCTACTATGTCTGGGGAGACTTCATGGTTTTATCTTTTTTTGCAGTCAGTATATTTAACACACTGGATTATTTTGAGAGTCTCCACTTCTTTGTTAATAGAGTAGAAAAGAGTAGCAAAAGTAAAATAAAAATATAAAAAGATTACTATTTAGTACTTGGAAGACAGGTAAGAGGAGGACCTTTATCACCTTATAGAATGAAGACGCATGGCTGGAAACAACCAAATCTTCGTATGGTTCTTTGAATGTCAAGTTTTTGGCACAGAAGAAAGCAGCTCCTAATGGGGGATTCTTCAGTCCTGCTTTCATCTGCCGTTGATTAGCAGTCCGGCCCTGCTGTTTCCAGTCTGTCCTGTCTTCTTGGGACATAATCTGCCCACCCTCTCATTCCATCTGTGGCTTACTCCTTTCTGTCTTAACCTTCCGTGGCGTCCTTTGGGAAGTCTTTCCTGTTGGAGCAGGCAGCCCTTCTGTGGGATCTCGTGGCATTCTGCAGTTCTGTACCATAGTTTTCTGCTGTCCTTTCTCTGTGTCTGCTCCAAGTTTAGTGAGGGCAGAAGTTAGCTCAGAGCCTGGCCCAGGGCCAAGCTGGGCTGAGTAAAATTTTCCTAAATGAATGAATGAGTGATCCTGTAAATGTAACCAATTTATGTTACATAAAAGGTAACACTGCCTTACACTATGGGTTTTGGCTTCTTGCACTTTTTTTTTTTTTTTTTTGGAGACAGAGTTTCGCTCTTGTTGCCCAGGCTGGAGAGCAGTGGTGTGATCTCGGCTCACTGCAGTCTCTGCCTCCCAGGTTCAAGTGATTCTCCTGCCTCTGCCTCTCAAGTAGCTCGGATTACAGGTGCCCGCCACCATGTCTGGCTAATTTTTTTGTATTTTTAGTAGAGTTGGGGTTTCACCATTTTGGCCAGGCTGGTCTCGAACTCCTGACCTTGGGTGATCCACCCACCTCGGCCTCCTACAGTGCTGGGATTACAGGCATGAACCACTGCACCCGGCCGTGCTTTTTATACTGCCATGTCTTGCCATAAAACAAAAACATTAGAGCCCAATTTTAGTCTCTTTGTGTGGTTGGTTATTTGCCTCTGGAATTGAACAAACTCTTAAAAATCACTCTTAATAGAGAATACCTTATGGTCCAATTGGTTTCTTGTCCTTTTTGAGAGTTGCTGGTAGTTAGATACTAAGGCTTCTGTGGGATAACTAGGAGAGGAAAATGCTGTTTTTATAATAGCAATAGTAGCTGCTTATACTTTTGGTAATAAAGTCACAGTAGCTAAGTTCCATGATTAAATGTAATGGAAAAATGAACCTCAGTGTTTTGTTAGCTTTTTTTGTTAGGTGACAACCAATTGTTATCGAAGTCTCTTAAGCTGAAGCTTTATGGTTAATGATATAGTATATCATATCTATATTTATATATCTATAGTATTATATATACTTTATAATACTATATATCTATAGTATTATATATACCATATATCATACACCAGATATCACACTATAGATCTATAGTGTGATATATACTATATCATACTATAACTTTCTAGCAGTTTGTGATGTATTGGCTAATATTCAGAGGAGAAGTCTGGTGCTAGGAATTACTGAAACCAAAATTTTACACTACCATGAGATAAGAAATGGGTTTCTCAATGTTTTTGGAGGCTGTACTACACATCTAGATTTTTGCAAAATCTCATTGCTTTCACATTCCACTCTCCACCCCAAAAAGTATCTAGTACAGTCTTTTTTTTGGAGTCTCGCTCTGTCGCTTGGGTTGGAGTGCAGTGGCGCGATCTCTGCTCACTGCAAGCTCCACCTGCCGGGTTCACACCATTCTCCTGCCTCAGCCTCCTGAGTAGCTGGGACTACAGGTGCGTGCCACCACACCTGCCACCACACCTGGCTAATTTTTTGTATTTTTAATAGAGATGGGGTTTCACCGTGTTAACCAGGATGGTCTCGATCTCCTGACCTCATGATCCACCCGCCTCGGCCTCCCAAAGTGCTGGGATTACTGGCGTGTGCCACCGTGCCCAGCCTTAATCTACTTTTTTTTGCCTTTTTTTTTTTGAGATGGAGTTTCGCTCTGTCACCCAGGCTGGAGTGCAGTGGCATGATCTCCGCTCACTGCAAGCTCTGCCTCCCGGGTTCATGCCATTCTCTTGCCTCAGCCTCCCCAGTAGCTGGGACTACAGGCGCCTGCCACCACGCCCAGCTAATTTTTTTTTTGTATTTTTAGTAGAGACAGGGTTTCACCTTGTTAGCCAGGATGGTCTCTATCTCCTGACCTTGTGATCTGCCCGCCTTGGCCTCCCAAAGTGCTGGGATTACAGGCATGAGCCACTGCACCTGGCTTTTTTTTTTTTTTTTTGGTAGAGACAGGGTCTAGCTGTGTTGCCCAGGCTGGTCTCAACCTCCTGTCTTCCCCACTGTGCATGGCCTATACCTACCATAATCTAAACTTAACTGCTTTGTACTTTTGTTTTGAAATTTTCAATGTATTTCTTGTGATTTGAAGCTTTATTAGTTTGTCATAAAACCATAATTTATGAACTCTCTTACTATAAAGCGAGGAGAAATCCAGACTAATAACTGCTAAGATCCTTTGTAATGCTGACTTCTCATGGTAATACCTGAGTAGACCTCTTTATGTGAAAGCCCTGTTAGGGAAGCTCCTGGTGAAGCAGGTGGGTTTCAAGTTTGAATTGTGTATGCATCCTGAGATCCAGAAAGGTCAAGTGGCCTGGGCTGAGCGGGAAGTAGTTATATCCTGGGTGTTAAATCTATAAAGGCTTACTTTGAAGATATTGCGAGTTTGGTTCCAGACTACTTTAATAAAGCAAATAATCGCAATAAAGTGAGTCACACAAATTTTTTGGTTTCTCAGTGCATATAGGTTATGTTTGGCCGAGTGTGGTGGCTCGCAGCTGTAATCCCAACACTTTGGGAGGCCAAGGCAGGTGGATCACCTGAGGTCAGGAGTTTGAGACAAGCCTGACCAACATGGTGAAACCTGTCTCTACTAAAAATACAAAAATTAAAAATAATAGTAAAAATAAAAATACAAAAATTAACCAGGCCTGGTGGTGGGCACCTGTAATTTCAGCTACTCTGGAGGCTGAGGCATGAGAATCACTTGAACCCGGGAGGTGGAGGTTGTAGTGAGCCAAGATTGCGCCACTGTACTCCAGCCTTGGCGATAGAGCGAGACTCTCTCTCAAAAAAAAAAAAAAAAGAAAAGAAAAAATCACTGTCTACAGTGTTGTTTAGTGTAGTCACCTTCGTCAGTGATTGTAGCTGGATCTTCTGGATAACTTGCTGCAGCTTTTCTGTCATTACTTGTTGTTTCACCTTGCACTTTTATGATACAGAGATGACTTCTTTCCTTGAAGCTCATGAACCAACCTCTGCTAGCTTCCAACTTTCTTTTGCAGCTTCCTCACCTTTCTCAGCCTTCATAGAATTGAAGAGAGGCCCTTGCTCTGGATTAGGCTTTGGCATAAGGGAATGTTATAGCTCATTTTATTGATCCAGACTACTAAAACTTTCTCCATATCAATACTAAGGCTGTTTCAGGCTTTTATCATTTGTGTGTTCACTGGGTAGCACTTTTAATTTATTTTAGGAAGTTTTCCTTTGCATTCACAACTTGGCAAGAGACATAGCTTTCAGCCTATCTCAGCTTTTGACATTCCTTCCTCTTAAGGTTAATCATTTCTAGCTTTTGATTTAAAGTGACAGACATGGTCACTTTCCTTTCACTTGAGCACTTAGAGGCCACTGTAGGGTTATTAATTGGCCTGATTTCAATAATGTGTCTCAGGGAATAGGGAGGCTCGAGAAAGGGAGAGAAATGGGGGAATGGCCAGTTGGTGGAGCAGTCAGAACACACACAACACTTACCAGTTAAGTTTGCTGTTCTACGTGGGTGCTATTTGTGGTGCCCCAAAGCAATTACAATAGTAACGTTAAAGACCACTGATCACAGATCACCATAGGAAATATAATAATAATGAAAAAGTTTGAAATATTGAGAGAATTGTGACACATGGGTGAGCACATGCTGTTGGAAAATGGCACCAGTAGACGTGCTTGACACAGGGTTGCCACAGCCCGTCAATTTGTTAAAAAAAATGCAATATCTGCAGAACTCAATAAAGCAAAGCACAATAAAACAAGATATGCCTGTACTTTCAACAAATATATTTGTGCTCTGACTAAATGCCAGGGCATTGTGAAAGATGTGATGGCCCAGTAGGGAAGATAAATGTAGTACAAAGAAAGTGACATACAACAAATATTTATTACCCTTTTATTATATACCCACATGATCATAGGCACTGTGGACTTAAAGACACTCATTTGCTGTCTCCTTTTTTTTTTTTTTGAGGCGGAGTCTCGCTCTGTCGCCCATGCTGGAGTGCAGTGGCGTGATCTCAGCTCACTGCAACCTCTACCTCCCAGTTCAACCGATTCTCGTGCCTCAGCCTCCAGAGTAGCTGGGACTACAGGTGTGCGCCACCACGTCCAGCTAATTTTTGTACTTTTTTAGTAGAGATGGGATTTCACCATATTGGCCAGGCTAGTCTCGAACTCCTGACCTCGTGATCCGCCCACCTCAGCCTCCCAAAGTGCTGGGATTACAGGTGTGAGCCACAGCACCCTGCCTAATAATGCCTGTCTCTAAATAAATTATGATGTGATCATATAGAGAAATAGCCTTAAAAAAGAGAATGAGGGCTGGATGCTGTGGCTCACACCTGTAATCCCAGCACTTTGGGAGGCCGAGGCGGGCAGATCACAAGGTCAGGAGATTGAGACCATCCTGGCTAACACGGTGAAATCCCGTCTCTACTAAAAATACAGAAATTAGCTGGGCGTGGTTGCACGCACCTGTAGTCCCAGCTACTCGGGAGGCTGAGGCAGGAGAATTGCTTGAACCTGGGAGGTGGAGGTCGCAATGAGCCGAGATCGCGCCACTGCACTCCAGTCTGGCGACAGAGCAAGACTGCATCTCAAAAAAAAAAAAAAAAAAAAAAAAAGGATGAGGTAGAATGTTTTTCAGCTGACAAAACATATTGTTAGCTGGAAAACTAACATTCTACTTCATGTGGCCTCATTGTGAAAAAGGAAGGAAAGTGTTTTGTGGTGTAGAAAGGGTTTGAAAGGATATGTATGTACCTGCTGTTTAAAGTGTGGGTCATTAGGGGGCTATTTTTTATTTCCTCTATTGGTTGACTTTTTTTTTTAAAGTGTATGTATATTAATTTGTAAAAATAAGAAAGATACTTTAAAAAACAGGATTTCTGGCAGGCTTGAAAGTTGTTATACATGGAAAGTGATCAGCACAAAGTCCAGCATATAGTAAATGTCAATAAGTGGGTGCTATTACTGTTATTGTTGGAGGTGGCAGTCAAGGAGGAGGAAGACTGCTAGACTGAATAATTTTGATGGTTGAAATTTGGTTCTGGGGTTTAGAATTTCCAAGGTCATTTGATTCCCCAGGTATAAGATCTTGGTGACAAGGTAGGGTCCAGAGCCCATGAGTTTTGGCTGGCCTTGTGTGAAGGAAGCAAAATGTAGACCAAAGCTAGGTCCAGTGTGCAAGTCGTATGTGAACACTGTTCTCCCTTCTCCATCCCTCCCCTTCTCCTTTGAGAATAACACTGTCCAGCTCACCTTGATGGAGGGAGAGCAGTGGCCTGCCAAATTGTCCCTGTTGTTTTTTTTTTTTCTTTTTTTTGAGACAGAGTCTCACTGTGTCACCCAGGCTGAAGTGCAGTGGCGCGATCTCAGCTCACTGCAACCTCCGCCTCCTGGGTTCAAGCGATTCTCCTGCCTCAGCCTCCCAAGTAGCTGGGACCTACAGGCACCCGCCACCACGCCCAGCTAATTTTTTGTATTTTTAGTAGAGACAGGGTTTCACCGTGTTACCCAGGATGGTCTCGATCTCCTGACCTCATGATCTGCCTGCCTCAGCCTCCCAAAGTGCTGGGATTACAGCTGTGAGCCACTGTGCCCGGCCAAATTGTCCCTGTTCTAAGAGACTTAGGGATCCTTATGGGCAATGTGATATAGTAGGCTTTTGGGGTCATCCCTGGGTTTAGATTCTGATCCCCAGCAAGGTGTCAAGCATCTCTTGAGTCTGCTTCTCCATCTGTAACGTGGGGATGATATGACCTACCTCATTCATTTGCATGTCATAAATGGTTCTTTTCCTTGTTCCTGTTCAATGCAGGAAGGATTAGGAAATACTTTTTTTTTTTCTCGAGATGGAGTCTTGCTCTGTCTCTCAGACTGGAGTGCAATGGTGCAATCTCAGCTCACTGCAACCTCTGCCTCCCAGGTTCAAGTGATTCTTTTGCCTCAGCCTCCCCAGTAGCTGGGATTACAGGCGTGCGCCACCACACCTGGTTAATTTTTTGTATTTTTAGTAGAAATGGGGTTTCACCATGTTGGCCAGGCTGGTCTTGAACTCCTGACCTTGTGATCCACCTGCCTTGGACTCCCAAAGTGCTGGGATTACAGGCGTGAGCCACCGGTGAAATAGGTAGTTAGGGTGAATTTTTATGAACAAAGAAATGTATTCTGTGGGGTTTTGGTGTTTTCTCTTTAGACTTGATTTTATAAAAGTTTGTGGTTTTGGCTGGGTGCAGTGGCTCACGCTTCTTCTAATCCCAGCACTTTGGGAGGCCAAGAAGGGCAGATCACCTGAGTTCAGGAGTTGGACACCAGCCTGGTCAACACGGCGAAACCCCGTGTCTACTAAAAATACAAAAATTAGCCTAGCGTGGTGGTGGGTGCCTGTAGTCCCAGCTACTTGGGAGGCTGAGGTAGGAGAATTGCTTGAATCCAGGAGGCGGAGGTTGCAGTGAGCTGAGACTGTGCCACTGCACCCCAGCCTGGGCGACAAGAGCAAAACTCCGTCTCCAAAAAAAAAAAAGTGGCTTTTTGATCCTCATCTCTTGGGATTGTCTTGTGGATGAAACAATGTAGTTTTTCATAGGCATGATTTGTATTGGGTTTCCATATATCCAGATGTGCATGGGAAGGTCTTGGTTTTACCTGTTGTCCTAGCACTCTGTCCTGTTAGCTTATTTTTTTCACTCAAAAGCAGCATATTTAGTTCTTAATTTTATGATAGCTCAATTATATCTCAACTAAATGCCTTGGACTTATTTATTTTTAACAAATATTGTCACTTAGCTTACATTTTCCAGGGTCTTGTTGGTATTTATGGAGCCCTCTTATGTTTTCAAATCATATTATAGATCTATTTTGTGGTCAGCTCCTCTTTATTTATTTATTTATTTTATTTATTTATTTTTTTGAGGTGGAATTTTGCTCTTGTTGCCCAGGCTGGAGTGCAATGGCGCAATCTCAGCTTACCGCAACCTCTGCCTCCCGGGTTCAAGCAATTCTCCTGCCTTAGCCTCCCGAGTATCTGGGATTACAGGCAGGCATCACCACGCCCGGCTAATTTTGTATTTTTAGTAGAGATGGGGTTACTCCATGTTGGTTAGGCTGGTCTCGAACTCCCAACCTCAGGTGATCCGCCCACCTCAGCCTCCCAAAGTGCTGGGATTATAGGCGTGAGCCACTGTGCCCAGTGCTCCTCTGTATTTATAATTCACACTTGATATGTTCCTGTGTCAATTTTGGGTCTCTTTTGTGACTTAATTTCAGTTCATTTCTATGATTTTAAAAGTTGCGGGGAGGCTTCCCGACTTTTTCAGTGCCCATTATTATCAGGTACTGAAATTAAAAAGAGGAAGAGGAAATTAGATTTGAGAGAATATGGTATGTCGTGCTGTTGCTAGACATTTTACAGACCTCCTTTAATATTCAGTGAACAAGGTAACTGAATACTGACAAGGATGTGTCATGCAGGGATGAGAATCAGCCTGGATTTTAGTCTTCATTTTGTTACCAAGATGATTTATTAACCTTGACAAATTATTTCCTTTTCTGGGCTTCTACTTCCTCATCTACAAAATGGGGAAAGAGTGTTGGATAGATTAGGTTCTAATCTGGCTCTAAGATTTTATGACTGATCTTTTTGATAGCTTGAAATCTCAACATAACCCTTTTAATTGAATGCTTTCAAAAGGACTAAGTAGCAATCACTTTCTTGCTTACTAACTCAAATTACAAGAAAAACAAAAAGTTATCCCTTTTTTCCCCGCAAACAACTTTAGTGACTATAGAAAAAAATTGAGGCACCTATGTAGTGTTGTTTTAAGTTTGCAGCTTCTAATGTAAGCTTTTCTTCTGAAAGGACTAGGGCTGGGTGCAGTGGCTCACACTTGTAATACCAGCACCTTGGGAAGCTGAGGTGGGAGGATCACTTGGGACTAGGAGTTGGAGACCAGCCTGGGCATCATAGAGCGGCCACCCTGTCTCTACAAAAAAAAAAAAAAAAAAAAAAATCCTGGGCATGGTGGTATGTGTGCCAGTCCCAGCTACTTGTGAGGCTGAGGTGGGAGGATAGTTTGAGCCTAGGAAGTTGAGGGTGCAGTGAACCATAATTGCACCACTGCACTCCAGCCTGGGTAACAGAGTGAGACCCTGTCTATTAAAAAAAAAAAAAGGACTAATGTGAATGTTTATTGAATGTTTTATTTTTGTGTCAAAAATACGGGTCCTTGTGAGAACATCCTGAGTGCTAAGCCAATAACAACACTATTTTTGAGAAGAGAGAGAAAATGATTTTGCAGCAGTGTAGAAAGATGATAAAACAAAAGGAAAGGTGATCTGCGAATTTGGCCCCATTTTCTCTCCTCTTCTGTGGCCAGAGCTTTCAACTTCGTGGAGCTGGGGCTTTCCTGTGTTTGCTGAACAGAGGAGCTGAGGCTCTGGACCTGGTGGGGTGGTGAGAAGGGAGGGGCGTTGTCCGTAATAGGATGATTCCTGCTTCTCACGCGTCCCTCCCTAGGGAAGTTGCTGGGACTGAAGCCTGATTGTTGCTGGCCTTTTTCCCCTGCCCCTCCCCCTTGTTTTTGTTTTAAGCTCTCTGTACCCGTTGGCAGGTAGAGGACTACTCAAGGCCTTGGAAGCAGTGTGCTTTAATGGAATAAGTGCAGGCTTAGGAGCCAGTCAGACTGGTGTTCATATCTGAACTCTACTACAAGTAACTGTGGGTCTGGGATAAGTACTGAGCCTTTTTTACAACTCAGGTTTCTCTTTGTAAAATGATAATAATTGTAGCGGTTAAGTTCCTTTTGGTTTCAAGTGGCAGAAACCAACTGTTGTTTTGTAACCTCTCAAAAGGGGGTTTATTGGAAGGACTCTGGAGGGATAGCCTAACAACCAGATCTTCAGATGGGGCAGAAACAGGGGAGCTCTGGGGACCTTGGCAGCAGGTGTGGTAGGCTTTCTCTCTAGGGCATGACCTCTTTCTCACAGTCCACATCCACTCCATCAGCAAATCTTGTCAGAGCTAACTTTACAGTGTACCCAGGTTCTATTTTGCATTACCTCTAGGGTTCTCATTCTCTCCTGGATTTTTATATTAGCCTCCTGAGACTCCTTCCTGTTTCATTTCTTTTTGTTGTTGTTTTTTTTTGTTTGTTTGTTTTTTTTAATAGACAGATTTCTCATTCTCTTGCCCAGGCTGGAGTACAGTAGCAGGATCATAGTTCACTGCAGCCTCAGACTCCTGGGCTCAAGGGATCCTACCACCTCAGCCTCCCAAGTAGCTGGGACTACAGGCCTGCACCACCATGTCTAGGTCTTCCTAATTCTGTGCTTGTTCCCCGCCTCAGTCTGTTCTCAACAAAGCAGCCACAGTGAACCTGTAAACCTTTATGGCAAAATATGCCACTTCTTACTTAAAACCCTCCAAGGGCTGCTAATATCCTTCTGAGAAAAAGCCTAATTAGTAGCTTATCTCTCATTTCCTACTCCTCTCCCTTTGATTTCCCTGCTTCAGTCAAGCTGGACTCCTTATTGATTCTCAGTCTCTTCAGGCATTCATTCTGCCTCAGGGCCTTTGCACTTGTTCCCTTCGCCTGAATGGTCTTCCTTCAAGCTGTCATTATGGCTCATCCTTTCTCCTCCTTCAGTGAGGCTTTTGTTCCCCTTCCAACTTAGAATTATCCTTCAGCAGTAAGGCTTTTTCTAACCACTTATTGAAAACTAAAATTGCCCCATTCCCAGTCTTCTTTGTCTGCTTAATTTTTTTCCATACTATATAGTACCACCTAGTATACTATATTTTTTGCCTATTTATTTAGTCTCTTTTTCCCAACTATATAGTAAGAATTCCATAAGGGCAGAACCCTGTCCATTTTGTCAGTGCCAAATCTCCAGTGCCTGGCAGGTAGTAGGTGCTCAATAAATATTTGTATAATGAAGAACATTTTTCATCAAGTGTTTTTCTTAGTTGAGTCAGCATGGCAAGAGGGATGGGCCATGTAAAATAAGCGTGACCCCTGGGAACTTGCCCAAATGTGAAGCCCAGAGAAGAGGAGAAAGAATTGTCATCTGAAGGCCATCCCAGTTGATGTCTCTGAGGTTGCCATGAGGACGAAATCAACTGGTGTATGATTTGTCTAGTAGCTGCCAAGAAAATATTCGTTCTTCTCCCTGTGTGAAAACAGGTACCTGACAATATTAACATTGAGAAATTCAGTCATTCTCCATAATATAGGTTGTTGTTTGCAAGAGTAGAAATTATGGTCATAGAAATATGAAAACTCATATGCAGCCTAATGTTTTAATCAGTAGTGTCTTCAAAAGGGATGGTATTGAAATTCTACAAATTGTAGATGGGTTTTATAAGGGCTCTTCTGGTATCTGAGCAGACCCAAATCTCAGGACCCAAACCACATTCATAAAAGAGTGGGAACTCATAGAGTGGGAAGGAAGGCGTTAAAGTTTTCATTTTTAATTTCCTTTCTGTAGTAGGAAATGTTTTGCATGGTGGCAGGCTAGCCTGTGAGTACATTAATCTTTGGATTTTACGATGAATATCTACTAATTCATCCTTTTATGTCACACTTACAATGTTTTGTTTTTCAAAGGTATGTGTATATTACATGTATGAAGTGAGTTCTTTCATTATAAAAAAAAAGTTTGATTTACCCATCTGATAATTTTTGGGTAAAGATTATTTCCTGTAGTTTCATCAAGATGAAGAACTTGAATAGTTGGGTTTTTTTTTTTAATGTTCATAAACTTTAGCACTGTTTTGTTCCTGAACTATCTGAGTAGAAACTTAAGCTTTGGAGTCAGACACACTTGGGTTAGATTGTCATGTCTGAAGCATCTCAGTCACATGGCCTTGGACACGCCAGTCTGTCTGCAGTGACAGGATCATCATCCTAGCACCTAGCATAGGCCTGTTGAGAGTTAAAAAAAAGGAGAGGGGCTTATCCTCAAACATAGCAAGCAAAAATAATTAGCTATTTTTATTATTAATAAATGGTAAAAGTCCTTTAATGTTGTGTCTTATTATAAATTTCATTCTGATTTTATCTAAAATGTCAATACTAACAAAATTAAAAAAAAATTTAGCTCTGTATGTACCCTACTTTGAACAAGCAAATAGTTTTCAGAAGCATAAAACATGAACAAGGCATTTATTGTGAAAACATATTTTTAAACCTTTAGGTTTCACTTTTTAAAGTTGATAACCAAGCTTAGACAAGTCTTTTTTTTTTAATATAACAAGTTTTATATGGAGATTAGTAAATTTATGTGTAGTCTTCATTTTGATAGTGATTTCTAGATCTTGGTTACAGTTGTTATTGAACAATGCTATCAGTGAATTTTTTCTTCACTGGAGCTCACCTAATTAGGTGAAACTTTATCCACCATGTCACTGTGCAGTAACAACGGTGGTCTGTCTTGTTTCATTAGGACATCTTATCATGGCTCATGTCATTAGTGCCCGAATTTAGATTCCACAAGGCCTGAGGGACATCTAAGTATTTTCCCTTTGTAAATGACATAGATAATCTCCAGGCACTTGCAATTTTGTTTTCCACACTTCGCTTTTGCTTAATTTTCTGAAGATGAGAAATATTTTAAGAACAGTAACTCTGAGCATTATAAGCAAATTCAAGGCAGCATCATGGTTTTCAAGAGCTGGCTCAGATCTGAAAGAGGAAATGGATAGAGTCATTTGTAAAAAGATGGGGTGCTATTAGATTTACTTTTCCTTTGTAAATTGTATTCATCAGATGAATAGTATTTACTAAGCTATATTGATATACATCATTATATAAAAGTGTTCTTCAGGAACATTATTTTTCTAATTATCTTTGTTGTTTTAAGCCCCAGTTGCTACTGGCAAATGGATTAATACTGAATTTTTGGTATTTGCAGACATTAAGGTACAGCTATAAATGTTTATGGGCTGAGAAAAGGAAAAATATATGAAAGGAAATAATTTTTTTTTTTTTTTTTTGAGACTGAGTTTTGCTCTTGTTGCCCAGGCTAGAGTGCAGTGGTGCAACCTCCACCTCCCGGGTACAAGCGATTCTCCTGCCTCAGCCTCCAAGTACTGGGATTACAGGCATGTGCCACCACCCCCGGCTAATTTTTATATTTTTAGCAGAGACGGGGTTTCACCGTGTTGGCCAGGCTGGTTTCGAACTCCCGACCTCAGCTGATCCGCCCGCCTTGGCCTCCCAAAGTGCTGGGATTACAGGCGTGAGCCACTGTGCCTGGCCGGAAACCTGGCCTGAGTTCTGGAGTTCAAGACCAGCCTGGTCAACATGGTGAAACCCCGTCTCTACTAAAAATACAAAAATTAGCCGGGGGTGGTGGCACGCACCTGTATTCCCAGCTACTTGAGAGGCTGAGGCAGGAGAATCGCTTGAACCTGGGAGGCAGAAGTTGCAGTGAGCCAAGATCATCTGCACTCCAGCTTGGGCAACAGAGTGAGACTCTTGTCTCAAAAAAAAAAAAAAAGTTGTTTTCATTGAGAAAAATATTTTACTGATGGTATAGGTTGAATACTTGGCATAGCTAGTTTTTTGTTTGTTTGTTTTGAGATGGAGTCTTGCTCTGCTGCCCAGGCTGGAGTGCAGTGGCGCGATCTCAGCTCACTGCAAGCTCTGTCTCCTGGGTTCATACCATTCTCCTGCCTCAGCCTCCCGAGTAGCTGGGACTGCAGGTGCCCGTCACCACACCTGGCTAATGTTTTCGTATTTTTAATAGAGACGGGGTTTTACCGTGTTAGCCAGGATGGTCTCGATCTCCTGACCTTGTGATCTGCCCGCCTCGGCCTCCCAAAGTGCTGGGATTACAGGCATGAGCCACCACACCTGGCCGTACTTTTTTTTATTATTTTAAAATTATTTTATTTTATTTTATTTTGAGATGGAGTTTCACTCTTGTTGCCCAGGCTGGAGTGCAGTGGTGCGATCTTGGCTCAGTGCAACCTCCACCTTCCAGTTTCAAGCGATTCTCCTGCCTCAGCCTCCTGAGTAGCTGGGATTACAGGCGCCCGCCACCGTGCAGGATAATTTTTGTATTTTTAGTAGAGACAGCGTTTCACCATGTTGGCTGGGCTGGTCTTGGAACTCCTGACCTCATGATCCACCCACCTTGGCTTCCCAAGGTGCTGGGATTACAGGCGTGAGCCACCATGCCTAGCCTGTGTTTGTGTTTTTTAAATAACAGCTTTATTGGTACATAATTCACATACAATAACATTCATTTTTTCAAAATGTACAATTCATTGGTTCTTAGTATATTCACAAATTGTGCAACCATCACTACTATCTAGTTTTATATTTTCATCCCAAAAAGAAATCTTGTACCCATTTTTCAGTCACTCCCGCTCTCTCCTTCCTCCCAGCTCCTACCAACGACTAATCTACTTTATCTCTCCGTGGATTTGCCTGTTTTGGACATTTTATAAAAACAGAATCATATAATATGTGAACATTTTGTATCTGGCTTCTTTCACTTGGCTTAATGTTTCCAAGCTTCATCCATGTTTAGCATTCATTTGAATCCTTTTTATGGTCAAATAATATTCCAGTGTATGGGTATACCACATTTTGTTTAGGCATTCATCAGTTTGAGTTGTTTCCACTTTTTGGCTATTATGAATAATACCATAAATATTTCCAAGTTTTTACATAAACATCTATTTTTTTTCTTTCCTTTTGTTTTTTTTTGTGAGACGGAGTCTTGCTCTGTCGCCCAGGCTGCAGTGCAGTGGTGTGATCTTGGCTCACTGCAAGCTCCACCTCCCGGGTTCACACCTGTCTCCTGCCTCAGCCTCTTGAGTAGCTGGGACTACAGGCGCCCACCACCATGCCCGGCTAATTTTTTGTATTATTAGTAGAGACAGGGTTTCACTGTGTTAGCCAGGATGGTCTCGATCTCCTGACCTCGTGATCCGCCCACCTTGGCTTCCCAAAGTGCTGGGATTACAGGCGTGAGCCACCGCGCCCCGCCGCCGGTTTTTGTTTTTTTTTAAATAGTGATGTGGTCTCGTCAAGTTGCTTAGGCTCATCTCTTAACTCCTACCCTCAAGTGATCCTTTTGCCTCAGCCTCCTAAAGTCTTGGGATTATAAGTGTGAGCCACGGGGCTCAGCCCATTGAAACTTTTACTGCCTTATCTTTTTTATTTTGAAGCATTTTAGAGTAGTGGTTTAAAGCTTAAGCTTTGGAGTCACACAGGCCAGGGTTAAATCCTGACTCTAGTATTTATTAGTTCAGCAGACTTGGGACAAATTATTATTTTATTTATTTATTTATTCATTTATTTTGAGACGGAGTCTTGCTCTGTCGCCCAGGCTGGAGTGCAGTGGGGCAATCTCGGCTCACTGCAAGCTCGGCCTCCCAGGTTCATGGCATTCTCCTGCCTCAGCCTCCCAAGTAGCTGGGATTATAGGCATGTGCCACCATGCCCGGCTAATATTTGTATTTTTAGTAGAGACGGGGTTTCACCATGTTGGCCAGGCTGGTCGTGAACTCCAGACCTCAGGTGATCCATCCGCCTTGGCCTCCCAAAGTGCTGGATTACAGGTGTGAGCCACCACGCCCATCTGGGACAAATTATTTAACCTCTCTGACCCTCTTTTTCCTAATCTGTAAAGTGAAGAGTAGTACCTATATCACAAAGATGGTATGACAATTGAGAATGTGTAAAGTCCATACTATAATGAGTAATAATAAGTACCAATAAATGATAATGGAAATGTTTTTTCCCTAGTGCAGTGACTTTTCATTTAGTTTTATGGAAGTCCTGGTAGGTTTCATGAGGCCCTCAGAGTAGTATCTTTCAAACTTTTCTGACCATGAACCCACACTAAGAAATACCTTTTACAAGGTGACTCAGTTCTTACCTAAATACTCAGACACGTATCTATACGTGTCAAAATGTCAGGAGAAAACACCCTATGTTACTCTTCTCTTACCCTGCTATAAAGAACTACCGGAGACTGGGTAATTTATAAAGGAAAGAGATTTAATGTACTCACAGTTCTGCGTGCCTGGGAGACCTCAGGAACTTACAATCATGGCGGAAGGCACCTCTTCACAGGCTGACAGGAGAGAGAACGAATGCCAGCAGGGGAAATTCCAGATGCTTATAAAACCATCAGATCTCGTGAGACTCACGCATTATCACGAGAACAAAATGGGAGAAACCGCCCCATGATCCAATTATGTCCACCTGGTTCTCCCCTTGACACATGGGTATTACAATTCAAGATGAGCTTTTGGGTGGGGCACAGCCAAACCATATCTTACCCTTTCCATGGGCAGTGTACTGTCTTATTTTTTATAGAAGTTTTAGATATACAGAAAGATGGAGCAGAAAGTACGGTGGGGACGTGAAAGTACAGTGGGGACTCTCTTCTGGATTTGTGCTTTTTTTTTTTAACATTGCTGAATAACTGAATAATATTCCAGCAGTATTATGTACCACAGTTTGTTTATCCATTCATCTACTGAAGGACATCTTGGTTGCTTCCAAGTTTTGGCAATTATGAACAAAGCTGCCATAAACATTCACATGCAGGTTTTTGTCTGGACACATTTTCAACTCCTTTGGGTAAAGACCAAGTGGTGGGATTGCTGGATCACATGGTAAAAGTATGCTTAGTTTTTTAAGAAGCCACCAAACTGTCTTCCAACATGGCTGTACCATTTTGTATTCCCAACTGCAAGTTCCTTTTGCTCCGCATCCTCACCAGTGTTAGGTGTTGTCGATGCTTTGGATTTGGGCCATTCTAGTAGGTGTGTAGTAGTATTTCACTGTTGTTTTATTAATAATTTGCAATTCCCAAATGACCTATGATACGGAACATGTTTTTCATATGTTTATTTTTCCATTTGTATGTCATCTTTGGTGAAGTATCTGTTCAGATCATTTGCCCATTAAAAATTAGGTTGTTTTGGCCAGGTGCGGTGGCTCACGCGTGTAATCCTAGCACCTTGGCTGAGGCAGGGGGATCATTTGAGGTCAGGAGTTCGAGACCAGCCTGGCCAACATGGTGAAACACCATCTCTACTAATGATACAAAAATTGGCTGGGCCTGATGGCAGGCACCCCAATCCCCGCTACTCAGGAAGCTGAGTCACGAGAATCGCTCGAACCCAGGAGGCAGAGGTTGCAGTGAGCTGAGCTTGTGCCACGGCACTCCAGACTGGGCGACAGAGTGAAACTGTGTCTCAAAAACACAGAAACAGCCACACGCGGTGGCTCACGCCTGTAATCCCAGCACTTTGGGAGGCCGAGGTGGGCGGATCACAATGTAAGGAGTTCGAGACCAGCCTGGCCAATATGGTGAAACCCCATCTCTACTAAAAATATACAAAAATTAGCTGAGTGTGGGGGCAGGCACCTGTAGTCCCAGCTACTCGGGAGGCTGAGGCGGGAGAATCGCTTGAACCCAGGAGGCAGAGGTCACAGTGAGCTGAGATTGCGCCACTGCATTCCAGCCTGGGTGACAGAGACTGTCTAGAAAAAAAAAAAAAAAAAAACCACACACAGAAACAAAAACATTAGCTTGTTTTATGATTATTGAGGTTTTTTTTTTTTTTTTTTTTTTGAGGGGGAGTCTGGCTCTGTCGCCCAGGGTGGAGTGTAGTGGCTCAATCTCAGCTCACCGCAAGCTCCGCCTCCCAGGTTCACGCCATTCTCCCACCTCAGCCTCCCAAGTAGCTGGGACTATAGGCGCCCACCACCACACCCGGCTAATGCTGTTTTTGTATTTTTAGTAGAGACGGGGTTTCACCATGTTAGCCAGGATGATCTTGATCTCCTGACCTCATGATCTGCCAGCCTTGGCCTCCCAAAGTGCTGGGATTACAGGTGTGAGCCACTGCGCCCGGCCTGGGTGACAGAGCGAGACTCCATCTCAAAAAAGAAAAAAGAGTTATTTGTGTATTTAGGATACAAGTCCTTTATGTATTTATTTATTTAGTGACGGTCTCACTCTTGTGCCCAGGCTGGAGTGCAGTGGCACAGTCATAGCTCACTGCAGCCTCGACCTTCTGGGCTCAAGCAATCCTCCTACCTCAGCCTCCCAAGAAGCTGGGACTACAGGCCTGCACTACTACACCTGGCTACTTTTTGTGTTTTTTGTAGAGATGGGGTCTCCCTATGTTGTTCAGACTGTTCTCGAACTCTTGGGCTCAAGTGATCCACCCATCTTAGCCTCCCAAAATGCTGGGATTACAGACATCCCGAAGTGCTGGGATTATAGGTGTGAACCACCACACCTGGCCAAGTCCTTTATCAAATATGTACTTTGCAGATATTTTCTCCCAGTCTGTGGCTTGTCTTTTCATTCTCTTAATAACTGTTATATATTGTTCTGTTCTAGTTCATTAAAAAACAAAACTGGTCCTGAGGCACTAATTGATTTTAGAGCCCACTAAGAGGTCATAGTCTGTGGTTTAAAATTCAGTGTTTGTTCTGCTTCCATAATATTCACGTGATCAACATTAGTAAAGCAACCATTATTTCAAGCAGTAATTTTCTTTGTCTTTTTTTTTTTTTTTTTTTTTTTTTGAGGAGGAGTCTCACGCTGTCCTCTAGGCTGGAGTGCAGTGTGGCATAATCTCAGCTTACTGCAACCTCTGCCTCCCGGGTTTAAGCAATTCTCCTGCTTCAGCCTCCTGAGTTAGGTGGAATTACAGGCACGCACTGCCATGCCCGGCTAATTTTTTTTTTTTTTTTAGTAGAGACGGGGCTTCACCATGTTGCCCAGGCTGGTCTTGAACTCCTGACCTCAAGTGATCCACCGGGCTCAGCTTCCCAAAGTGCTGGGATTACAAGCACGAGCCACCACACCTAGCCTCAAGCAGTCACTTTCAATTTTTTTTTTTCTTTTTTGAGATGGAGTCTCGCTCTGTCATCCAGGCTGGAGTGCAGTGGTGCGATCTCGGCTCACTGCAAGCGCCACCTCCCGGGTCACGCCATACTCCTGCCTCAGCCTCCCGAGTAGCTGGGACTACAGGCGCCCACCACCACGCCCAGCTAATGTTTTGTATTTTTAGTAGAGACGAGTTTCACTGTGTTAGCCAGGATGGTCTTAATCTCCTGACCTCATGATCCGCCTGCCTTGGCCTCCCAAAGTGCTGGGATTACAGGCATGAGCCACCACGCCCAGCCAAAGTAATTTTCAATATTGATGAACAGTGGTGTCAGAATTGATACTGTTCTTTATTCTAGAGTATTATTTTCTAATTTTAATTTTTTATTATTTTTGAGAGGAAGTCTCACTCTGTCACTTGGCTCACTGCAACCTCTGCCTCCTGGGTTCAAACGATTCTCCTGTCTCAGCCTCCTGAGTAGCCGGGATTATAGGCATGTGCCACCACGTCGGGCTAATTTTTGTATTTTTGGTAGAGATGGGGTTTCACCATGTTGGCCAGGCTGGTTTCGAACTTCAGACCTCATGATCCACCTGCCTCAGCCTCCGAAAGTGCTGGGATTAAAGGCATGAGCCTCCACGCCTGGCCTTTTTAAAATTTTGAGACAGCTGGGCGCGGTGGCTCACACTTGTAATTCCAGCACTTTGGGAGGCCAAGGCGGGCAGATCACAAGGTCAAGAGATCAAGACCATCTGGCCAACATGGTGAAACCCCGTCTCTACTAAAAATACAAAAATTAGCCAGGCATGGTGGCGCATGCCTCTAGTCCCAGCTACTAGGGAGGCTGAGGCAGGAGAATCACTTGAACCCGGGAGGCAGAGGTTGCAGTGAGCCGAGATCGTGCCACTGCACTCCAGCCTGGGCGACAGAGCGAGACTCTGTCTCAAAAATAATAATAATAATTTTGAGACAAGAGTTTCACTTTGTCACCCAGGCTGGAGTGCAGTGGTTTGATCATAGCTCACTGCAGCCTTGACCTCCTGGGCTCAAGTGATCCTCCCTGCCTCAGCCCCCCACGTGTCTGGGACTACTGGCATATACTACCATGCCTGGCTAATTTTTTGTGCTTTTTGTAGAGATAGGGTTTCGCCATGTTGCCCAGGCTGATCTCGAGCTCCTGAGCTCGAGCAGCCTGCCCACCTCAACCTCCCAAAGTGCTGGCATACAGGTGTGAGCCGCCACACCCAACCTATTCTAGAGTATTCTTTAAGTTTTAGTGGATAGAATAAATGTGGTCAGCTGTATCACCTCTATATCCTGTAGTCATGACACATCTTGGTATTATGGAAAGCTGTATGAATTTCACATTTCTACAAGGTTTAAGATAGGTTCTCTCAAAATGCGTTATGCTTTTAAATACTGAAGGGACTATATACTAAGTAAATAATGCAAATAGAAGCTAAGGTGTCTATTTTGTATTCCCAGGAATACTGTATAATGTAATTTAAAATGTGAAATTATTAACGCAAGTAAAACAGTGATTAGAACTCAACAGAATTGATAAGGTTATTGAGATCTATTGTAGTGGCTATTTAACTTTGAGTAGATGCTACTCAGATATTTAAATATGTCTAGGCTGAGCATGGTGGCTCATGCCTGTAATCCCAGCACTTTGGGAGGCCAAGGCGGGAGGATAATTGAGCCCAGGAGTTAGAGACCAGCCTGGGCATAGACCCCATCTCTACAAAAAATAAAAAAAATTAGCTGTGGTGCGCTTTTACAGTCTCAGCTACTTGAAAGTTGAGGCGAGGGAGGATCACTTGAGCCTAGGAGTTCGAGGGTGCAGTGAGCTAGGATTGGTGCTGCTGCGCTCAGCCTGGGCAGCAGAGCAAGATCCTGTCTCTAAAAAAAAGAAACATTAAAAAAAATGGGTGTATAGCTGTCTCTGCCTTCGTAAGAGGGTTAAATATGTACTTCTACAGTCTTATTTATTTAGAAAAAAATTTTCATTGCTCTAAGGTTAATTTTATTCCTTTTCCAAAATAATACAAGCCCTAATTATGGAAATTGAACTTAATATGATCTTACTAAACTGTACCTTTATTTTCCTTGGAGTTAATTCTTCATCCCTAAAATTTGTGTCAGGGGAAGGGGGTAGTGCTGAACTCACCCCCGTTACCCTGCAGTGCCACCTTGTGGAAAGAAGCTTTAGCTCAAGCTTGTCCAACCCATGGCACCGGGCCACAGGAGGCCCAGGACAGCTTTGAATGCAGCCCAACACAAATTAGTAAACTTTCTTAAAACATCATGATATATATATGTTTTTTAATGATCTTTTTTTCTAACTCATTGGCTATCATTAGTGTTAGTGTATTTTATGTGTAGCCCAAGACAATTCTCCAGTGTGGCCCAGGGAAGCCCAAAGTTGGGACACCCCTGCTTTAGAGCAAGGGACATCCATTGTTTCTCTAGGTTTGAGTGAAATCTGCCGAATACCACATAGTTATGTTCAAGGCTCCTGACTTTCACACTAATTTTTTTTTTTTTTTTGAGATAGAGTCACTGTCGCCCGGGCTGGCGTGCAGTGGCGTGATCTTGGCTCACTGCAACCTCTGCCTCCTGGGTTCAAGGGATTCCACTGTCTCAGCCTCTGAGTAGCTGGGATTATAGGCAGGTGCCACCACGCCCAGCTAATTTTTTTTTGTATTTTTAGTAGAGATGGGGTTTCGCCATGTTGGCCAGGCTGGTCTCGAACTCCTGACCTCAAATGATCTGTCTACCTTGGTCTCCCAAAGTGCTGGGATTATAGGCATGAGCCACTGTGCCCAGCCTTACACTAACTTTTTTTAAGAATATTTTTCTTCTCTTTGATGTGGACTAATTCAGTGATTAGAGGGGTAAAATATTGTCTTTTCTACAGAGAACTTGAAGATGAGAAAACAGGCAAACACCTACCTGTCATGATTCAAGAAACCTACTATAAAAAGACATTTCGTGGCCAGGTGTGGTGCCTCACGCCTATAATCCCAGCACTTTGGGAGGCCAAGGTGGATGGATCACACGGTCAGGAGATCGAGACCATCCTGGCTAACATGGTGAAACCCCGTCTCTTCTAAAAATACAAAAAATTAGCCGGGCGTGGTGGCAGGCACTTTTTGTCCTAGCTACTTGGGAGGCTGAGGCAGGAGAATGGCGTGAACCCGGAAGGCAGAGCTTGCAGTGAGCCGAGATCGCGCCACTGCAGTCCAGCCTGGGCAACAGCGTGATACTCTGTCTCAAAAAAAAGGGACATTTTACGTATAATTGGGGGAGTTTATTGAGTGCTTCTTACGTGCCAGGCACTGCTTCAGGCACTACTGACACAGCAGGTAATTAACTGAAACTCTGCTCTCAAGAAGCTTATGTGTTCTAGTGACAACAGACAGAGGATAAACAAATATATACATAGATCAGGTGGTGGTTGAGTGCTAAGCAGAAATACATAAACCAGGGTAGGAGGACAGAGGGATGGAGTAGTGCTATTTTAGGTAGACTCTCGGTTAAGGAAAGCTTCCTTGCTAAGACACCATTCCAGCAGAGGCCTGAAAGAAGAGGGTAATACAATGTCAGTAGCTGAGTGAAGCGGTCTATGCAGAGAATAGCAAGTGCAAAGCCCCTGAGGCAGGAGTTGGCTTGCCCTGTTGAGGGAGGCAGAAGGGATGAAGAGTGTGGTAAGCACTGAGATCAGAGAGGTATGCATGTGTGTGTTGCAGGTCTTGCAGGGCCTCTTAGACAATAGTTAGGACTTTGAAATTTATTCTCAGAGAGGAAACCACGGGAAGGTTTTGAATGAAGTGATGTATCTGAAGGGTGAGAGTGGAAACAGATGAATGAGTTTGCTCTTGCAGACATCCTTTCTGAGAGGTGGTGGTGGCTCGGGCTTGGGTAGTAGCCAGGGAGACGAGTTATCAGTTTCTGGGTACGAGGTTGACAGTCTTGCTAATGGATTGTTTGTGGAGTATGAGAGAGAAGGGAGTTGAGCCAATCCTTTATTTTATTCTCCTTTTTCTGTGTGGATGACAGCAACTCCCAGGTGTGTTTTTCAGTCTTTGAGAGGCTAATTGAGGAAAGTGAGATGAAGCATTTAGGGTGATGGCTTAGACTTAGTTTTCCTTACAGCTCTAATGTTTCTGAGATTTTAAATTGGTGAACTGAGTTGCAATCAGGGCCAGAAGGGACCTTAGCATCAATTCTCATTTTGGGGTGCGTGGCCTGCTGGAAAGCTAAAGGGGTCTTCCTGGTGTTCACCCACCCTCACCCCAACTGATCCTTTCTGTGGCTTTTATGAGCTATTTACTCATAACCTACCAAGTGAGTTATTGCAAGTTACTAAAATTTAGTATAGCTTTTATCACCTTATTTCTCTTCAGTTATTTTTTGTTATCCCTGAGCTCCTTTTCCACCAGAAAGAAGTAGTAGATGGTATAGGTGAGCTGGGGGATCTAATACTTTACCTGATTGGGTTGGGCCAGAAAAGCCTGAGAGCCATTTTCCTGCAAATATGTGTTTCATATTATCTGCTGAGTTCTTGCCAAGAAACCAAGACCCAGAGATAGACTAAGGAGCAGCTTCCCCAGCCAGTTGCAGCAGTCAATGCCATAGCTAAGGATAGAACTTGGGCTTCCTATTCCAGGGTTCTTTGTACCATGTAAGTCAAGTTTCTGAATTCCTTTTCTAGAAGTTTTATATATCCTACTTTTTAAAAACAGCTTCATTGTGTTATAATTTATGTGCCGTAAAGTTTACCTATTTTAAGTGAACATTCAGTGATCTTTAGTAAATTTACATAGTTGTACAGCCATCACCACAATCTAATTTTAGAACATTACTGTCATACCAAAACAAAGTTTGTGCCTATTTGCCATCACTCCTCATTCCCATCCCCAGTCCTAGGCAACCACACATCTTTCTTTCTCTATGGATTTGACTGTTTTGGGCATTTCATATAAATGGAATCATATAACATGTGGTCTTTTGTGTCTGGCCTCTTTCACTTAGCTTAGTATTTTCAAAGTTCATCCATGTTGTAGCATGTGTCAATACTTTGTTACTTTTATTGCTGAATAATATTCCATTGTATGATATTCCATAATTATCTGTTAATGGAGATTTTGGTTTTGTCTTGTCTTTCCTTTTCTCTCTCCTTCCTTCCTTCCTTCCTTCTTTCCTTCCTTTTTTTTGAGACAGCATCTCGCTCTGTCACTCAAGCTGGAGTGCAGTGGCATGATCACAGTTCACTGCAGCTTTGACCTCCTGAGCTCAAGCAATCCTCACACCTAGGCTTCCTGAGTAGCTGGGACTATAGACGTGTGCCACCATGCCCAGCTACTTTTTGAATTTTTTGTAGAGGCGGGGTTTTGTTATGTTTCCCAGGCTGGTCTTGAACTCTTGAGCTCAAGTAATCTGCCACCGTTGGCCTCCCAAAGTTCTAGGATTACAGGCATGAGCCACCGTTCCTGGCCTTGTTTCTTCTTTTTGGCTACTATGAACAGTGCAGCTATGAACATTTGCATACAAGACTTTGCGTGGACATATATTTTTATTTCCCCAGGGTAGGTACCTAGGAGTGGAATTGCTGGGGGCCATATGGCAAATCTGTGTTTAAAATTTTTTAGGCCGGGCATAGTGGCTCACGCCTGTAATCCCAGCACTTTGAGAGGCCGAGGTGGGCAGATCACGTGAGCTCAGGAGTTCGAGACCAGCCTGGCCAATATGGTGAAACCCCATCTCTACTGAAAATAAAAAAATTAGCCAGGCGTGATAGCGTGCGCCTATAATCCCAGCTACTTGGGAGGCTGAAGCAGGAGAATCACTTGAACCTGGGAGGCGGAGGTTGCAGTGAGCTGAGATTGAGCCACTGCACTCCAGCTGGACTGTTATGCAAAATAGCTGTACCATTTTACATCTTCATCACCAATATATGAAGGTTTCAGTTTCTCCACATCCTTGTCAATGCTTGTGATTGTCTGTCTCTTTGATTATAGGATAATTCCTGTTTAGATTTTTTTTTTTCCTTAGAGATGGGATCTCACTCTATCACCCAGGCTGTAGTATAGTGGTGTGATCATAGCTCACTGCAGCACTGAACTCCTGGGCTTATGTGATCCTCTACCTCAGTGTCCCGAGTAGGTGGGACTACAGACACATACCATGATGCCCAGCTAGTTGTTTATTCATTTATTTAGTTTTTAGTAGAGATGGGGTCTCACCATGTTGCCCACGTTGGTCTCAAATTCCTGGGCCTAAGCGATCCTCCTGCCTCTGCCTCCCTCAGTGTTGAGATTACAGGCTTGAGTCACCATGCCCAGCTAATTCCTGTTTTTTAATAGCTTATACATCCTCAATTTGTGTTTTGCTTTGGTTTCCTTGGATTGCCAAGAAAATAGTTTAAATACCAAGTTTGTAAAAATGTTAAAATATCTGTGTGGTTTACTTAAATTAGTGATTATTTGATTTCAGTTGATTTTCTTAGTTCAGATGTTCCTGAAAGCAAGGGTAAGATGACGTCTTAAGCTACTTAATAATGGTTGTCAGTTTTCTGCCTGCCTCATCCTGCATTTCTTGAGCACCACTGTGTGTCCAGGCACTGAGCTGGAGAACACAAGTATTGTCCTTATGGTCTAGTATGATATTTTCCAACTTTTTTGAATGAAAAAAAAAATGGAGCAAGTTAAGACACACTTAGATGATTTCAAGACCAGGTAATGAGTCACAGATACTGTTCCAGTAGAGGATGTAGTCAAGAAAACTATTGATAATTTAATGTAAGAAAGTTGTACTATAAATAGCCACAGTCTGTTACAGCAGGGGAGAAGAGGAGGCTTTATCTGAGGTTGGGTCAAGATGGGCAGACATTGGTTCCAGTCTTTCTCAGGTCAGGTCAGGATGGGTAGAGAGTACTGTCAGTGAGCAGAAAGGGGCAGGATTTGTTGTGTGATTCATCAGGGCAGAGAAGCAGTTTGAGGAAAGGCATAAGTAGGGCATCTTGTCATTACATGCTATATTTGTTACAGCACACAATTAGAAATTTTTGTTTTCCTAACTGTAGCTAACCAAATCTTTTATTTATTTGTTTATTAATTAATTATTTATTTATTTATTTATTTTTGAGACGGAGTCTCGCTCTGTTGCCCAGGCTGGAGTGCAGTGGTGCTATCTCGGCTCCCTGCAAGCTCCACCTCCCGGGTTCACAGCATTCTCCTGCCTCAGCCTCCCGAGTAGCTGGGACTACAGGTGCCCACCACCATGTCCGGCTAATTTTTTGTATTTTTAATAGAGATGGGGTTTCACTGTGTTAGCCAGGATGGTCTTGATCTCCTGTCCTAGTGATCCGCCTGCCTTGGCCTCCCAAAGTGCTGGGATTACAGGTGTGAGCCACCGCACCCGGCCCCAAATCTTTTATTTTTAACATATTAATCATTTAGGAAGGATAAACGTATTAACTTGTTTTCTTTTTTCATTTAGTTTCCTTAATCCTACTGAATTTCATCTGTTTTGTACATACTATTAAAGAAAAAAATATGCTACCCATTAAATTGTGTCATGCCATCGTGAGGTGTACTATGATTTCAAAGATGTTATTAAAATACAAGCAAGTGCATCTAGAATCAATACACTATATTTGTTTTGGAGCTTCTTTAGTCATGTTTAAGCTGAAGAAATCTTACTAGAATAACATTAGCAGTCACACGGCTTTTCAGCTTCAGTTTTCGGTGATGCTTTAGGGTCATCCAGGTCAAAACCAGCTTAATTTCTCTAGAAAGCTTTAAAGTCTGCCATGATTATAATGAAATTAGCTTGAATAATAGAGATTAGGGAAAATGAATTTTGCTAAAATTAGGAAAGACAGGGTTATTGCGAGTGATAAAATGGAACACAAGAAATTGAAATAATGTTTAGTGACTTTTGGATAAGTTATTTGGGTGTTCTTCGCTTTTAAAAATATCCAGATTTACAACCTGTCATCGTGCCTCTCCCCCTCCCTCATCATATTGAACTTACTCATGAGCTGAAGAGTCTTGGTAATTCAGAAGGTACCCCAAAATGCTGCCATACCATCCTTCATTCTGACAATGCATTCATAAAGAATTCCGCGTTTCAGAGCAAGTAAGCACAAGCTGTGCCTCTGTGAGTGCCTAAGGGTACTGCTTTACGCGTGCTATATTCATGAGGCAATGATTGTGCAAATGTTTTGCTAGCTCAGAGCGTTGAGAGCAAACCGTGGGATGCCTTAGTGGGTAGAAGGGTAAGGAACAAGGAAGAAAAACCGATTCCGAAGTACTGAGTGAAACAGGGCATTCTGCTTGTTGCTAGTGAACTGTAGGAATAGCATATAAGGGAAGGTAGTAAAAAAAAATTTTTTTACTCATTTGAAACTTCAATTTATAAAGCATGATTTGGGAAAATTTATTATTAGATCTTTTTGTTGTTGTTGTTGTTTTTGAGACAGAGTCTCACTCTTTTGCCCAGGCCTGACTGCAGTGGTGCTATCTTGGCTCACTGCAAGCTCCGCCTCCCGGGTTCACGCCATTGTCCTGCCTCAGCCTCCCGATATTACTAGATCTTTAAGAGCATAGATTGTGAAGTCACATTGGAAAATATTTACCATTACAACTGTAGAATAAATGTGTATAAGTAAGAATAAAACTATATTCCAGTTGTTTCTGATGAAACTGTTAAAGTATTAGTCTTGGCCTTGGTTTGAGCTGGATCCAGTGATTACCTGTTTTATTCCAAATTCTGTAGATTCCAGGCTACTTATTTCAGTATACAAAAATCCCCAGTTTTTATAAATTCTTCTTACAGGTTAGTGAGCAGAGGTAACTGTTACTTAATTTTTAAAAAATTTATTGTAAAATAGAAATGTGCTCAGGGAAGAGGGATGATGCTTGTTTATTGAACAGACTGGATATATCTTACTTCAATTGTGTGTGTATATATTTTTTCTCAACTTAGGGCATGGTGGGGGTTCTATATTTGTGTGTCATTCATGGAGTTGACCAGATTTTAGTGTGCCTCCTATGCGTCAGGTCCTGACTCAGCAATGGGAAATTAAAGACTCAAAAGTGAAGTGCTTGGAAGAGTGCAGAGTCTATAAAGGGAGGGAGTCATTGAGGTGATGCAATAGAGATCTGTGTGAAGAGCCACTGGATCGTAAAGGAAGGAGCATGTGGCCTCCCTGGTGAGCGGAGGCGGTAAAGGGATGTTTTTGCAAAAATGGTAGTTAGGAGCTGAGTTTTGAATTGTGAATAGGAATTTACAGGCAAACAGGAAGGGTACTTGGGCAGAGGGACGGCTGCCAGAGAGAACTCCATTGATGCTGATGGAGGGAGGTTTAGTGCTTGGAGAGACTTAGAACCTGGAAGGTTTTCTCAGAGTATATTTTATAGAAATCCAAGCCTCATGAGATTCCCTGGAGGGAAAAAAGAAATATATATGATCATTACATTAGACTCTTAAGGAGTGCTCAGTTAAGAAACCTATCTCCTGCTTATATACCAGCGAAGGTGTTTTGGGAAGGGCTGGTGTTGGGCAGTGGGGAGCTCTTAAATATTTTAAGCAAGGGAATAACTTTATTTGACTTTTAGAAAATGAAATGGTAGGCCAGACGTGTTGGCTCACATCTGTAATCCCAGCACTTTGGGAGGCCGAGGTGGGTAGATCACCTGAGGTCGGGAGTTTGAGAGCAGCCTGATCAATGTGGAGAAACACCATCTCTACTAAAAATACAGAATTAGCTGGGTGTGTTGGTGCATGCTTGTAATCCCAGCTACTCGGGAGGCTGAGGCAGGAGAATCGCTTGAACCCAGGAGGCGGAGGTTGCAGTGAGCCGAGTTCATGCCATTGCATTCCAACCTGGGCAACAAGAGCGAAACTCCGTCTCAAAAAAAGAAGAAGAAAAAAAATGAAATGGTAACGGTGAGGAGTTAGAGTCGGGGGAGATTAGTGGCAAGGAAACCAGTTCAAAGCTGTTATCAATTTTGGTTACATAAAATCTGACCATAGATGTAAAGATGCTTAATTTCAGAATGTAGGAATTTAGGGCACTTGTAAGAAAAAAAAATCTTTTTTTTTGTTTTTTGTTTTTTTTGTTTTTTTGAGACAGTCTTGCTGTGTTGCCCAGGCTGGAGTGAAATGGTGCAATCTTGGCTCATTGCAACCTCTGCCCCCCGGGGTTCAAGTGATTCTCATGCCTCAGCCTCCTGAGTAGCTGGGACTAGAGGCGCGGGCCACCACGCCTGGCTAATTTTTTGTATTTTTAGTAGAGACAGTGTTTTGCCATGTTGGCCAGGCTGGTCTCAAACTCCTGATCTCAAGTAGTCCGCCCACCTTGGCCTCCCAGAGTGCTGGGATTACAGGCGTAAGCCACTGTGCCTGGATGAAAAAAAAATCTTAACAACAAACTAAAATCATATGCTTACTCGAATGCAGAGATTTTAAGGTCTGGCTCTGTTGCCCAGGCTAGAGTGCAGTGGCGTGATTGTAAGCTGCACTGCAGCTTCAAATTCCTGGGATCAAGTGATCCTCCCACCTCAGCCTCCAGCTGAGACCACTGTCATGAGCCACCATTTCTGGCCTGTTTCTGACCTTTTGTCAAAGATTAGACATAAATGTTTTATAATACCTTCTGATTAAAGAAAATCTTTGGTTTAAATTTTACTTTATTCCTTTATTTTTATTTATTTATTTATTTATTTTTGAGATAGAGTCTTGCTCTGTCACCCAGGCTGGAGTGCAGTGGTGCGATCTTGGCTCACTGCAACCTCATGCCTCCCGGGTTCAAGTGATCCTCCTGCCTCAGCCTCCTGAGTAGCTGGGACTGCAGGTGCGTGCCACCGCGCCTGGCTAATTTTTGTATTTCTTTTGTATCAGAGTTGGGGTTTCACCAAGTTGGCCAGGCTGGTCTTGAACTCCTGACCTCAGGTGATCCACCCACCTTGGCCTCCCAAATCTGGGATTATAGATGTGAGCCACCATGCCTAGCCTAATTTTTACTTTAGGTGTATTGTTTTTAAAGTATCTCTTTCATTGTTCCACTGAGGAAAAGGGGAAAAAAAAATTTCCTTCCAATATGATGTCTTAAGATGCTAGATCAAAGTGTTAGTATTTTTTTGAAATTAAAAAAAAAAAAAACAAAAAACCCGGCACAGTGGCTCACGCCTATAATCCCAGCACTTTGGGAGGCCAAGGCAGGCGGATTACTTGAGGTCAGGAGTTCCAGATCAGCCTGGTCAATGTGGCGAAACCCTGTGTCTACTAAAAATACAAAATAAGGCTGGGCGCAATGGCTGACGCCTGTAATCCCAGCATTTTGGGAGGCCAAGGCGGGCGGATCATGAGGTCAGGAGTTCAAGACCAGCCTGGCTAACACGGTGAAACCCCGTCTCTACTGAAAATACAAAAAATTAGCCGGGCGTAGTGACGTGCGCCTGTAGTCCCAGCTACTCGGGAGGCTGAGGCAGGAGAATGGCGTGAACCCAAGAGGCAGAGCTTGCAGAGAGCCGAGATTGCGCCACTGCACTCCAGCCTGCGTGACAGAGCGAGACTCCATCTCAAAAAAATAAATAAATAAAATAAAATAAAATTAGCTGGGCGTGGTGATATGCGCCTGTAATCCCAGCTACTCAGAAGGCCAAGGCAGGAAAATTGCTTGAACTGGGGAGGCAGAGGTTGCAGTGAACCAAGATCGCGACATTGCATTCCAGCCTGGGCGACAGAGTGGGACTCTGTCTCAAGAAAAACAAACAAACAAACAAAAAAACACCAGGTGTAGTGGCTCACATTTGTAATCCCAGCACTTTGGGAGGCCAAGGCGAGAGGATTGCTTGAACTCAGGAGTTTGAGACCAGCCTGGGCAGCATGGCAATACCCTGTCTCTACAGAAAATACAAAAATTAACTGGACGTGGTGGCACATGCCTGTAGTCCCAGCTACTTGGGAGGATCTCTGGAGTCTAGGAGGCAGAAGTTGCAGTGAGCTGAGATCACGCCACTGCACTCCAGCCTGGGTGACGGAGTGAGACCCTGTCTCAAAAAAATAAAATAAAGTAAGGCTAGACGATTTTTATTTTTTCAAATACACTATAATGTATTTTTATGTTTAAGGGTCATTTATTTTTCTTTTACTGTGATATATTAATACACTTTCCTGGCTAATTTCTTTAAAGGAATTGGATTTTTGGTCTTTCTGTTATCATTTTTTAGGAGCGCTTTATGTATTGAGGGGATTAGCTTTGTATTTGTAATATGAGTTGCAAATGTTTTCCCCTACCTTGTTTTTCTGGATTATAAGAGATTCTTGGCCGGGTGTGGTGGCTCACACCTGTAATCCCAGCACTTTGGGAGGCCGAGACGGGTGGATCACGAGGTCGGGAGATCGAGACCATCCTGGCTAACACGGTGAAACCCCGTATCTACTAAAAAATATAAAAAATTAGCCGGGCGTGGTGGCGGGCGCCTGTAGTCCCAGCTACTCTGGAGGCTGAGGCAAGAGAATGGCATGAACCCGGGAGGCAGAGCTTGCAGTGAGCCGAGATCGCGCCACTGCACTCCAGCCTGGGCGACAGAGCAAGACTCCATCTCAAAAAAAAAAAAAAAAAGAGATTATTATATTTAATGTACTTGAATATCAGTCTTTTTAAAAATAGTGTCTGATTTTTGAGTCATAGTTTGAAACAGCACCTTTATTCCAAAGCTATAAAAGGGAATATACCCAGGTTTTATTCTGGACTTTTTATGGCTTTAGGGTTTGTATCTAAATATTTGATCTATTAGGAACTTCTGCTAGTGTACGATATATGGTATGAAACCATTTTTTCCACATGGATATATTTTGCTCAAACATCACTCATTGTATAGTCGTTTTCCCTCCTTGATTTTTGAGATACCTCCCTCATCATTTGCCATTTTTTTCATAGGTAATTGGGTCTATTTCTGGGGTATGACTTTGCCCCATTGATCTATATATATATCTACTGCTGTCATGTTGTTTTGAGCACTTTATAAGATAGTGCTCTTTCTTTTCTATTACTCTCCTCATTTGGAATTTTCCTGACTTGTCTTTTTCATCTTTCTACATGAACTTTAGAATCAGCTTATCTATTATTATTTCCAGAAAATAATTCTGTAGGCATTTTGGGGGCGGGGGGTGGGTAGAGGGATCACTTTAAATTTACAGATTAATCTGTTTGTGATAAGGAATCTAAATTACAGCTTTACTCTTTTGTCTTACAGATGATATTAACTGTTTTCTTGAGCAACAATGAACAGATTTTAACAGAAGTTCCTATAACACCGGAAACAACCTGTCGAGATGTTGTAGAATTTTGCAAGGAACCTGGAGAAGGCAGCTGCCATTTAGCTGAAGTGTGGAGGGGAAATGGTATGTATTAGGTCCTGTAAAGATTGTTACATTGATAAAATCAAATCACCATCTTTTAGCTAAGCTTGTGCTGGATTTGCTTTTTTTCTGATAAAGATGGGGAAAAAAAGTAACTAAGTACATATAATTTAGTATTTATCAAATGGAAAATATTGCTTGTAGTTCTTAGTTATCTGTGGTAATAAAGAACTGAGTAATTAAAATAAATGTAATTATATTGCACAGGACTGAGTTTTACAAAATGCTTTTTTGTATACTTTTTTTTTTTTTTTTGAGACAGTATCTCACTCTGTCTCCCAGGCCAGAGTGATAGATGTTTGGGCTGTCTCTCTTTTTTTTTTTTTTGGCTATTATGAATAATGCTCCTATGAACTTTCATGTACAAACTGTTTTTGTTTTTGTTTTTTGTTTTCTGACATGGAGTCTTGGTCTCTCCCACAGGCTGGAGTGCAGTGGCATGCTCTTGGTTCACTGCAACCTCCGCCTCCTGGGTTCAAACGATTCTTGTGCCTCCGCCTCCCAGTAGCTGGGGCTATAGGCGCGCACCACCACGCCTGGCTAATTTTTTGTATTTTTAGTAGAATCGGGGTTTCACCATGTTGCCCAGGCTGGTCTTGAACTCCTGAGCTCAGGCAATCCACCCACCATGGCCTCCCAAAGTGCTTGGATTACAGGCATGAGCCACCGCACCTGACAATGTACAAGTTTTTGTGTGGACATATATTTTCATATCTCTTAGTAGTATAAACCTAGGAATCTCTGGGTCATATGGTAATTCGTGTTTAACCTTTTCAAGAACCACCAGACTGTTTTCTAATGCAATTGCTTCATTTTACATTCCCTGCAGCAGTATACGAAGTATACGATGTGGAGAATTTCTGCACATTCTCATCAACACTTGATACTGTCTGCTTGAGTTTAGCCATCCTAGTAGTTGTGAAGATATGTCTTATTGTGATTGTGATTTGCATTTCCCTAATGACTAATGATGGTGAAAATCTTTTCATGTGTATATTGGCCATTTTTATATCTTCTCTGGAGAAATGTCTATTCAGTTCCTTTGCCTATTTATTTATTTATTTATTTTTGAGACAGTGTCTTTCTCTGTTGCCCAGGCTGGAGAACAGTGGCACAATCCTGGCTCACTGCAACCTCTATCTTCTGGGCTCAAGCAGTGCTCCCACCTCAGCCTCTCGTGTAGCTGGGACTACAGGCATGCACCACCATGCCCGGCTAATTTTTGTAGAAACAGGGTTTTGCCATGTTGCCCAGGGTGGTCTCAAACTCCTGGGCTCAAGTGATCCACCTGCCTGGGCCTCCCAAAGTGCTGGGATTACAGGTGTGAACCACTGCACCCCACCCCATTGCCCATTTTAAAAATGGGTTATTTGTCTTTTTGTTACTGAATTGTAAAAGTTCTTTATGTATTCTAGATACAAGTCCCTTGTGGGTATATAAATTACAATTTTTTTGCAAGGTCTTGTGCTTTTTACTTAGAATTCAGAGTAAAGAATTTTAAGGATACATGGAGAGAAACTTGACTTTGATAAACATTGGACTATTACTAAATTAGAAGTAAAAGGACAGGCCCTCAATTGTTAGCCTAATGACAGCTACAGGAAGCAGGCAGTTAAGTAATTGTAATTAACGTTTTTAAGGGGAGCAGTGTTAGAGCCTGATCATTCATTCCCTTGTTTTTTTTCTTCTCTAGCCTCTTAGCACTTTTGTTCTCTGTTACTTGTTATCAATTCTAATTCCTCATCTGCCTTCCCATTGTAAGGGAATAAAATTTTTACACGAGTATTATAGCCCTAAATGGTCTATGGCCTCTTGAGAATGCTTGTCTCTCTCATACGAGTCACTCGGTTGGTGCCATCCTTGTCTCCCAGCCCATCTCAAATCATAACTTAGTTTTACCTCCTCAAGGATGAGGACTACCACCCTGGAGCACAGAGTCACAGCACAGTACATTTACCGTGGCTTTTGTACATGCTCCTTCGTTGTCTAGAACAATCCCTAGGAGCTTGGCTAACATCTATTTATTCTTTGCCTCTCATCCCTTCCGTGAATCTCAAAGGGTGTTAGTGTCCCTGTGCTCTAATACTGTCGTTGTATTTATCAAAACATGATACAGGTCGGGCACGGTGGCTCTTGCCTCTAATCCCAGCCCTTTAGGAGGCCAAGGCGGGTGGATCACTTGAAGCCAGGAGTTGGAGACCAGCCTGGCCAGCACGTCAAAACCCCATCTCTACTAAAAATACAAAAATTAGCCAGGCATGGTGGCACACGCCTATAGTCCCAGCTTCTTGGGAGGCAGGAGAATCCCTTGAAACCCGGAGGCGGAGGTTGCAGTGAGCCAAGAGTGTGCCACTGCACTCCAGCCTGGGCGACAGAGCGAGACTGTCTCAAAAAAAAACAAACAAACATAATGTAGTAGTAGTTTTTATCTCTATCTTGTTGGACTAAAATTCCTGAAGGCGGGAACTTGTCTGTTGTTCACCATTATATCCCCAGTGTCCAGCCTAGTGTTCATAGAAGGCACTTAGTAAACACAGATTAGTAAGTAAAATGGCCAACGAAGCTGGATCTAGGAAGAAGAGAAGGTAACTTCCAGTGGATGCCATCAAAGGGAGAGGGCAAGCACTGTAACAGCCTTTCTCAGTCCTTTTACCTAGAGGAACCCTTACAGAGATTTTTTTTTTTTTAGGTTTCAGAGAACCCTCACATAAAACTTACTGCACCTGGCCGGGCACTGTGGCTCACTCTTGTAATCTCAACACTTTGGGAGGCCGAGGTGGGTGGATCACCTGAGGTCAGGAGTTTGAGACCAGCCTGGCCAACATGGTGAAACCCTGTCTCTACTAAAAAAACAAAAAATTAGCTGGGCATGGTGGTGGGCACCTGTAATCCCTGCTACTCGGGAGGCTGAGGCAGGAGAATCGCTTGAACCTGGGAGGCGGAGGTTGCAGTGAGCCGAGATTGTGCCACTGCACTCCAGCCTGGGCAACAAGAGTGAAACTTCATCTCAAAAAAAAAAAAAAACAAAAAACAAATTACTGCCCCCATAACTGCTGACATTAGTATGATCAGTATGTCGTAGATAGAATCCTTCAATAGTAATTATCAGTGCTTTCCAGTAGAGCCGTTTCACTGTGGATCTGTGCATTATTTTGCTGAGGCTGCCGTAACAAAGTGCCACAGACTGGGTGGCTTAAACAACAGTAATTTATTTTCTCACAGTGATGGAGGCCAGAAGTCTGAGATGAAGGTGTCAGCAGGCTTGGTTTATTCTGAAGACTCTCTCTCTCTTTGACTTGTAGATGGTTTTCTTTTCTTCCCTCCATGCCTGTCTGTGGACAAACCTCCCCCTCTTGTAAGGACACTAGTCATATTGGATTAGGGGCCACTTTGATCTCTTCATTTTATCTTCTTGCCTCTTTAAAAGTCCTGTCTCCAAATACAGTTAAATTTCGAGGTACTTGAGGTCAGGACTACAACAGATGAATTTAGCGGGGACACAGTTCAGCCTGTAACAGTCTGTTAATTTGGCCAGGTCATTAGCTACTCTGTGTGGTTCCCTTCCCCACACAGGTGTCAGTTCTAATGGCAGTCAGTAAGGTAGATAAAACCTTCCATTTTTATCTTTTGTTAAGTTTCCTACTTGAGGTTTTTTAACCTTATTTAAAGTTCCTAAAAGTCTTATAATAGATTTCCATTATACAAGATGCTAATTAGGTATATTTTATATTACATGATATGTATAGGGTAGTTAGTCCATTTTCATACTGCTATAAAGAACTGCCAGAGATGGAATGATTTATAAAGGAAAAAGGTTTAATTTACTCACAGTTCTGCAAGGCTGGGGAGGCCTCAGGAAACTTACAATCATGACAGAAGGTGAAGGGAAAGCAAGGCAGCTCCTCCACAAGGTGGCAGGAAGGAGAAATGTCAAGTGAAGGGGGAAGAGCCCCTTCTAAAACCATCAGTTTTCATGAGAACTCACTCACTATCATGAGAAACCACCTCCATGATTCAGTGACCTCCATCTGGTCTCTCCCTTGACATGTGGGGATTATGGGGATTACAATTCAAGATGAGATTTGGGTGGGGACATAAAACCTAACCAGATCAGTAGTGTTTTTTCCTTTTCTTTCCTTTTCTTTCCTTTCCTCACTTCTCTTCCCTTTTCTTCCCTTCTCTCCCTTCTCTTCCCTTCCCCTCCTTTCCCTCCCCTCCCCTCCCCTCCCATTGCCTTCCCTCCCCTTCCCTCCCCTCCCCTTCCTTCCCTTCCCCTTTTCTATGACAGAGTCTCGCCCTGTCGCCCAAGCTGGAGTGCAGTGGCGCATTCTCAGTTGACTGCAACCTCTGCCTCCCAGGTTCCAGTGATTCTCCTGCCTCAGCCTCCCTGAGTAGCTGGGACTACAGGCATGCGCCACCATGCCCGGCTAATTTTTTGCATTTTTTAGTAGAGACGAGGTTTCACCATATTGGCCAGGCTGGTCTCGAACTCCTGACCTCGTGATCCACCTGCCTCGGCCTCCCAAAGTGCTGGGATTACAGGCATGAGCCACTGCACCCAGCCTCTTTTTCTTTTTTTTGAGACAGAGTCTTGCTCAGTTGCCCAGGTTGGAGTGAAGTGGTATGATCATAGCTCACTGCAGCCTTAAACTCCTGGGCTCAAGGGATCCTTCCATCTCAGCCTCACAAGTAGCTGGGAGCACAGGCAAACTGCACAGTGCCCAGACAATCCTTTTATTTATTTATTTTTTGTAGAGACAGGGTCTTGTCATGTTGATCGGGTTGTGTTTTTTCTACTTTAAAACGAAAATTATGTTCAGTTAAACTTCCTTAAAAAAATATAGCGAAGCTTTCTTGAAATTAATCTTCTCAAAATTTTGCCAGGTGCAGTAGCTCACACCTGTAATCCCAGCACTTGAGGCCAAGGCTGGCAGATTGCTTGAGCCCAGAACTTCGAGACCAACCTTGGCAATGTGGCCAAACCCCATCTCTACAAAAAATACAAAAATTAGCTGGGCGTGGTGGCACATGCCTGTAGTCCCAGCTACTAGAGAGGTTGAGGTGGGACGATCGCTTGATCACACCACTGCACTTCAGTGCTCCAGCCTGGGTGACAGAGGACAGAGTGCGACCCTGTCTTTAAAAAAATATACACACACACACACACACACACACACACACACGATGAATAGAGGGAAACAATAAATTTCTGTTAAATAACTGGCTTAAGACAAAATGGGTTTTAATTTTTATTAGGTTATGTTCAGACTTGGTATATTTAAATATAGGTTGTAAATTGATTTTAATAAATGTAAAAGTTTAAAAGTTGATTTTAATGTAAAAAAATGAAAATTTACTGACAATGTTGATTAGTAAAACAACTAAAAATAAAGCTACTAAATGATAAGCCTAAGCAATGTGAATAAAAATGTGGCCTAAGACACAATTTTATGCAAAACTGAGAAACATGATTTAGCTAAATATAGGCCTTGCAGTTAGAAAAGGCCAATACACTTGCTTTTAAAAATCTTTTTATAGGCATATGTGTATATAAAAAAATGCTACTTTCAAAACTAAAAATATGGAATGAAATTTACTTCTATATATATATTTTGTTTGTTTGTTTGTTTTGAGATGGAGTCTTGCTCTGTCCCAGGCTGGAGTGCCCTGGCAGGATCTCGGCTCACTACAACCTCCACCTCGTGGGTTCAAGCTATTCTCCACCTCAGCCTCCCGAGTAGCTGGGATTATAGGCGTGTGCCACCACGCCTGGCTAAGTTTTGTATTTTTAGTAGAGACGGGATTTCACCATGTTGGCCAGGCTGGTCTCGAATTCCTGACCCCATGATCTGCCCGCCTTGGCCTCCCAAAGTGCTGGGATTATAGGCGTGAGCCACTGCTCCCGGCTGAAATTTACTTCTTTAATGTTTAACTTGTCATTGTTTTTTGCTCTACAGATACTTAGTTCTGATATGAACTTGAGCTAAGCACAGACAGATTTCATTTTCAACTAAGATGAGACCGTTTCTGTTTTTGCCTTTGATGTTTGTTAAATAAGACAAAGCTAGAGCCAGGCGTGATTGTTTGCGCCTGTAGTCCCAGCTACAGTAGGCTGAGGCAGGAGGATCCCTTGAGCCCGGAAGTTCAAGGCTACAGTGAGCTATGATCATATCACTGCACTTTAGCCTGGGTGGCAGAGTGAGACCCCATCTCTTAAAAAAAAAAAAAGAAGAAAAAAGTCAGCAGCATAATGTGCATTATATTTCTATGAATGGCAGGATTTTCTTTATGCAAATCTAGAACTTACCTAGGAATGGAACAGTAAATTACAATCACTTATACCTTGAATCTGTGCTTAGATTGTGTAGCTCACAAAGTTTTATCTCTTGTCTTGACATCAAATTCTTTGGTTGCACTGAAGATTTAGAGTTATAAATCTTAAGTATAAACACAAGTTTATAGCTGTATTACAGGCACGCCATCACACCCGGCTAATTTTTGTGTATTTCTTGTAGAGATGAGGTTTCGCCATGTTTACCAGGCTGGTCTCCAACTCCTGACCTCAAGTGATCCGCTTGCCTTGGCTTCCCAAAGTGCTGGGATCACAGGCGTGAGCCACCCACGCTCAGCCTGTTTACTTTTGAGACAAGGTCTCATTCTGTCACGCAGGCTGGAGTGCAGTGGTACCATCTTGGCTCACTGCAACCTCCACCTCCCAGGCTAGTTTTCTGCACTTTTAGTAAAGATGGGGTTTTGCCATGTTGCCCAGGCTGACCTCAAACTCCTGAGCTCAAGCGATCCACCTGCCTTGGCCTCCCAAAGTGCTGGGATTACAGCCGTGGGCCACCATGTCTTGGGCCTCTTTTGTAGGGGCACTAAACCCATTTATGAAGATAGAGCTCTCATGACCTAATCGCTTCTCAAAGACCCCACCTCCTAATATTACCACATTGGGGATTCAGTTTCAACATATGAATTTTAGGGGAACACAAACATTCAGACCATAGCAGATTGTTTACGTTTTTGGTTCTTATGAATAAATCTCCTGTGAACATTCATGGACAAAAGTTT
This sequence comes from Homo sapiens, assembly GCF_000001405.40. NCBI lineage: Eukaryota > Metazoa > Chordata > Mammalia > Primates > Hominidae > Homo > Homo sapiens. The sequence goes on along the minus strand of NC_000014.9, from coordinate 103,790,281 downwards.
GTGTGGACATGTTTTCATTTCTTTTTTTTTTTTTTTGAGACAGGGTCTCACTCTGTATCCCAGGCTGGAGTGTAGTGGTGCCATCTTGGCTCACTGCAACCTCTGCCTTCCTGATTCAAGCAATTCTCCTGCCTCAGCCTCCCAAGTAGCTGGGATTATAGGCGCCCGCCACCATGCCCAGCTAATTTTTTTATTTTTAGTAGAGACAGGGTTTTACCATGTTGGCCAGGCTGGTCTGGAACTCTTGACCTCAAGTGATATGCCTGCCTCGGCCTCCCAAAGTGCTGGGATTATGGACGTGAGCCACCGGGCCCGGCCTTCATTTCTTTTGAATGTGGGTATAAGTCTAGAGTTCTCCTCTTTATCTTACACCTCATCTTCAAAAACTGTCAGACATGTTTGTTAAGACATAAACACTAATACAATATAAAGCAGGAAGACATAATTAATAACTAAGCAAGAATTGCAGGCTGGGCACAGTGGCCCACACCTGTAATCTCAGCACTTTGGGAGGCCGAGGTGGGTGGATTATTTGAGGTCAGTGGTTTGAGACCAGCCTGGCCGACATGGTGAAACTCTGTCTCTACTAAAAACACAAAAGTTAGCTGGGCGTGGTAGTGCACACCTGTAATCCCAGCTACTCAAGAGGCTGAGGCAGGAGAATCGCTTGAACCCGGGAGACAGAGGTTGTATAAGCCAAGATGGCGCCACTGTACTCTAGCCTGGGCACGACACAGTAAGACTCCATCTCAAAAAATAAAAAATTGGCCGGACACGGTGGTTCACACCTATAATTTCAGCACTTTGGGAGGCTGAGGTGGGGAGATCACTTGAGGTCAGGAGTTTGAGACCAGCCTGGTCAACGTGGTGAAACCCCATCTCTACTAAATACAAAAATAGCTGGGTGTGGTGGCGCATGCCTGTAATCCCAGCTACTCGGGAGGCTGAGGCAGGAGAATCGCTTGAACCCGGGAGGCGGAGGTTGCAGTGAGCCGAGATCATGCCAGTGCACTCCAGCCTGGGCGACAGAGTGAGACTCCATCCCCCCCAAAAAAAAAATTGCAAAAATACACAGTACAGTTCACTTTTAACCTACCCAATGTGTATTTTTAAGTGTTAACAATAGCAGAGCCAGGGAGTCAGCTCATGAGGTATAAATATTCTCTCAGTAGAATGAAAAATTCCAAGATTCCTATTTCAGAGCTAGAGCTTGTTTGTTGCTATAAATCAGTCATTAGCATATAAAGAGGTGTTGGGGAAGATGTTTCTGGAGGGAGAAGCTAATGCCATCAGCCCACCATCCTCTCCTCCCTGCAATACTCTCACCATCTACCAACTCCTGATTGAGAATGAACTTTATCAAAGGAACGTGGTCCTGCACACAGCCATTCAGGGCTGAGAGACCACTGTTGACATTGCTAACAGGGCTGCTTGGCCATTGTCTGTCACTCTAAATGCTAATATCATGTTCTGTATGAAGTTCAAAAATGCTAATTTTTTTCAGTTACAATATCTCATGAAGCCCTTAGTGACATCTTACGGAACTCTAGGTTTCTGTAGACTCACAGAGGAGAAACTTTTTTTTTTTTTTGCTTTGATTGTTTTGAGACAGGGTCTCGCTCTGTCATCCAGGCTTGAGCGCAATGGCAGTCGTAGCCTCAAACTCCTGGGCTAAAGGGATCCTTCCATCTCAGCTTCCTGAGTAGCTGCAATTACAGATGTGCACTGTCATGCCTGGCTAATGAGAAATGCTATTTTATAGTCTAAAAGTATCATGGACTTCTGCTTAAGTAGTATGAATAAACCATACATGCATCCGTATCAATCTTTGTTCTTTCCTGAAATTACACTAAAATTACAATGAAAAGGGATAAAATAGCTTAAAGCTACAAGGTTGAAGAACAGGATGTGATAGCATTGTAATATTTTGGAATGTTCAACACAGATGGATGGGTGGTTAATGACTTAGCAGACCTCAAAAAGCTAAAATCTAAGGTAACAGTAAGTCTGACTCATGCCAAAGAAGCTAGGGAAGTTTAAGAAATTGCAGGTGTTAATACTTTTGAAAATGGTGAGACTAAAAACAGAATTGGCTGAAATCTGTTAACCAATCTATCCCCCAGATCATTCTAGCATTTTTAATCTTTTTTTTTTTCATTTTTCTCTTTTTGAGACAGGGTCTTGCTCTGTCACCCAGGCTGGAGTGCATTGTGCAGTCATGGCTTACTGCAGCTTCAACCTCCTGGGCTCAAGCAATCCTCCTGCCTCAGCCTCTCTAGTCGCTGGGACTATGGATGTGTGCCACCACACCCGGCTAATTAAAAAAAAAGGAGGCTGGGCGCGGCGGCTCACGCCTGTAATCCCAGCACTTTGGGAGGCCATGGTGGGCGGACCACAAGGTCAGGAAATCGAGACCATCCTGGCTAACACAGTGAAATCCCATCTCTACTAAAAATAAAATTAGCCGGGCGTAGGTGGTGCACACCTGTAGTCCCAGCTATTCGGGAGGCTGAGGCAGGAGAATGGCGTAAAACCCGGGAGGTGGAGCTTGCAGTGAGCCGAGATTGCGCCACTGCACTCCAGCCTGGGCGACACAGTGAGACTCTGTCTCAAAAAAAAAAAAAAAAAAAATGTAGCAATTAAGTCTCACTGTGTTTCCCCAGACTGGTCTTGAACTCTTAGGCTCAAATGATACTCTTGCCTCCCAAAGTGCTGGGATTCAGGTGTAAGCCACCACGCCCAGTCCCTAGGGTTTTTTTTTTTTATATGCCAGCTTTTCAGTGCTTCTTGATAGAGCACGTGAGCTGATATGAACTTTCTTTTTTGAGACAGAGTCTCACTCTGTCACCCAGGCTGGAGTGCATGGAGTGAAGTAGCACGATCTCAGCTGTCCACAACCTCCACCTCCCAGGTTCAAGCAGTTCTCTGCCTCAGCTTCCTGAGTAGCTGGAACCACAGGCATGCGCCACCATGCCCGGCTAATTTTTGTATTTTTAGTAGAGATGGGGTTTCACCATGTTGTCCAGGCTGGTCTTGAACTCCTAACCTCAGGTGGTCCACCTGCCTTAGCCTCCCAAAGTGTTGGGATTACAGGCGTGAACTACCACGCCCAACCTGATATAAACATCTTGATTATGTAAAAGATTAGTTTTGCAATCCCAGCACTTTGGGCAGCCGAGGCAGGTGGATCACTTGAGTTCAGGAATTCAAGACCAGCCTGGCCAACATGGTGAACCCTGTCTCTACAAAAAATTCAAAAAATTAGCTGGGTGTAGGCCAGGCATGGTGGCTCACGCCCGTAATCCCAGCACTTTGGGAGGTCGAGGTGGGTGGATCACCTGAGGTCGGGAGTTCGAGACCAACCTGACCAACATGGTGAAACCCCATCTCTACTAAAAATACAAAAATTAGCCAGGTGTGTTGGCTCAAGCGATCCTCCCACCTCAGCCTCCTGAGTAGCTGGGACCACAGGCGTGCACCACCATGACCAGCCTTTTTTTTTTTTTTTTTTTTTTGAGACAGAGTTTTCTCTCTTATTGCTCAGGCTGCAGTGTAATGGTGCGATCTTGGCTCACTGCAACCTCCGCCTCCTAGGTTCAAGTGATTCTTCTGCCTCAGCCTCCTGAGTAGCTGGGACTACAGGTGCCTGCCACCATGCCCGGCTAATTTTTGTATTTTTAGTAGAGACAGGGTTTCACCAAGTTGGCCAGGCTGGTCTGGAACTCCTGACCTCGGGTGATCTGCCCACCTTGGCCTCCCAAAGTGCTAGAATTACAGGCGTGAGTCACCCCACTCAGCCACAACCCAGATTTTTGAAAAATAGGCATAATACCTGAGACAGTTCACAGAGAAGGAAAATGGAATGCATTATACATATAAAAGTGTTCCTTTAAATTCAACAACTGAGTTAGTGCTCTTCTCAAGTAATTGGTTAGATACTGGCCAGGTACAGTGGCTTACACCTGTAATCCCAGCACTTTGGGAGGCTGAGGCAGGCAGATTGCTTGAGCCCAGCAGTTCAGTACTAGCCCAGGCAACATGGCAAAAACCCCATCTCTACAAAAATTACAAAAATTATCCAGGCATGGTGGCATATGCCTATAGTTTCAGCTAACTTGGGAGGCTGAGGTGGGAGGATCGCTTGAGCCCGGGAGGTGGAGGTTGCAGTGAACTGAGATCATACCACTGCACTCCAGCCTGGGTGGCAGAGCAAAGACCTTGTCTCAAAAAAAGTAAAGGAGTGAGAGATTGTGAGTAAGCTTTGATTTTTAAAAAAATATTTGAAATACATTTAGTTATATAGGATTTAATTTTTATTAACTTGGTACTGACAAACATTCACAATAATGTTGCCTGAGTTGCCAGGAAGTGCCCTGTCCAGCCTTCGTACCTCTGATTGCCACGCCTGACATTTTAAGAAATAACATGGCCTGGTCAATTTATGTTTCTTTCAAGAATGGGAGGCTGAGCATAGTGGCTCACACCTGTAATCCCAGCACTTTGGGAGGCCAAGGCGGGTGGATCACCTGAGGCCAGGAGGCCAAGAGGCCAAGACCAGCCTAGCCAACATGGTAAAACCCCGTCTCTCCTAAAAACACAAAAATTAGCTGGTCATGGTGGTGGGCACCTGTAATCCCAGCTACTCAGGAGGCCGAGGCAGGAGAATCTCTCGAACCCTGGAGGCAGAGGTTGTAGTGAGCCGAGATGGCACTCCAGCCTAAGTGATAAGAGCAAAACTCTGTCTCAAAAAAAAAAAAAAAAAAAGGCTGAGTGTGATGGCTCACGCCTATAATCCCAGCACTTTAGGAGGCCAAGGCGGGTGGATCACCTGGGGTCAGGAGTTTGAGACCAGCCTGGCTAACATGGTGAAACCCTCTCTCTACTAAATACAAAAAATTAGCTGGGCACGGTGGTGGATGCCTGTGATTTCAGCTACTTGGGAGGCTGAGGCAGGAGCATCTCTTGAACCCAGAAGCGGAGGTTGCGGTGAGCCAAGATGGTGCCACTGCACTCCAGCCTTGGCAACAAGAGCAAAACCCCATCTCAACCAAACAAACAAATGAATGGGAGACACAGTGCTTTGTGATAAATAAGTTTTGTAAAAGGCATGTTTCAGTGTTCCCTATTTAATGTTGCAAAATTGCTTTCGTGGATACTTTTTGTGTTTATCTGTTGCCTAAATTATTTCCCATTCATATTCTTGCTTTTACTCAGTAATGTTGAAATTCAGTGCTTGTAATATCTTTGAATTGTAACATGTAGACATACATGTGTGCATATATACATTCATTTAAGTTTTTTACAAAATTTACTTTTGGTTGGAGTCATTTTAATTCTGGAGTAAAAAAGATGTGGTCTTTTTCCTAGAACGTCCCATACCCTTTGATCATATGATGTACGAACATCTTCAGAAATGGGGTCCACGGAGGGAAGAAGTGAAATTTTTCCTTCGACACGAGGACTCCCCAACTGAGAACAGTGAACAAGGTAGATAACTGCTTTCTTCCTCATTTGTTAATTTTTGCTAGGAAAGTTAATTTAAGAAAAATAGGAATAAATATTAAATTATTCACACACACCCGGCCCTGCACTTACAAGTGGCTAGAGGGAAAGTTGGTATCCCATGTTACTTTGGCTTCTGTTAGTGTTGTTTACCATTACGGCACTTTTTTTTTTTTTTTTTTTTTTTTTTTTTTTTGGAGACAGAGTCTCACTCTGTCGCCCAGGCTGGAGTACAGTGGTGCAATCTTGGCTCACTGCAACCTCCACCTCCGGAGTTCAAGGGATTCTCCTGCCTTAGCCTCCCAAGTAGCTGGGACTACAGGTGTGCACCACCACACCTGGCTAATTTTTGTATTTTTAATAGAGATGGGGTTTCACCATGTTGGCCAGGCTGGTCTCGAACTCTTGACCTCAAGTGATTTGCCCACCTCAGCCTCCCAGAGTTCTGGGATTATAGGTGTCAGCCACTGTACCCAGCCAATTACATCACACTTTTTAGGCACCAACGCTTCTTTCCTTCTCAGGACTCTAAGTTAATTAAACAACGTACTCAGACATATAAAGGGACTTGGTGTTTAAAGGGATTTTTGTTTTGTTTTGTTTTGAGATGGAGTCTCACTCTGTCACCCAGGCTGGAGTACAGTGGCACAATCTCAGCTCACTGCAACCTCTGCCTCCTGGGTGCAAGCGATTCTCCTGTTTCAGCCTCCCGAGTAGTTGGGATTACAGGCACCCACCGCCACACTAAAGGGATTGTTTTTGGTAAATATCAGATTGGTCAAACATCTAGATTTTAAAAATATATAAAACCATGAAAATACTAGAAGAAAGTTCTGGAAGATCTTTTATTTTTGAAGTGAACAAGGCCTTTGTAAGTGTAACACTAAAACATAAAAGACAAGACTGATAAATGAATTATTTAAAACAAAGCCTGGGTGCAGTGGCTCAGGCTAGTAATTTCAGCACTTTGAAAGGCTGAGGCAGGCAGATCACTTGAGCCAAGTAGTTCGAGACCATCCTGGGAAGCATGGCAAAACCCCATCTCTACAGAAAATACTAAATAGCTGGTTGTGTTGGTGGATGCCCTGTAGTCTCAGCTACTTGGGAGGCTGAGGTGGGAGGATCGATTGAGCCCAGGAGGTGAAGGCTGCAGTGAGCCATGATTGTGCCACTGCACTCCAGCCAGCCAGGGCAACAGAGAGAGACCCTGTCTCAAAAAATAAAAATAGGCTGGGTGTGGTGGCTCACGCCTATAATCCCAGCACTTTGGGAGGCCAAGGCAGGCAGATCACTTGAGGTCAGGAGTTTGTGACCAGCCTGGCCAACGTGGTAAAACCCCATCTCTGCTAAAAATTAGCCCGATGTGGTGGTGTGCGCCTATAATCCCAGCTACTCAGGAGGCTGAGGCAGAAAAATTGCTTGAACCTGGGAGGCAGAGGTTGTAGTGAGCCAAGATCAGGCCACTGCACTCCAGCCTGGGCGACAGAGCGAGACTCTGTCTCAGGAAATACATATAAATAAAACAAAACCAAAAATAACTGCATGGCAATAATATCTAAAAAAAAAGTCAAAAGATAAATTATAAACTGGGAAGTAGCATTTGTAGCTCATATTGCAAAGGGCTAATTCTCTTTACATGTAAAGAATTCCTAAAATTTGATAGGAAAAAAACTTGGCTAGGCGTGCTGGTTCCCACCTATAATCCCAGCACTTTGGGAGGCCGAGTGGGGTGGATTACCTGATGTCAAGAGTTCGAGACCAGCCTGGCCAACATGGTGAAACCCCCGTCTCTACTAAAAATACAAAAATTAGCCAGGCTTGGTGGCATGCATCTGTAATCCCAGCTACTCGGGGGGCCGAGACAGGAGAATCGCTTGAACCTGGGAGGCAGAGGTTACAGTGAGCCCGAGATCGCGCCATTGCACTCTAGCCTGGGCAACAAGAGTGAAACTCCATCTCAAAAAAAAAAAGCTTAGTAGAATAATAGAAAAAATATATACACACACAGTTCACAGAAAAGGAATATACATGGCCCTAGGATATATGAAGATATTCACCTTATTCCTAATAAAAGACATGCAGAGAAAACTATCTTGAAATACTATATTTTAACTGTCACATTGGCAAAGATTAAAACAGTTAATAGCACAGTGTTGACAAGGACTCTGAGAAACAGGCCGTCTTCTGCATTGCTGTGGGAGGCGGTTGGCACCTTCTATAGAAGGAAATTTGGCAATGGCTGTTAAACTTACAAAACATAAAACCTTTTACCCAGCAGTTTCATTTCTGAGAATTTATCCTAAAGCTGTGCCCTGGCACATACAAAATGATATATAAACAGGGTTATTCACTGAGCATTGCTGGTAGGAACAACCTAAATGCCCACCAGGAGAGCTGAGCTAAATAAATTAGGGTCCATCTACACAGCAGAATGCTCTGCAGCCGTAAATAATGAAGAACCTCTGTGCCCTGACCCAGACCATCTCCTAAACATGTTACATGAATTAAGCATGGTGCAAAAGAATGTGCACACTTAGTCTTTTTTTGTGGAAAGATGAGCAAAGAGTAATGTGCATATCTATCTGTTTGTATGTGTATATGTATAAAGCAGTTTTGGAAAGATATCTACGCAACTGGGGATGTTGTTGGCCTGGGGGGAAAGGGAAAAGTGGCTGTAGAACAGAGGAGGGAGGGTTGTTGATTGTATACCTCTTTGTTCTTTTTGATTTTTGAACCATGGGAATATACTATATATTTTTGAATTAAAATTTAAAGAAAATAAGGAAATTTTTTTGAACACGTATACACTGTACAGTTAAAAGACCTTTGGCCGGGCGCGGTGGCTCATGCCTGTAATCCCAGCACTGTGGGAGGCCAAGGAGGTTGGATCACGAGGTCAGGAGATCGAGACCATCCTGGCTAACATGATGAAATCCCGTCTCTACTAAAAATACCAAAAAATTAGCCGAGTGTGGTGGCAGGCGCCTGTAGTCCCAGCTACTCAGGAGGCTGAGGCAGGAGAATGGTGTGAACCCGGGAGGCAGAGCTTGCAGCGAGCTGAGATCGCGCCACTACACTCCAGCCTGGGCGACAGAGCGAGACTGTGTTTCAAAAACAACAACAAAAACAAAACAAAACAAAAAAACCTTTAACTTGTTAATTAACAGTGATTATGGATTACTTCTAATATTTAAAAAAATGAACTCAAGCAAATAAAAGGACAATCCTTTGTAAAAATAATACTTCTTTATTGCAAGTTATCCCCTTTATCTGTATTTTATAGTAAAGGAAAATTTGCCCTTGAATGAGCTACTATCTACTTTAAAATCATCTTTCCGTAGCATAAGGCTGTCTTTTAGAATACACCATTACATCTGGAGCCAGGACACCAAGGCTCCGGGCTCAACTCTTCATCTACTTTTACCTTAGACCAGGGTCCGTCCTCTCTGGGAACATCCACCTGAAGAGGAGGATTAGACTGGCTGACAGTTGAAGTGCTGCTTTAGTGCTAAGGATTTATTTTAACTCTCTACCTGAGTTCTTCAGACACCTATACCCTCCCTCACTTATCTATACTTAAATAAAAAGTCTTGCCTTTTACTTATTAATATGTACATAATCCTTAATGTCCTGAGGAGAGTGGTTATTTTTTTCTCACTTTATAAAGTTTGGAAACGGGCTGAGTATGGTGGCTCATGCCTGTAATCCCAGCACTTTGGGAGGCTGAGGTGAGAGGATTGCATGAGCCCAGGAGCTGTACATTCACTCTCTCTTTCATGCCCCGACTCAGAATTCCATCTTCCCCACCTGTAACACTCTACCCTCTGCCCCTTTACCTTTGCCTAAAAGGGTGGCATAGAGAGTAGCTTATTGGGTGCTGTCTCATGTTTTGTTTTGCTTTTGCTCACTAAACTTCTCCCTTCAACTTACTAATATTCTTTTTTTCTTTTCCTTTCTTTTTTTTTTTTTTAGAGACAGAGTCTCACTCTGTTGCCAGGCTGTAGTGCAGTGGCGCAATCTTGGCTGCAACCTTCGCCTCCCGGGTTCAAGCAATTCCCCTGTCTCAGCCTCCCAAGTAGCTGGGACTACAGGTGTGCACCACCATGCCGGGCTAATTTTTTGTATTTTTAGTAGAGATGGGGTTTCACCATGTTGGCCAGGATGGTCTCAATCTCCTGACCTCATGATCTGCCCGCCTTGGCCTCCCAAAGTGCTGGGATTACAGGCATGAGCCACCACGTCCAGCCCCCATCTCAGTGAATGTCTTTTTTTTTTTTTTTTTTTTTTTTTTTTTGAGACAGGGTTTCACTTGTTACCCAGGCTGGAGTGCAGTGGCATGATCTTGGCTCACTGCAACCTCTGCCTCCTGGGCTCAAGTGATCCTCCCACTTCAGCCTTCCAAGTAGCTGGGACCGCAGGCGTGTGCCACCACGCCCAGCTAATTTTTTGTATTTTTGGTAAAGATAGGGTTTCACGCTGTTGCCCAGGCTGGTCGTGAACTCCTGGTCTCAAGTGATCCTCCTGCCTTGGCCTCTGAAACTGCAGGGATTGCAGGCATGAGCCACCATGCCTGGCCCTAAAATGCAAATGCCTTTTGGATTTTTTTTTTGCTTTTAGTTTTGGTTTTTTTTGAGACAGAGTCTCACTCTGTCGCCCAGGCTGGTGTGCAGTGGTGCTATCTCAGCTCACTGCAACCTCCGCCTCCCGGGTTCAAGCAATTCTCCTGCCTCAGCCTCCTAGTTAGCTGGGATTACAGGTGTGCACCACCACGCCTGGGTAATTTTTGTAATTTTACTAGAGACAGGGTTTTGCCATTCGGGCAGGCTGGTCTCAAACTCCTGGCTTCAAGCAGCCTGTCCGCCTCAGCCTTCCAAAGTGCTGGGATTACAGGCGTGAGCCACCATGCCTGGCCGCAAATGCCTTTTTGAAAATTTTTTTCTTTTTTTTCCTCTCTTGGTAATATGAATGCCAAATTTTTATCTTTATGTTATTTTTGAGACAGGGTCTCACTGTCACCTGGGCTGGAGCGCAATGGTGCGATCATGGTTCACTGCAGTCTCTACCTCCTAGGCTCAAGCTATTCTCCTCAGCCTCGTGAGTGGCTGGGACTACAGGCACATGAGGCACATGTCACCATGCCTCGCTACTTTCTGTATTTTTTTTTTTTTGTAGAGACAGATTTTCGCCACGTTGCCCAGGCTGGTCTTGAATTCCTGAGCTCAAGTGATCCTCCCACCTTGGGAGAATCCCAGCACCTCCCAAAGTGCTGGGAATACAGACATGAGCCACCTCGCCCAGCCCCAAATTTTTATTTTTAATTGAGATAAAATACACATAAAATTTACCATCTTCTCCATTTTTAAGTGTTAAAAGCCTTTTGATAACAAGTCAATTTCAAGATTCTGAGATAGAATGTAAAAAGAAAAGATTTCATTTACACACTTTATTTCATTTATTTTTAATTTATTTTTTTTAAACAGGGTCTTGCTCTGTTGCCCAGGCTGGAGTGCAACAGAGCAAGATTGTGCAGTAGCCCAATCCTGACTTACTGCAGCCTCGACCCCTCTCACTCAAGTCATTCTCCCGCCTCAGCCCCCCAAGTAGCTGAGACTACAGGGTGCACCACCATACCCGGCTAATTTTAAAATATTTATTGTGGAAACAAAGTCTCCCCATGTTGCTGAGGCTGGTCTAGAACTCATGGGCTCAAGCTATCTTCCTGCTTTGGCCTCCCAAAGTGCTGGGATTATAGGTGTGAGCCACTGAGCGCAGCCTGAACAACTTTATATATAAAAGATTAATTGTAAGACCATTTTTTCAACTGTACTAAAGTCTTGAATTTCTCAGCCTGGTATTTTACACTTGTGTTCAATAAATATTTGAATACATGAAGAAATGGGAGAATATTACTTTTTTCTAATACGCCTTTTGGTGAGTTTGGTTCTTTTATTTCTTTAGGTGGCCGTCAGACCCAAGAGCAACGAACTCAGAGAAATGTAATAAATGTACCTGGAGAAAAACGTACTGAAAATGGGGTAAGTGACAGTGAATTAAATTGAATTTTAAAAATTGATGGCTAGGTGCAGTGGGTTACACCTGTAATCTCAGCACTTTGGGAGGCCAAGGTGGGAGGATCACATGAGGGCAGGAGTTTGAGATCAGCTGGAGCAAGATGGTGAGACCCTCTGTCTATAAAAGGTTTTAAAAAATTAATCAGATGAGGCCAGGTGTGTGGCTCACACATGTAATCCTAGCACTTTGGGAGACTGAGGCGCACAGATCACGAGGTCAGGAGTTGAGACCAGCTTGGCCAATCTGGTGAAACCCCGTCTCTACAAAAAAATACAAAAATTAGCCAGGCATGGTGGCATGCGCCTGTAGTCCCAGCTACTCGGGAGGCTGAGGCAGGAGAATTGCTGGAACCCGGGAGGCAGAGGTTGCAGTGAGCCAAGATCGCACCACTGTACTCCAGCTTGGGCAATAGAGACTCCGTGTCAAAAAAAAAAAAAAAAAAAAGTCAGATGTGGCCAGGCGTGGTGGCTCATGCCTGTAAATCCCAGCATTTTGGGAGGCCGAGGCGGGCAGATCCCCTGAGGTCAGGAGTTCAAGACCAGGCTGGCCAATATGGTGAAACCCTGTTTCTACTAAAAATACAAAAAAATTAGCTGGGCGTGGTGGTGGGCGCCTGTAATCCCAGCTACTCAGGAGGCTGAGGCAGGAGAATCGCTTGAACCCAGGAGGCAGAGGTTGGAGTGAGCCAAGATCGCACCATTGCACTCCAGCCTGGGCAACGAGCGAAATTCCATCTCAAAAAAAAAAAAGTCAGATGTGGTAGCATCTGCCTGTAGTCCCAGCTACTCAGGAGGCTGAGGCGGGATGATGACTTGAGCCCAGGAGTTTGAGGCTGCCATGAGTCATGATTATACCACTGCACTTCAGCCTTGTCAACAGAGTAAGACCCTGTTTTTTTTTTTTTTTTAATTGCTTTTTACCGGTAGTAATGAGTTTGGGTGATAACTTATTTTTAAATAATTATTTTGGGGGTAGATATTGTCATTTCTATTGAATATTTCAAAATATTATATGAAATTATAAAGCAGCAGTCACTGAGTGGTGTTACCTATTCACATAATGGTCCATGAATCAGATCATGTCTCCTTTGGAGCAGCCCTCCACCTGCCCTTCACATGCTGCTGCCATGTCCTCTCCTGGAGCAGGCAGTGGGTGCCTCTGTGCACGTAAACACAGCATCTCTGTGGCGGCAGATGGGCTATGGGCTTAGCTTGTAGACTAAGAGTTGAGTAGGCTGACTTGCTTTGCATCTTCAGTGTTGGTTCTGGATCCTCTGTCAGGTTTTGACAGACACAATGGATGGTGGGCTGCAGTGTCTTCCTCCATCATTGTGGTATAGACTTGGAGAATAGATGGAATGCTTATCATAGGTGAGGGGAGCTGTGGAGGAGCTCTTTGTAAGAAATGTTGGTGTTGGCTGGGCGTGGTGGCTCACACCTGTAATCCTGGCACTTTGGGAGGCCAAGGTCGGTGGATCACCTGAGGTCAGGAGTTCGAGACCAGTCTGACCAATATGGTGAAACCCTATCTCTACTAAAAATACAAAAATTAGCTGGTCGTGGTGGCATGCGCCTGTAGTCCCAGCTACTCAGGAGGCTGAGACAGGAGAATCACATGAACCCAGGAGGCAGAGGTTGCAATGAGCCGAGATCGTGCCACTGCACTCCAGCCTGGGCAAGAGAGTGAGACTCCATCTCAAAAAAAGCCGAAATGTTGGTGTATGTTGAAAGAATGAACCAAATAGGGACATTTTTAATGTGGTCTTTTCTGAAAATTTGAAGATAACTGTAACAAGTAATTTTAAGACTAGAGATTGAGTTTCTTTTTTTTTTTTTTGAGGCAGAGTCTCACTCTGTCGCCCAGGCTGGAGTGCAGTGGCCTGATCTGGGCTCACTGCAAGCTCCGCCTCCCGGATTCAAGCCATTCTCCTGCCTCAGCCTCCCCAGCAGCTGGGACTACAGGCGCACACCGCCACGCCCGGCTAATTTTTTGTATTTTTAATAGAGATGGGGTTTCACCGTGTTAGCCAAGATGGTCTCAATCTCCTGACCTTGTGATCCGCCCACCTTGGCCTCCCAAAGTTCTGGGATTACAGGCGTGAGCCATCGCGCCCAGCCTGATTGAGTTTCTTTTTCTGGCTGTAACACTAACTAGGCATCTAAGCTTAGGCAAGTTCCTTCCTCACACAGGGCTGGGCATGGTGAGATACTGGTAAAGTGCATGGAATCTAGAGTGTGACTGGCCCATGTTTAGCCCACTGGCCTCGGAGCTTTCTAATGAGCTGAATTTGAGCAAGTTATTTCACCTCTCTACTTCCCAACTTATTATTGAATTGCTAGTTCTTTTATTGGCTATATTTGTGACCCTACCTCATATACTTAAATCTCTGTTTATTTGTACTATCAACTTTAAACAGTATCTCTGGACCTTGCTCTTTGTAAAATGATAATATTAGGCCCCTGCCATCTTTCCTTCCTTCCTTCCTTCCTTCCTTCCTTCCTTCCTTCCTTCCTTCCTTCCTCCCTCCCTCCCTCCCTCCTTCCCTTCCTCCCTTCCTTCCTTCCTTCCAGCTCTTGCAGCTGTACCAGACTTTCATGTTGTAAAGGTTGACAATATTTGTATATTGTTATCTAACTATAAACCTTTTTTGCTTTGTCTGTAGATTGGTTATAAAGTTGAAAACCATTTAGCAGTTTCATTATTTTAGATTTTGCAGGTATTATCCACTGCAGAGCCATGTGGTATACTAGATTATATTTTCTTCTCTTTGGTTTCAATATCATAATCCTTCTGCCACTCAGGGAGAAATATTCCTGTTGTTAAGATTATAGATTCTCCCTCTTCACATTCCTGCCTTCTGTCATTGGAGTAGAGATTTGTCCACTGCAAATCAAGAGCCTCTACAGAGTTCTTCCAGGCGGATCTGCTTCAGGACGTCTTAAGAAATAGACGCACACACACCACTGGTAGAAATTTTCATTCAGTAAATCTGGAGTGGGGCCTAGAAAACTCCCCATGTGACTATGTTGCCATGCCAAGCTTGGGAACATCCAGGTTACACTTTAGCAAGCATTTATAGCTTGTTTGTCCAACAGAATGTTGAAGATCTTTTTGAGTTCTAAGATTTACCATGGGACGGGCGCGGTGGCTAGCTCCTGTAATCCCAGCACTTTGGGAGGCCAAGGTAGGCGGATCACCTGAGGTCAGGAGTTCTAGACCAATCTGGCCAACATGGTGAAACCCTCTCTCTACTAAAGATACAAAAATTAGCTGGGCATGATGGCAGGTGCCTGTAATCCCAGCTGTTCTGGAGGCTGAGGCAGGAGAATCGCCTGAACCCAGGAGACAGAGGTTGCAGTGAGCTGAGATTGCACCACTGCGCTCCAGCCTGGGTGACAGAGCGAGACTCTGTCTCCAAAAAAAAAAAAATAATAATAATAATAAGTGAAAGAAAGAAAGGAAGAAAGAATTACCATGACCTGAACTTCAGGGAAGATTAAATAGATACATTGAGTAGGCCGTGTGTTGAAGAAGTGAGGTGTGTTGTATATGATATAATATATGGAAGAGACTCAAAAGGAAAGCATTCCAAATGTATGATAAATTGGGTAGACCAGTTTTGATGTGATGAGACCTTTTCCTTGATGAAGTTTTTTCTTGTTAATAAGGAGATAATGTGTATATTTCAAGATCAACAAAATTGAAACCTGAAACCAAAGTGAAAAATGTGTTTTTATCCTTTATGTGGCTTGTAATTAGAGGAAGGTATGAGAGCTCCTCTAGAGGAATAATTTAGGATTGGAAGCATCACATCAAAGATGTTACTGTATTTTATGGCTTACACATCTACCTTTTAAGCTTAATAATACGTTACCTTCTAAAACACTTTATTGTCTACAGAGCGGTTTTACGTGCATTTTAAGATATGAAAAACATCTTCCCCCAAAATGTTTCTGTGTATACCTTGGTTATAGAATAATGACATGCTAATAAGCCTTCTAACTTCTGGGCTGAGACATCTAAGGATAGATTAAGGAGAGCTGTGAAGAAAGGGGGGAGTGTGGGTTGGAAGAGAAGGGCAGGATGCTGAGTTGGTGTGATTGATGTCCATCAGCAGCTGCTGAACTAAGAAGCCGGGGAAGTTCTGCTCTCTGAAAATTGTAGGCCAGCAAGTCAGGTTAATACTACTGTGCTGGTTTGTCATTATGCTATAAAGGCAAATTGATTTGTTCTCATTATATATGCCTGTGTTGAAGCTTCCAAGATGTCCCCAGGTTCCGTGGTTTGCTAGGACCACTCAGGACTAAGCATAGAGTTCTCTTGAGTTGCTACAGTGAAAGGATTCAGAGCCAGATCAGCAAAGAGGAAAGACACATTCGACTTAGGTGTCCTGGAAGAACTTTTTCCTGTCTTCTCAGCCAAGCAGTTTTAAAATCTGAGTCAGTTTTTGCTTTATTCTAGGATATCCAGTAAGTTGCCAAGACCAATTGATCCTACCCTCCTGTGTTTTCTTCTAAGAGCTTTATAGTTTTAGCTCTTACATGTAGTTCTATGATCAATTTTAAGTTAATTTTTGTGTATAGTGTGAGTTAAAGGATTCAAATTAATTCTTTTCCATGTAAATATCCAGTTATCCCAGCACCATTTGGTGAAAAGACTATTCTCTCTCCCACTGAATTGCCTGACACCTTTGTCAGATCAATTGACCATAAATGTGATGTTTATTTCCAGAAGCATTCATTGCTAATGTAATCACCCAGGCACCGTTTTCCATATGGTGCCCAAGACTCAACTGTGCCTATCATCTCCTAGGCCAGATAACATTTCAACTGTCTAGAGAAAAACTTTTAGACTTATGCCAGGAGAGGATAGAGGCAGTCACCTAGGAGCATGGAGTTGGGGAGTAGATAGGGATTTAACTGCCTCTTAAATATTGTTCACTCAGTCTGCCTTATTTTCAGTCCCTACATTTTATTCCCCTTTCCAGAGGTACATGGTGTTGTCAGTTCCTGAAACTTTGAAGATTCTGTGCTGTAACTGGAGTGTTTATCCAGTTTTACTCCTTCTGGCTTGAGGTTTGTCTCAGATGTACTAGGTCAGTTATTTCTCGTCTGTTCTTTTGCCAACTTCCAAACATCTGTGTTGTGTGCACTGCTGTTAGTCCCGCTTTTGTGGTTTTATATTATTTGATGTAAAAATCCCTTTACTGTCAATTAGTGGAGTTTTGGGATTTAATGAAATTGGGATTAATCCTCCCTTGTGAGCAGAGCCAGGTGTGAATTTCTTTTAATTTCCCTATTGGGCTTTGTTGAATTTACTGATTCTGAGGATTGGCATCTGTCAACAGCTCTGGAACATTCTCTGTTATCTCGAGAAGTATTTTATCTTCTGCATTCTTTCTGTTTTCTTCTTTTGGAACTCTTATTAGACCTTCATCTTTCATTTTATTCTCCTTGTCTCTTAATTTCTTTTTTATATATTCTCTTTTTTGGTCTCTTTGTACTATATTCTGGATACTGTCCTAAGATTCATCTTTCAGTTAGTGAATTTTGTCTTCAGCTGTGTCTGTCTATTTAATACATAAAAGGTGCTTTTATTATTATTATTTTGAAAGGTATGACATAGTCTAGGAAAAATACTAGCAAATCATGTACCTGATAAAGGATTCAGATGCAGAATATATAAAGAACTCCCAAAGCTTAATAATAAGAAAACAAACAACCCAATTCAAAAAAGAAATAGGCCGAGCTCAATGGCTCATGCCTGTAATCCCAGCACTTTGGGAGGCTGAGGCGGGTGGATCACTTGAAGTCAGGAGTTCGAGACCAGCCTGGCCAACATGGCGAAACCCTGTCTCTACTAAAAATACAAAAATTAGCCCAGCATGGTTGTGCACGCCTGTAATCCCAACTACTTGGGAGGCAGGAGAATCACTTGAACTTGGGAGGTGGAGGTTGCAGTGAGCTGAGATCGCGCCACTGCACTCTAGCCTGGGCAACAGAGTAAGACTCTGTCTCAAAAAAAAAAAAAAAGAAAAAGAAACAGGTGAAAGATTGAACAGGTGCTTCCCCAAATAAAATATATGAATGTCAAGTAAGCACATGGAAAGGTGTTCACCATCATTAGTCTTTAGGAAAATACAAATTAAAACCACCATGAAGTGGCATTACACACCTATTAGAATGTCTAATGTTAAAAAGACTGATCATAACAAGTGTTGGTGAGGAAAGGGAGAAATTGGAACTCTTATGTATTGCTTGTGGGAATGTAAAATGGTATAATCTGGAAAATAATTTGGTAGTTTGAAACTTAAACATAAATCTACTGTATGACCCAACAACTCTACTCTTAAATATTTACCTTAGAGAAATGGAAGCAAATGTCTGTGCAGACTTGTACATGGCTGTCCATAGCAGTTTGATTTGGCTTGAAGCCAAAATCTGGCAACAACCCAAATGTTCGTTAACAGATAAATGCACAAATAGACTATGGTATATCCTCACAGTGGAATATTCCTGAACAATCAGAAGAAATGAACTACTAATACATGCTACAACATGGATGAATCTCAAAATCATTGTGCTGAAAGAAGCCAGCCAAAGGATTACATACTGAATACTGTTATGGTTTCATTCATATACAATTCTAGAAAACATAATCTCTAGTAACAGGGAAGGTCAGTGTTTGCCTGTGGATATGAGAACCAGGAGTGGGGGGCAAAGAGATAGGAGGAAGGGATTACAAAAGGGCACAAGGAAATTTGGGGAGAGGATGGATTTATTTTCTTGATTGTGCTGATTTCATAGTTTATACATTTGTCAAAACATTAAATTGTGTACTTTAGATATATGCAGTTTATTATATGTGAATTATACCTCAGTAAAGCTGTTGTAAAATTCATTAAAATTTTCACTTCTAGAAGTTTTAGGCCGGGCACAGTGGCTCACACCTGTAATCCCAGTACTTTGGGAGGCCAAGGTGGGTGGGTCACCTGAGGTCAGGAGTTCTAGACTAGCCTGGCCAACATGGTGAAACCCCATCTCTACTAAAAATACAAAAATTAGCCTGGCGTCCTGGCAGGCGCCTGTAATCCCAACTACTCAGGGGGATGAGGCAGGAGAATCGCTTGAACCCAGGGGGCGGAGGTTGCAGTGAGCTGAGATCACGCCATCGCACTCCAGCCTGGGGGACAAGAGGGAGACTTCATCTCAAAAAAAAAAAAAAAAAAAAAAGAAGTGTTAGTTCTTAAATCTTCTTAGTTGCTCTTTGGTTACATTTTAAACACACTAAACATATTTTATGTTCAGCAACTAATAATTTCTCAATCTGAACGTGACTTCTGCTGACTGTTGAGTCCTGGCTCCTTGATTGCTCTGTGTTTTGGTTTTTGACAATGAGCTGCTCGTTTTCCTTGGAACTTTACCTCTGGGCATTTTTTGACACCTGGATAAAGTCAGGCCTTTCCTGAAAGGCCTTTGTCAGTAACTAGGCACAAGCTAGGCTCAATTTCTACTGTCCTTTTGTGGATCATGACGCTTTCATGAGAGCTGTCTAGTGGTTACAGATAGTTAGGGGGCCGTCTCTCCTTCCACTCAGTGATAGAGAAAGGTAGGTTCCTTACTGCCCCCTTCTGTTGGGGGGTTCATTTCATAGTTAGCCTTACATTGAGGTTGTAGGTCTTCGCATCCTGGACGTTTGTGGGCATCTCCTCTTGGACTCTCCACAATGGAATGAGCTTAAGTCTTTACCTCCTAATGCCAGACTTCACCAGCTGCCAGGGAGCAAGTATGCAGGTGGGCAAAAACCTTCAGGACAAAAGCCAGCTGTGGAGTTCTTTTATTATTGCCCAAGGTTTCTGGTTTCTCTTTATTTTTGGTCCCTGTAGTTTCCTTACTGTTGTGCCAACTCAGTGATGCTTTTAAAAACATGTTTTGTGTTTTATCTTGCCTTTTAGGTGTTGTTACCAGGAGTGTGATACAGGGTGTCCTGTCAGCCATGAGGTTGGAAGCAGAGCGCTCCCAGGGTGTTGTCATAGTTCTCATGTGGCATGGGATGCGTTTTCTGTTGTTATCTGTGCACTTTGATAGCCCATTTTCCTGCCAGTTTCTTTCTAGCCCTAATTATTCCTAGCATCTTGCCTTGGGTATAAATGTGTATTGAATTGAATGGATATGGATGAATTTTTTTTTTTTTAAGACAGTGTCTTGCTGTGTCTCTCAGGCTGGAGTGCAGTGGCACAATCTCGACTCACTGCAACCTCTGCCTCCCAGGTTCAAGTAATTCTCCTGCCTCAGCCTCCCACGTAGCTGGGACTACAGGCATGCGCCACCACGCCTGGCTAATTTTTGTATTTTTAGTGGAGAACAGGGTTTCACCATGTTGGCCAGGCTGGTCTCGAACTCCTGAGCTCGAGTGATCCTCCTGCCTCAGTCTCTCAAAGTTCTGGTATTACAGGCATGAGCTACCACCTGGGCCTTATGTGAATAAGTCTTATGATTAAAATTTATTCATATTGGGCCGGGCGTGGTGGCTCACACCTGTAAACCCAGCACTTTGGGAGGCCGAGGTAGGTGGATCACTTGAGATCAGGAGTTTGAGACCAGTCTGGACAACAGAGTAGACCTCATTTCTGTTTAAAAAAAAAAAAAAGTTATTCACATTTATAGACTAAAATAGCATGTTGTAGTACTATTGCAGGGGATAGGGAGCTAGTATGCATTTTAGATATCTAATTGGCTCTTATTAATTTGTGAGACTTAGTAATTATTGGAATATGAAATATTCTGGCTTCAGAATTTAATGAGATGTTAGAGAGGCTTGATTTTATTGAACATTTTATATTTTTGCCACCTTTGTGACTGGGAATACTGAGCATATAATTTATGTGATAAAAATGAGCATCCGTGTTCATAAGGTATCTTGATATCATTATCACCTATTTTTTGTTTGCTAAATGGGCAAGTAAAACCTACTCTTCAAACCAGAAGATATATAACCTTGAAGAGATAGGAACAAAGAGGAATGATTTCATACTGATGAATATTACGTGAGCATAAGTAGGTTTTATTCTAATTATTTTGCTAGAGTTTTGCATTAGGGATGTTTGTCATTTTTGAAATGACATTTTACTTGAGAAACTGCTTATACTTTTAAAAAAAACTAGTTATACAGTATGTGTTGTGGCTCACGCCTGTGATCCCAGCACTTTGAGAGGCCAAGGCAAGAGAATAACTTGAGACTAGGAGTTTGAGACCAGCCTGGGTAACATAGTGAGACACTGTCTCTACAAAAAAAAAATTTTAAAATACATCAGTGTAGGCCAAGCACAGTGGCCCACACCTGTAATCCCAGCACTTTGGGAGGCTGAGGCGGGCAGATCACTTGAGGCCAGGAGTTTGAGACAAGCCTGGCCAACATGGTAAAGCCCCGTCTCTACTAAAAAAAAAATACAAATATTAGCCTGGCATGGTGGCACGCACCTGTGATCCCAGCTACTCGGGAGGCTTAAGCAGGAGAATTGCTTGAACCCAGGAGGCACAGGTTGCGGTGAGCCAAGATCGCACCACTGCACTCCAGCCTGGGTGACAGAGCGAGACTCCATCTCAAAAAACAGAAAGAAAAAAGATCAGTGCAGTGTGGAAGTAAAACAAAGACAAATTTAAAGACATTTTCTGTAAACTGCTAAAAATATTTATAGTCTTTTTAAATCTTGTGATGATTAAATTACAAGATAAGATACTAGACATTTGGTCTAATTTTTTTCTATTCTTTATTGTGAAATATATACACAGAAATATATGTACATGTATAAAACATGTACAGTTTAAAGAGATACTGAGAGCTGGGCAGGGTGGCTCACACCTGTAATCCTGCACTTTGGGAGGCCAAGGAGGGTGGATCAGTGAAGTCAGGAGCTTGAGACCAGCCTGGCCAGCATGGTGAAACCCCATCTCTCCTAAAAATACAAAAATTAGGCCTGGTGCAGTGGCTCATGCCTGTAATCCCAGCACTTTGGGAGGCTGAGGCAGGCAGGCAGATCACAAGGTCAGGAGATTGAGACTATCCTGGCCAATATGGTGAAACCCTGTCGCTACTAAAAATACAAAAATTAGGCCTGGTGCAGTGGCTCACGCCTGTAATCCCAGCACTTTGGGAGGCTGAGGCAGGCGGATCACAAGGTCAGGAGATTGAGACCATCCTGGCCAATATGGTGAAACCCTGTCTCTACTAAAATACAAAAAAAATTAGCCGGGCGTGGTGGCGCACGCCTGTAGTTCCAGCTACTCGAGAGGCTGAGGCAGGGGAATTGCTTGAACCTGGGAGGCGGAGGTTGCAGTGAGCCAAGATGGCACCACTTGCACTCCAGCCTGGCGACAGAGCAAGACTCCATCTCAAAAAATAATAATAATAATAAAAATACAAAAATTAGCTGGGCGTGGTGATGGGTGCCTGTAATCCCAGCTATCCGGGAGGCTGAGGCAGGAGAATCACTTGAACCCCGGGGGGCGGAGGTTGCAGTGAACCGAGATTGTGCCACTGCACTCCAGCCTGGGTGACAGAGTGAGACTCCATCTCAAAAAAAAAAAAAAGAAGACACTCAGGTGACTACCACGGAGGCTTAGAATTTCTCTATTATTTTTAAAACAATTCTATGCAACTTATTTTAATTGTAGACAGAATAAAGACACAAAAGCAAGATGGTTAGTGGAGGCCACCTGAAGTCTCCTCTCAGATTTTATAGAGAAAGAAAGGGCATTTTTGGAGACAGATGTGTGAACAAATCATGCTAGTATGAAAAGTGTAGTAAAAGTGGAATAAGGCACCAAAATAAAGGGGTATGATTAACTTTATCAAGATTGATGTTGGGCAATACTTCCCAAAAGAAAGAATCAGAGGATTCCACAAAGATACAGAGGAATAGACATGAAACTGTATGGTGACAGAGAGTTATAAACAGGACTGTGCAGCATGAAGTGTAGGGACAGGCAAGGGGGAGGAGACACTGAGAGGGGACACGGAGAGGGAGGAGAGCGAGAGCAAGAGGACCAGCCTGGGAGAGGCCAGGTCTTCACCATGCTAAGAGCTCAGATTAATCTTGTGGGATTTTAAGCAAGCTGTGTTTTAGAAAGATCTCTGTGGTGCTGGCCTGCAAGAATTATATATCAGCAGTGGGAGATAAAGAGCAGGACGGGAATGAGACTGGAGACGAGCCTTGTGAGGTCATTGTTTGCTGTGCTTTGCAATGGTGTCACAACTCCTGGAATCTCAGAGACTTTCAAAGGAAGTATTTGAAAATACAGTTTCAAGGGTATGGTGATACAAGCAGAAAAGGCATCCAGTTTTTCTTCTAAATGGTAATTTATAGATTTTCAGTTCTTATTTATTTATTTTAAAGAGACAGGGTTTCGCTCTGTTGCCTAGGCTGGAGTACAGTGGTGCAATCATAGTTCACTGCAGCTTGGAACCCCGGGCTCAAGCAGTCCTCTCACCTCAGCCTCCAAAGTAGCTGGTACTAGAGGTGTGCACCACCATGCCCAGCAATTTTTAAATTTTTTTGTAGAGATGGTGTCTCATATGTTGCCCAGGCTGGCTTTGAACTTTTGGCCTCAAGTGATCCTTCCACTCCAAAGCCCTTCGGGTCATTGGGCAGGTGACATTAGGTCTATTTGGTCACTTCTCATAATCTTCCAAAAATAAAGAGTTGCCTATAGAGTTCTCATTATTGCCTTTATCTTAGTTTTAAAATTGTTTTATTCTTGAATCAAGTAACTTTTATGTTTTTCAAGGGGGAGAAATTAATCCTTTCCCATTAGTTCGAACTATGTGAAATTGTTGATGTTTGATCATTTTTTGATCTGGCGGATCATGAGGTCAAGAGATCGAGACCATCCTGGCCAACATGGTGAAACCCATCTCTACTAAAAATACAAAAATTAGCTGGGCGTGATGGCACGCACTTGTAGTGCCAGCTACTTGGGAGGCTGAGGCAGGAGAATCGCTTGAACCCAGGAGGCGGAAGTTGCAGTGAGCTGAGATAGCGCCACTGCACTCTAGCTGGTGACAGAGCGAGACTCTTGTCTGAAAAAAACAAACAAAAAAGCAGTATTTTCATATGATTTAGATTATTAAGATGTCTTCATGGTGTCTGGTAGCGTGTTTACCCTTTGACATAATAAATGGCTGTTGATTAGGAGCAACCACGGATACCAAGCTGCAGCCAGGTGGTGAGGGCATCACCTCCCATGTGATGGAAAGAGTGCCTGCTTGCTGTCAGGAGATGTGGCTAGGATCCTGGCACTGCTACTGACCTGACACTTAAGCGTGGGAAAGCCAGTCAACCAGCTGCCCAGAGCCTTAGCTTTCTCACCTATAAAATAAGCTTAAGAATTTTCCTCCTAGGGGCCAGGCACGGTGGATGACGCCTGTAATCCCAGCACCTTGGGAAGCCGAGGTGGGTGGATCATGAGGTCAGGAGATCAAGACCATCCTGGATAACATGGTGAAACCCCATCTCTACTAAAAATACAAAAAATTAGCTGGGCATGGTGGCATACGTCTGTGGTCCCAGCTATTCGGGAGGCTGAGGCAGGAGAATCGCTTGAACCCAGGAGGTGGAGGTTGCAGTGAGCCGAGATGGCGCCACTGCGCTCAAGCCTGGGCGACAGAGCTAGACTCCGTCTCAAAATAATAATAATAATAATAATAATAATAATAATAATAAAATAAAAATTTCCTCCGAGAGTTTTTGTAAGCATCATCTAAGACAACTGTAAACTTGGGTATATGTAAATGTCTGATATGCAGCAGGCATTCATTACATGTTAATTGCTGAATCTCTAGAATGAATTCAAGAATTCATTTTAAAAAGTACTGAGTTCTTCCCATCTCTGAAAGTGAATAAACATCCTGAATATCAAAACAATGGTATGAGAGAGTCCTTAAAGAATCAGGAAGAACTTCAGGAAGCAGATGGCATTGCCTCCTAGGTCTTAAGTGATAGGCAGAGTTTAGGAAGCAGTGGGGGAAGGGCACTGTGGGCAGCGGGAAGAGCATGAGTGAAATATGCTCACAGGAAAGTGTTGGTTCTAGAACGGAGTGGCAAGCACAGATGTGGGAGGTCATGAAGAGCACTTTCGAGCAGCAGCCTTTATTTAGGGCAAGGATGGCTCAATCAAAGATGTTGCTGCTGAGGCTTCTGGAAAAAGGCGAGAGCCATTCATAGAAATAGGGAATTTAGGGAGGAAGCCAGGCTTGGAAGGAGAGAGAGGAGTTTGGTGGAGAGAGGCCAGAAGTGGATGTTTTGGCAAGGTGTGTTCTCCTATAAACTAAGTGCAAAAAGGAACGAGCATGAAACTGTTGAACTATTTCATGTCATCTCACTGGAGCTTGAAAGCTTAGGGAATTTTTTATTCCAAATAATATATATTTTTTTGATTCTAGGTTACAGTTTATTTCAAATAATCTGAATACAATGACCAGTATACAATTTTTAAAAATCACGTGCACAAGGAAATAAGACATCACGAACAAAATGTGACAAACACCTCAGATACTGGTATGACCTGACACAGGCTATAGAACAGCTGTGTTGGCCGGGCACAGTGGCTCACGCCTATAATCCCAGCACTCTGGGAGGCCGAGGCGGGCGGATCACGAGGTCAGGAGATCGAGACCATCCTGGCTAACACGGTGAAACCCCATCTCTACTAAAAATACAAAAGATTAGCCGGGCGTGGTGGCGGGCGTCTGTAGTCCCAGCTACTCGGGAGATTGAGGCAGGAGAATGGCATGAACCCGGGAGGCAGAGCTTGCAGTGAGCCGAGATCCGCCACTGCAGTCCAGCCTGGGCGACAGAGCGAGACTCCATCTCAAACAACAACAAAAAAAAACAGCTGTATTTACTTTATTTAAATAAATGACAAGTTTTGTTGGTATGTTCAAGAGAATAGGAAAATATTTTAAAATGGCACTGCAGACCGAAAAAGGAACCAAACAGAACTTTCACAAATGAAAAAAAAACCCTGAAATTAAAAGCTCAAAAGAAATGTTTAACACATATAGACAAATCTGAAGATTTGCAATGAATAACAGAAATTGAGAATAAGCATTTTGAAACTTTCATATCAACTTAACAGGGTAATTTTATGTCTACTGACTACAATAATTAACATTGTGGATGTATTTTGTACTTCTATAATAATTTATTTTCATTGTATTTTCTGATAAAGGACTCATATCTGGGATAACATACTGTTACAATTCAACAAGAAGAAGACAACCAACTTAAAAATAGACATCTCATCAAAGAAGAGAGACAAGTGGCTAACAGGCATATGAAAAGATGCTTAACATTTCCAGTCATTGGGGAAACGCAAATTGAAACCACAGTGAGACACCATTACACATCCACAAGAATTAAGCTATAAGCAAAAAGACAAATATTAGCAAGAATGTGGACACACTGGTGTCCATTGCTGGTGGAAATGTAAAATAGTGCAATCGCTTTGGAGAACAGTTTGGCAGTCTTTTAAAAAGCTAAACATAAACTCACCATACAAGCCAGGAATTCCACTCCTAGGTATCTACTCAAGAGAAATGAAATATCTGCTCGCACAGACTTCTATGCAAATGTGCACAGCAGCACTGTTACTCATACCAGCTAAGAAATAGCCCAAATGTCCATTAACTGGTGAATGGATAAACAAATTGTGGTGTATCCATCTGACTGAATATGATGCAGCATTAAAAAGAAACCACTCAACACAGATGAACCTCAAAAACCTCACAGCAGGTGTGAAAGACTACCTATGGTATGACTTCACTTATATGAAGCGTCCGGAAGAAAGTAAGTCTAGAGACAGAAAGCAGATCAGTGGGTGCCTGCAGCTGGGGCCCAGAGTGGAAATTAATGGTGAATGGCATGAGGTAACTTTTGGAGGCAGATGGAAACATTCTAAAACAGAGTTGTGGTGATGGTTGCACAACTCTATGTATTTGCTAAAATAACTAAATTTTCCAGTTACAATGGGTGAATTTTAGGATATGTAAATTATGCCTCAGTTAACTCTAAAAAAGAAAAGCCTGTGACTCGAAAAGTTAAGGAAAAAATAAAATCTAGGGATAGGGCTGAAAGTTATACTCAGAATGAATACGTGGCTTTAAATTCTTTTATTATTAAAAAGCAAACTAAAAATAAGTCAACTCTCTATTCAACTTAATAAATGAAGAAAAGGTTAAAATAAAAGACATAGGATAATTAAAGATAAAAGTACAGATGAATAATACTGAACACAAACAGAACAGTCAAAAGAATAAATGAACTTATAAGGAGACATAACCGCCACTGATAAGGAAGAGATTAAAAGGTGCATTAAACAATGACCATGTACTAGTTAACAGACCCCCCTTTCTAAATGGACGCACTGTGCTAAGAAGCTACAGACGTTTCATAGAGAAAAGCAACAGGCCCACTGAGTTCCAAGTCAACCTTTCAACCCTATTTCATGGACACATTCCACATTTTATTGTTTCTGAAATCCGGGTCCATCTCATTATCCCTGTCATAAGGTGGCAGTGTGAGGGAGCTGCGGGAAAAGCTGCTGCAGGCCACCCCAGGAACCTTCACAAAGTGCTGGTGACAACGAATCTTTTAAGGATGGTAGTTTTTGAAGTTCTCTATTATTGCTTGCACTAAACCTTGAAGAATTTTGCCGTTTGTCTTTCTTCACTATGGGCTGAGAGGCTGGTACTTTTATTTAGCAGATACTGTAGACGGGGACAGCAACAAGGCTGTTTGTCCTGATGGAAATTTGCTCTGATTCCACTGTGTCTTGTCCTTCTTTTGAACTTTTTCCACTCTTCCCTGCTTTTGGTGATTCTTTCTCCTTCCTGTTTTTATTCAGCATGGCTGGAGCGGGCGGCCGCCGCCACCACCTGCCCCCACAGCAGCAGCGCCTCCACCCCCATCCGTCTCACCCCCACGGCCACCGCCGACACCCAGGGACTGAGTCGTTCTCTTGCTCTTGGTTCCCGTTTTTCAGGCTTCCAGAGGCTGCAGCAGTGGCTGCCTATTCCAAATATTATTATGGTGACATTCTTTTTTTTTTTTTTTAATACTTTAAGTTTTAGGGTACATGTGCACAACATGCAGGTTTGTTACGTATGTATACATGTGCCATGTTGGTGTGCTGCACCCATTAACTCGTCATTTAACATTAGGTGTATCTCCTAATGCTGTCCCTCTCCCCTCCCCCCACCCCACAACAGACCCCGATGTGAGATGTTCTTGCCTATTATAACCATAATGAAGTAATTTGGCTGAATATTAAAATCAGCATATCAAGATTAGGGACATCTGAAGTGACCCATTTGCCAGTAGATGTTTAATTGCTGACAAAATCCACTAGTCTTTTCTATTAACTGATTTTGTAATCACAAAGGAATGTATGTTAGGCATTGAAGGAAAAAGCACCATTCATAGTTAAACCTCCATCGTTTATGCTGTAGCTTAGCTCCTTTAAACATATACATGTTCTCTCTCTTCTCTGGGTTATGATGATGCTGTTTGGGGAGATTGCACTGTGACTGAACTTATAATAAAAATAAAGTTATAGGACAGGAAAGCACTTCAGGGTCACAAAAGCTAAACAAGAGAGCACTTCAGAGCAGGTAGAGCCAGCACATGTGCACAACAAAACAGGCGTCGAAGATGCTCCCCTGCCTCTGAGGCACTTGGCATATGTATGCCAAGCAAAAGCAGAATATTTTGGGTTTATCCAAGCATGACACAAAATTCAAATCTGTACCAGAGTCTGTTCTCTGACTAGGAACAATTGGGTTGACTAAATTAGTATGTATATTTGCCTGAAATTGTAATGTCAAAATACCACTCCTTATAGAGCATTATTTAGTGTTTCTTTTTTTTTCTTTTTCTTTTTTTTTTTTTGAGATGGAGTCTTGCTCTGTTGCCCAGGCTGGAGTGCAGTGGCACGGTCTTGGCTCACTGCAACTTCCGCCTCCTGGGTTCAAGCGATTATCCTGCCTCAGCCTCCCGAGTAGCTGGGATTACAGGCACCTGCCACCATGCCCGGCTAATTTTTTGTATTTTTAGTAGAGACAGTGTTTCACCATGTTGGCCAGGCTGGTCTTGAACTCCTGACCTCGTGATCCGCCCACCTTGGCCTCCCAAAGCGCTGGGATTACAGGTGTGAGCCACAGCGCCCGGCCTATGTAGTGCTTCTAGGTGAAAGACTAATTATACGAAAAAGAAATGGCATAGTTTTTCAAGAACTGCAATAATGAAGAGTCATTAACTGGACAGGTATTGGATAAGGTATGTAATATGATGAATTCCTCTGTTCATAGGTAAAATTGTAGTCTTTACTACTTTTTGGCACATAGCAAAATTCTTTTTTTTTTTTTTTTTTTTTTTTTAAATATAGGGTCTTGCTCTGTTCCCTAGGCTGGAGTGCAGTGGTGCAGTCACAGCTCACTGCATTCTCAACCTCCCAGGCTCAAGCGTTCCTTCCACCTCATCCTCCCAAGTAACTGGGACTACAGGTGCCCGCTACCATTCCTGGCTAATTTTTGTGTATTTTGTAGTGATGAGGTTTCACCGTGTTGTCCAGGCTGGTCTGAAACTCATGAACTGGGATTATAGCCGTGAGCCATCATGCGTGGCCACATATTAGCAAAATATTTCAATAGTACATTAAATAGAATGTAAGACTAGCCTTATTACTAATATTTGGAGAGACAAATATTTTGTTTATAAAAATTTTGTAAGCCAGCTAATGAAGTCTCTTATTTCTGCAAGTAGATTTGTGGAAGTTTGGAGAAAGAAGGCAGTGATATGATCAGATAAGTGATAATAAAAACTATTTCCCTCTGCTCATGCTGGGGTCAGGGTGGGAGGCTAGCTAGACCTGAGGCGGGGTGGGCCGTGTTTATTGTGGAAAACAAGTGATGTTGCCGTGAGGCTGGAGAGTGAGCTGGGTTCATGAGTAGCAGAAACAGTGTTCCTGGAACCCAGAGTTCAGGTAGTGAACATCGGTGTTGGAGGAGATCTGGATCCCTGGGGCCACAGGTGGTAGTCCCTGCCGAAGGGATCATCGGAGCAGGTTTAAGGCTGGTGGGATGTTTCCTTTTTGGGGGTCCCGTATTTGTAGGCACCTGCCTGACTGTTGCTGAGAAAACTTTTCTGCTAATTTAACTTAGTTGTTGGAAGTGGCTTGTGCACTGTGTGACCTGGAGCTGAACTCATCCGACAACTCTACCATAATTAGGGACCTTGAATTGCCTGAGGGAACAGGGTTTGACTTCTTCTTATTAGATGCAATCAATGAAGAGAAATAGGGAAGAATTAGGTAATAGGTTTGTTTGAATAAATTGAGTTTGTATAAAAAATTTAAAATTGTAAGTAGGGATAGTTTGCATGTAATACAGTGATAGGCCTATTATTAAAAAATCCAGTTTGCATTGAAGAGTTTTCATTTTCTTTGAAATTGTGGAAAAAGTGCTTCTTTTTTCCCAAATTTTCACATTGCACAATTACTGAAATGTAAATTGTTACATATTTGTTGACTTACAGGTTTATGGTAGCTTATGTTTTTATAACCCATTTAAATACAATTAAATCACACAGGCATATTCACTTTGAAATAATTCATTCAGCTGTACATAATGATTTATTACACCTTTCTATATGTAAGATCTTCCATAAAATTTCATTACATTATAAGTTGATGTATAAGATACAATGAATTACCTATGACAAGATGGCGTATCTTAATTTTGTACTTAGAAAAACACACGCAACATAAAGAGTATAAATGTATGTATTGGCAAATAAAAT
Source organism: Homo sapiens (assembly GCF_000001405.40). Lineage (NCBI taxonomy): Eukaryota > Metazoa > Chordata > Mammalia > Primates > Hominidae > Homo > Homo sapiens. Next base: position 103,759,854 of record NC_000014.9, on the reverse strand, counting down.
ACTTTTTGGTTTAGGTAAGTAAAATATTTTAATAAGCTCTATCTTATTCATAGATATAAACATCAGAACACCAGACAGTTAAATTTCTCTTCTATCCTCTTTTCATTGTTTTGTGAAGCCTTTGGTGGGGGAGACCAGAAAGGTAGTTTTTGATTTTTTTTTTTCTTCAAGTTGTGAAATTATAAAATTAATGTTAATTGAAAGATTTGTTGAATAGACATAGTTTTACTCTAGTCAAAAAGTGTTTAAGTCTGGGCACAGTGGCTTACACCTGTAATCCCAGCGCTTTGGGAGGCCTAGGTGGGAGGATCATTTGAGCCCAGGAGATTGAGGCCAGCACAGGCAACATGGTGAGACCCCTGCCTCTACAAAAAATTTTAAAAATCAGCCAGGCATGGTGGCTTGTGCCTGTAGTCCTAGCTAGGCGAGAGGATAGCTTAAGGCTGCAGTGATTGCACCACTGTACCCCAGCCTGGGTGACAGAGTGAGATTCAGTCTCTAAATTAAAAAAAAAAAAAAAAAAAATCTTGTACCGTATTGCTTTTTCAGGATTTTTAGATAAACAGAATGGTGGTTCCAGTTAAGACTGTTAAATCCAGCCGGGCGCGGTGGCTCATGCCTGTAATCCCAGCACTTTGGGAGGCCAAGGCAGGCAGATCACGAGGTCAGGAGTTCAAGACCAGCCTGGCCAATATGGTGAAACCCTGTCCCTACTAAAAATAACAAAAATTAGCCGGGTGTGGTGGTGGGCACCTGTAGTCCCAGCTATTCGGGAGACTGAGGCAGGAGAATTGCTTGAGCCCAGGAGGCGGAGGTTGCAGTGAGCTAAGATCACACCACTGCACTCCAGCCTGGGTGACAGAGCGAGACTCCGTCTCAAGAAAAAAAAAAAAAAAGACTGTTAAATCCTGATCCCATGTTTCAAGAGTCAAGAATGTGCTCAAACATCATAAAAGTTTGGGAAGACATGGAGCTGGAGGAACAGGAACTGTAACTGACTATTAAGAATTATAAGAGGTTTAAGGGTGGCAGAAGGTGAAGGTATCCTAAGAGTATATATGAACCTAGAAGTAGAACGTGGGAGCTTGAGGAGGAACTGTGTGGCCTCCCTGCTCAGAACTGAAGGGTTTGGAGATGGGCTTGTGAGAATGGAGCTCTAGGGCTTTAATGAGCTGCGTGCCTCTAGGCATGCTCCTTCCCCTCACCCCCATAGCTCCTCACCCAGAGTGGGGGCTCACATAACCCCCACAACCCCATGCAGATTTGTTTTGAAGAGCATATGGCACAATGCTCATAGCATGTCTGTCACAGTACACAGTGCACGTGGTGTGGGCTTAGTAAGTAATGAACTGTGAGGAACAGTCGAGAACATAGACTCTGTGTCTCTGCTTTGCCTCGCAAGCTGACTGCCCTGTGCTTGTTTTCTTATCTGTAAAACAGGGATGTAACAGTACCCACCTCATTGGTCATTCTGAGGCCGAAATGGGTCATATATGTAAAGTGTTTAGTTCAGGGCATCATTGACAGAGATTGGAGAATGGAGAAACAGCCAACTGCATTCATCTAGATGTTACTTTGCATGTTGATTTCACATATGTAATTCTCTCGGATGATGTGTTCTTCATGTAAGTCATGCATATGGTGTTTTTAGTGAGTTATTCATATATTAGAATCTGTTACGTATTTTCATTTCCTGAGATCAGGTGATAGTGAGATGACATTTGTTCTTAGGCGTTACCTGCATATTTATATTTTTGGTTGTGTATCCTTAAACATTTGACAGCCCCATTTGCTCAAATATACCTACTAAATTGTCATTCCAGAAGGAGGAATGTCACTCATAATACACATTTGCAAATGTTTGCTTAAACTTGAGCCCTTACTAAATACGGTATCTGATGTTTATGCATTAGAAAAACAGTTATTTATATTTCATAAAAGCAGTCAACAATTAGGAAAAGTTCTTACAAGAAAATAAACTAGTTGGTACTCTCCTCACTACTAGGGATCCTATCTAAAGTCCTGATATGTGTGAGTTTTGACACTAGAGACAGACAATTATGCAGATAAACTTATGTTCCAAAATAAGTGCTTTTTGTTTAGGTTGGGAATCCACGTGTTGAACTTACCCTCTCAGAGCTCCAAGATATGGCAGCTAGGCAACAGCAGCAGATTGAAAATCAGCAGCAGATGTTGGTTGCCAAGGTAAGTTATAAAAAGAGGTATTGAAACATTGTTCAAAAAGTACCTTCTTTAACCATCATTTTAGACTGGGGTTAATATATTCTTGGGTAACGCTTATAAAATAGGACCATGCCATAGGAGTGCTAAATGCAGTCTTTCTCTCTTTGTTATCACTTCCATAATAATATATGCATACTGTAGTTTCTGGAAGTTGGGAAGCTATCAGAACAAGAGCATCTCACTTTTGACACATACAATAGACACCCCAAACAGGAAACTGATGACCTTATTAAAATCATAGATAAAATTTGGAAAGGGGCCAGGCACAGTGGCTCCTGCCTGTAATCCCAGCACTCTGGGAGGCCAAGGCAGGAGGATTGCTGGAGCCCAGGAGTTCAGGACCAGCCTGGGAAACATAGTGAGACCCTGTCTCTACAAAAAGTAAAAATTAGGCATGGTGGCATGTGGCTGTGGTCCCAGCTACATGGGAGGTTAAGGCAGGAGGATCACTTGAGCCCAGGAGTTGGTTGCAGTGAGCCAAGATCATGCCACTGCATTCCAGCCTGGGTGACAGAGTAAGTGAGACCCTGTATTAAAAAAAAAAAAAAAGGCTGGGTGCAGTGGCTCACTCCTGTAATCCCAGCACTTTGGGAGGCCAAAGTGGGCGGCTCACAAGGTCAGGAGATTGAGGCCATCCTGGCTAACATGGTGAAACTCCGTCTCTACTAAAAATATTTAAAAAAAATTACCCAGGCTTGGTGGCGGGCGCCTGTAGTCCCAGCTACTCGGGAGGCTCAGGCGGGAGAATGGTGTGAACCCAGGAGGCAGAGCTTGCAGTGAGCCGAGATTGTGCCACTGCACTCTAGCCTGAGCAACAGAGCGAGACTCCATCTCAAAAGAAAAAAAAAACAAAGAAATCGGGAAGAAAGGGTGCTTTTGTTATCTCCTTTTGCCTCTGGGTATGTTCTTGGCTGTGTCATTGGTATTAATGTTCAAGAAGAAAGCAGCAATCCGTGATGAAAACACTGATCAGGGCCACGAAGACAATGACAGGTGGTTAACGGGGCTTCCCCATGTGCTACTCTAGGCTGGACTTGTTTGGTTTATTACAGTGCGGAGTATAGATAATGCTTATTATATATACTGAGTTCTACACTGGTTATTGAAACTCGAATCTTTCTAAGTAATGGTTTAGTCATATTTAATTGAAACATCAGATGTATCACACATGCCTGCTGGAAATGATTCATGTTGTAAATGATCTTAAAATATTCTGAAACTGGCCGGGCGTGGTGGCTTATACCTGTAATCCCAGCACTTTGGGAGGCCGAGGCAGGTGGATCATCTGAGGTCAGGAGTTCGAGACCAGCCTGGCCAACATGGTGAAACCCTGTCTATACTAAAAATACAAAAATTAGCCAGATGTAGTGGCTAACGCCTGTAATCCCAGCCACTCAGGCTGAGCAGGAGAATCTCTTGAAGCCGGCGGTGGAGGTTGCAGTGAGCTGAGATCGCGCCATTGCACTGCAGCCTGGGTGACAGAGCAAGACTCTGTCTCAAAATGAAAAAAAAAAAGAAAAAAAAATTCCAAACTGGCTTTAAAGATAACATTTAAACATTACCAACTAGGTTCTTATTGCTTTCTTCTGTAGAGAGATTTTCTTTATGACTAAAATGTCCAATCTGATTTTTTAAAATTTATTGAATGACTGTATATACTTCATTGTACTATCCACTTTTATGTAAATAATAATTTGGGTTGGACTTGTTTTAAAAAGTTGTCTCAATATTTATTGGATTTATGAGAAAATGATTAAAAGTTAAGTTCAATTGGAAAGTACTTTATCCCATTAATAAGATTTCTAAGATAAAATATACATAGTATTATGTCATTGTAAAAATTTTCTAATTCTGCTTTTTATTTTTTTCCAAATATTGATCCAAGAGTATTGCTGTTCAAAATAGTTATAGATATTTTCAGTAATGTGAATCACAAGTTAATGCTACATCTTAAATATTTAAGCACATATTGTTTTACCTTAGAGTGTAGTATGTAGTGCCTTCATAATCACACCTTAAACCTCTCCCTATGTAGGTGTATTTTATGCATACATATGGGATCATGAATACTTAATGTTGACTCTTTAAGGTATGTTTTCACATTAATAGGGAAAACCCTATTGAAGAATGTTGCATATATTGTTATTTTTAGATTGTTCTGGTATTGTTTGACTCTAAAATGTTTCCTTATTGAAGAAAATAATCCTGAAGAAGCAGACACTTCCTTGATTGTTCAGTATCACAACAAATTGAAGATTTATCTCTTTACTGATCACCTTTATCTCTTTTCAGTGTAAAATTCTCTGCTGGTCAGTGTTCATTTCCTTTAGGAAATGAATTAGATTCTTGGAAGCCACTTTGTAGCAGCAGGAAATGTATTACTTGCACCAGGAAAGTAAGGCTCACTGGAACATCACGGATGTGATAGAGTGAAGAGGAGACTGTGTTAGTGCATGTTCTCCTGCTGGAAGGTTTTCTGCAGAAGCGCTTATATTAACTGGTGTAGATGAGTGTAATAAAACCCTCTCTCACCGGGCGCGGTGGCTCACGCCTGTAATCCCAGCACTTTGGGAGGCCGAGGCGGGTGGATCACGAGGTCAGGAGATCGAGACCATCCTGGCTAACACAGTGAAACCCTGTCTCTACTAAAAAAATACAAAAAAATTAGCTGGGCATGGTGGTGGGCGCCTGTAGTCCCAGCTACTCGGTAGACTGAGTCAGGAGAATGGTGTGAACCCGGGAGGCAGAGCTTGCAGTGAGCCGAGATCATGCCACTGCACTCCAGCCTGGGCAACAGAGCGAGACTCCGTCTCAAAAGAAAAAAAAAAGAAGAAAAAGAAAACCCTCTCTCTTAAAAATCCCGCAGCTCTTACTATTTCATACTTAGGTACGCCCAGTAATTTCAGTTTTTTATGGTCTGATATAAGATTCCTCTAGTGTTTTAGTATTCTTTAAGATGAGTGATACTGTAGAATACTCTCACATTTTTCTTTTTGAGTATATAAAAGTAATCATAAGTTTCAATTTTTTTTTTTTTTTTTTTTTTTTTGAGACTGAGTCTCACTCTGGCACCCAGGCTGGAGTGCAGTGGCACGATCTCAGCTCACTGCAACCTCCATCTCCTGGTTTCAAGCGATTCTTCTGCCTCAGCCTCCCAAGTAGCTGGGACTACAGGCGCACACCACGCCCAGTTACTTTGTGTATTTTTAGTAGAGACAGGGTTTCACCATGTTGGCCAGGCTGGTCTCGAACTCCTGACCTCAGGTGATCCACCTACCTCAGCCTCTCAAAGTGCTGGAATTACAGATGTGAGCCACCGCGCCCAGCCTTCAATTTTCAAAGTTACATTTTTCTTTCTTTTGTTAGGAACAGCGTTTACATTTTCTAAAGCAACAGGAGCGCCGTCAGCAGCAGTCTATTTCTGAAAATGAAAAGCTTCAGAAATTGAAAGAACGAGTTGAAGCCCAGGAGAACAAGCTGAAGAAAATTCGTGCAATGAGAGGACAAGTCGACTACAGCAAAATCATGAACGGCAATCTGTGTACGTGCCTGCAACACCCCCTCGACACCACTCTCACCAGGCCCAGATCCAGTGAAACATAGTCTAACTGCCTGACAATTCAGTCACAAATTCACAGGACTAAATAGCAAGCGTGCTCAAGTTTTGCTCTGTTATTTGCATCTAAAAGGATGGGTGGGTTAGGTTAAGTGATCTTAAAATTGTGTAGTCCCAGCTACTTGAGAGGCTGAGGTGGGAGGATTGCTTGAGCCTGGGAGGTCAAGGCTGCAGTAAGCCACGATCCGGCCAGTGCTCCCCAGCCTGAATGACAATGAGACCCTGTCTCAAAAAAAAATAAAAAGATCTCTTGCGGCCCTCAGACGCAGTAGAAAAATCCTCTTGTTACGTTGGTACCAGCGGCCCTTTGGATTAGGGTGGGGCGCTCCAAGACTTACTCATTCAGAGGGTCTGTTTTTCTTGAATAACTTAACTTGTATCCGTGCATTAAGATAAGTTATGCTGATGCTCACTTTTTTTCTGTATGAACTCTTATTTTATTCATTGGTTCAGTCTGTGCCTACTTTAAGTCACAGTGATGCACGAGAGAGGCTTGGATGGCCCTGCCTTCACAAAACCTTTGGTCTCAGAGATTTCTAAGTCACTTGAACAAACTAGCTTATGGACTGATTACCCTAAAGAATAGTCGGGAATTAATGCAAATATAATTGTTTGCTTTATGAGTAATCAGATACATGTGTCCCAAAGGCTTTTTGAAATGTGTTGTGGATTCTGCATATCACAGCTTTCTCCACGGTCTGGCACTAAATGATACTAGAATTAAGTTCAGTGTATAGAAATGAAAAAAAAAAAGGATCAACTAAATCTTTTATTCTTTTCTTGTGTGGTCAATTATAGCTGCTGAAATAGAAAGGTTCAGTGCCATGTTCCAGGAAAAGAAGCAGGAAGTACAGACTGCAATTTTAAGGGTTGATCAGCTTAGTCAGCAATTGGAAGATTTAAAGAAAGGAAAACTGAATGGGTTCCAGTCTTACAATGGCAAATTGACGGGACCAGCGGCGGTGGAGTTAAAAAGACTGTACCAAGAACTACAGGTAACTCCTGGGTCTGGCAATGGTTGTATTAAAACATTCTCATCTTTCTATCTTTCATTAGCATGGGTTGGAAACCTTAGGAAGTGGAAACAAATTAGTAGATTCTAATTTAATAATAGGCACAAGATATATTCAGTACAAAATAATTTTTTAAATGACTTGGGATAGGCCGGGTGCGGTAGCTCACGCCTATAATCCCAGCACTTTGGGAAGCCGAGGCGGGCAGATCACAAGATCAGGAGTTTGAGACCAGCCTGGCCAATATGGTGAAACCCCGTCTCTACTAAAAATAGAAAAATTAGCTGGGCGTGGTGGCGCATGCCCGTAGTCTCAGCCACTTGGGAGGCTGAGGCAGAAGAATCACTTGAACCCGGGAGGCAGAAGCTGCAGTAAGCCAAGATTGCGCCACTGCACTCCAGCCTGGGTGACAGAGTGAGACTCTGTCTCAAAAAAAAAAAAAAAAAAGGATCTAATTCACACAGCGTACAATTCATCCATTTCAAGGATACAATTCAGTGGCTTCAGTACCTTCACCGACTTGTCAGTTACATCCACCGCCACAGTTAATTTTAGAACATTTTTATCACCCAAAAAAAAGGCCCGCACCTCTTAGCCATCACCCCACAACCTCCATACCCTCCAGAGCCTGGCAGCCACAGATCTACTTTCTGTCTCTGTAGATTTGCCTATTCTGGACGTTTCATATGAATGGAATCATGCAGTACAGGTTGAGCATCCTTAATCCGATAATCTAAAATGCTTCAAATCTGAAACTTCCTGAGCTCCAGCGTGGCATGCAAAGGAAATACATGCTCATTGGAGCATTTTGGATTTTGGATTTCCAGATTAGGAAGGATGCTAAACAGGTAAATATAACATAAATATTTAAAAATCTGAATGAATCCAACATCTGAAATGCTCCGGGTCCCCAGCATTTTGGTTAAAGGATATTAACCAAAACACACCCTGTATGCGGTCCTTTGTGACCGGCTTCTTTCACTTAGGATGTTTTCAGCACAAAATAATTCAATTAGCAGATAATAATCCAGTAAAGAATTAAACTTAGGGTGATATTTTAAGGCCTTTGTGTAAACTCTTTTGATGAGCTAGGTGCCTATTGTTAAATCTTTGTCTTAGCTCAGACTGCTATAACAAAATATCATAGGCTGGATGGCTTAAACTATAGACATTTATTTCCCACTGTTCTGGAGGCTGGAAGTCCAAGATCAAGGTGCCAGCAAATTCAGTTTCCAGTGAATGTTCACTCCCTGGCTTGCAGAGAGCCGCCTTCTCGCTGTGTCCCCACGTAGTGGAGAGAGAGTTGTAGTCTCTCTCCGTGAACTTCATCATGGGGGGCCCCACCCTCATGACCTTGCTTAAACCTAATTACCTCCTAAAGACCCTGCCTCCAGACACCATTACAATGGGGTTAGGGCTTCAACATAGAGATTTTGGGGGACACATTCAGTCCTTAACAATCCTTAAGATTTTCATGTCTCAGAAGTTGTCATTCAGCAGGCGATTTTTCAAGCCAGAAATAGGTCTTGCTGCTTTATTAGCACTTGCTAGAAAAAATATTACATCATTTTATGAAATGAGGGTATTTAACTACATAGAGTAAAATCACTTGTGGTTGCTGTTAAGTTCTTTAACGTAAATGCATAGAAGTACTACAGTATTATAAGGTTTCATGACTTCTACATTTTAAGCGATTGTTAAAAGTGCAGCGTTTTAAGGATTTTTTGGTGAAATGTGATGAGTGTAATATAAGGATGTCATTTATTTCCAACTTTTTGGACTGCAGTCCAGGTTTTTGTTTGTTTGTTTTTGTTGTTGTTGTTTTGTTTTTCTTTTTTTTGAGACGGAGTCCAAGGCTGGAGTGCAGTGGCACGATCTCGGCTCACTGCAACCTCTGCCTCCAGGGTTCAAGCGATTCTCCTGCCTCAGCCTCCCCAGTAGCTGGGATTACAGGCACCCGCCACCATACCTGGCTAATTTTTGTATTTTTATTAGAGACGGAGTTTCACCATGTTGGCCAGGCTGGTCTCGAACTCCTGACCTCGTGATCTGCCTACCTTGGCCTCCCAAAGTATTGGGATTATAGGCGTGAGCCACTGCGCCCAGCCTGCAACCCAGTTTTTATTGTTGTTTTTTGTTTGTTTGTTTTTTGAGACAGAGTCTGCCTCTGTCACCAAGGCTGGAGTGCAGTAGGGCAATCTCAGCTCACTGCAACCACCGCCTCCTGGTTTCAAGCAATTCTCCTGCCTCAGCCTCCCGAGTAGCTGGGATTATAGGCACATGCCACCACACCTGGCTAATTTTTGTATTTTTAGTAGAGACAGGGTTTTACCATGTTGGCCAGGCTGGTCTTGAACTCTTGACCTCAGGTGATCCACCCACCTCGGCCTCCCAGAGTGCTGGGATTACAGGCGTGAGCCACCGCACCCGGCCTGCAATCCAGTTTTTAAAAGTACATTTTACGTCCTGTTGAGTATACACACGGAAGTGTGTATGTACTAGTGCTGTGGGCATCCGAAAGTTTAAGACAGCTCTTACTATGGGAAGTACACTCTGATATTTTCTGTTCTGTCCTAGTTCATTTCTTTAAAATGCTGGTTGCAAGCCACTAAAATGATGTAAAGGTGCTTCACTTGGTGACTCAGGCCATCCTTTTTGGTCCTTTTTGAGTTTCCTGCTGCCTCCACAGTAAGGTGCATCATGTGGTGGGCTCAGGCCTGAAGCAGCTCCATGGGGTGGAGCAGAGCATCCTTTAGTTTCTGAGAGTCCCAAACACCGCACTAGTCTCCTGTAATCATCATTGGCACTAGTCATTTCGTGTGCTTTGAAGAAGATGCTTACAGATGTTTGCTCTTTCTTTGTTCCATGAGAACGCTGTCCTGGCTTATCTCTGCTGTACCTGTGAAATATTCCACACAAGGTGGCAGTGCATGCATGTAAATATACATGAGAACTTAATGCTACTTTTTCTTTTTTAATCTCCCTGGCAATGAGAATTTGACTTTTAATTAACACAAATCATAAAGGTTGTATTTTGTGGTTTGTAGATTCGTAACCAACTTAACCAGGAACAAAATTCAAAACTTCAGCAGCAGAAGGAACTCTTAAATAAGCGCAACATGGAGGTGGCCATGATGGACAAGCGAATCAGTGAACTGCGTGAACGTCTCTATGGGAAAAAAATTCAGGCATGTGAAAAAGTTTTTGTGAGATAAACTACTAAAGATAGTTTATCCAAGCATTGCCCATCTTCTGTAAGTAGCAGTATGCTCCCCCATCCACCATAACTGATAAAACATAAATAGGCCATAAACCATCAAAAATGACAGAACAGAGTTCCTTCTCCCAGTGACTCATTTATTTCCTGGTGTGTGGAGGCAGAACCATCCTCAGCCTGCAGCCTTGCTCTCAGTGTCCTGGCCTTCCTTCCTCCCCATGTGTTTCTGTCTCCTCTTCACTGGGGGATGCTGTTGGCTCTGGAGTCACAGCATCTGTCACGGTCCGCACTCTGCCATTTTAAGCTGTGCCACTTTGAGCAAATTCTTTGACTTGCGTAGCCTCATGTTCTTGCTGTAAAGTGATTTGTCCTACCTGCCCCGTGAGTTGTTGTAAGGATTCTTATAAATAAGCCATGTAGAAGGATTTTGTAAACTCTTGACCAAAATGCTATGTAAGGGGTTATGCTTCTAAAAAATCCTTATTTGATACTGAATTTTAAAGGTAGTAAATACTCATTGAAAAAGTAATACAATAAAATACTCATTGAATAAATACTCAATGAAAAAATAATACGATAAAATACTCATTGAATAAATGCTCATTGAAAAAATGAGTATTAACCTTTGAAATTCAGTATCAAAGATTTTGGACTTGCCAGCGTCCACAATCACATGAGTCGATTCCTTAAGATAAATCTCTTAAGTACAGAAATATTTAAGGGAAAATGTGAAAGTCCTTTCCACCCTGTTCTCTAGAGGTGATAGTTGCTAATGGTTCCAGTCTTTTCCCTAATAAAGACACAAAGGTACAGAACTTTAACTGAAAATGGGATTGCAGGAATTACACTAGTCTCACTGCTCACCTTGTCTTTTTCTAACTGCAGCACGGGTGTCTTTCCAGGTCGTTACTTCATTCTGGTTGCACCATCTGAAAGCTATTCCCTGGTCCCAGGGCCTATACCCCTTTACCACCCTCTGTAGTCAGGCAGGGAGTCCTGAGTCTTGCTGCTGCTCACAGTGCATTGGTGAGCACATGTACCACTGAGCCGCCTGCATGGAGGAGGGGCGCCTGCACTCTGTGTCTTTGGCCGGATGTGGCACTTGACTTTCTCGCACCTGTGGCACTCAGTGATTAGGGGAGCAGTGCCTGAATGCAGAGCTGAGTGCATTCTGCCCTCGTGGTAGGAGAATGGAGCACCCACTCTCCTGACCCACCAGCAAGGACTCCCTTCCCACATCTCCCTTCTGCATATAGTTTGGTGACAGAATAGTGTCCTCTTGTTAGCCTCTACTGCTCTGAAAGATGCTCTGAGGAGGCAGCATGGGCTTGAAGGCCTTTGCCTAGGGGGAGTGGGTGTGGAGGGTGGTAGACGTAGAAGGGAGCTTCCAGTTCTGTGGATGTCACAGTCTCTCATTTACAAATCTGCCCTTCTTTTAAAAAAACAACACAGTGAGTTTAAAGATCAGTAGTTTATTTGTACAACTTTATGATTTCAGATGTTGGTTTTCCTTTTTCTCAAGATTAACAACAAAGAGGCCATGTGAGAGAGAGGCTGCAAGCACTTTCCCTGTGCTTACATATGCTCCTCAGTAATGGCGTAGTAGTCAGGGCTTCCTAGAGAAAGAGAACCAGTAGCGTGCGCGTGCACGTGTGTGTGTGTGTGTGTGTGTGTGTGTGTGTGTGTGTGTGTGTGTGTATGTGATTTAAGGAATTGGCTCACATGATTGTGGACGTTGGCAAGTCCAGAATCTGTGAGGGCGGCCGGCAGCGTGGAGGCCCAGGGAGGATGTTGCAGCTGGAGTCCGAAGGCCAACTCTAGGCAGGATCCCGCTTTCTCAGGGCGTCTCTCTGTTTCTCTTAAGGCATTCCACTGATTGGATGGGGCCCACCCACCTTCTAGAGGGTCATCTGCTTCACTCAAATCTACCAATTTGAAAGTTAATCTCTTCCAGATTGGAGACTATTATTCTAAGTGAAGTAACTCAGGAATGGAAAACCAAACATTGTATGTTCTCACTCATAAGTGGGAGCTAAGCTATGAGGATGCAAAGGCATAACAATGACACAGTTGACTTTGGGGACTCGGGGAAAGGGTGGGAAGGGAGTGAGGGATAAAAGACTACAAATTGTGTGCAGTGTGCACTGCTAGAGTGCACTAAATCTCACAAATCACCACTAAATAACTTACTCATGTAACCAAACACCACCTGTTTCCCAAAAACCTATGGAAATTAAAAAAAAAAAGTTAATCTCATCTGGAAAATACCTTTTCAGCAACATGTCGTCTGGTATTTGGCCAAATATCTGGTTACTGTGACCTAGTCAAGGTGATGTGTAAAGTTATCCATCACAAACAGCTAGATTCATTCCACCTACACTTCAAGGGATCGCCTTGAAGAAGTCAGTATTTTTGCAGAGATGCGTCTCCACCCAAAGGTCCTAGGTACCTTTGAGCAATTGTGAAAGCCATAACCCCTCACCCCGAAATGACCTGTCCTCATGCATATAGAATCTTACAATCACAGGGGTTATGGATCCTATTTAGAGCCTATATTGAAATCTTGAGGACGTCAGTAGTTCTCTAGAATCCCTGTTCCAGGCGCCTCTGTTCCTGAGCAGTGTTATGTGAACAGTGTCCTCTGTCTGTGGCTCTGTGTCCTGGCTGAGAAAGGCAGCGCTGCCTTCAGGGAACTGGGCCCATTGCTGGGAGTCAGAGCCTTACGTGCTCACTGTGCCCCACGTGGCTTAGACAGTACCGGCTACAGCCCTTATCCCGACTCCACGGGTGTGAGCACAGAGGCTGAGTCACCTGCCCGAAGCAGCACAGCGAGTAAGTCACAGAGGGGATTTGAAGCCAGGCTCAGAGCCCAGGATTTGACCAGTGTCTCTGTGCCCACTCAAGGGAGGAAGAGTATCCTGAGTAAGAGGGAAGCTGCATGTGGATCACGGGGAAGTTGCTCTGCCCTCACATCAGCTCCTCATGTGTACAGCTCCAGATGGGTGGGTGTTGTCGGAGAATTGCTCATAGGAAGCTACAGTTCCTTCTCCACAGTCTCCCCTTCTAGATGCTGATCTTTCCAGATGACAGGCTTCCTAAAAACCAACCACTGAGTGAGTGCTTTCTGTCCGAGCTGGCAGTCTCTTGCACTAAGCTTAGGACTTCTTTGAATGTAGGAGAATCTTGACTCTCATTTCTTCCCAATTTGTAGCTGAACCGTGTGAATGGCACGTCATCACCACAGTCCCCTCTGAGCACATCGGGCAGGGTCGCTGCTGTGGGGCCTTATATCCAGGTTCCCAGTGCCGGAAGCTTTCCTGTGCTGGGGGACCCTATAAAGCCCCAGTCTCTCAGTATTGCCTCAAATGCTGCTCATGGAAGATCCAAATCCGGTGAGTGGTCCTGGCCCTCTTCCTGGGGGAGAGTTTGTGAGCAGGGAATGGGGCCTGCGGTGGAGGGGCGGGGGGTGGGGCAGGCTCCTGAGGCTCTGCCCCACACATCGTCAGACTCCAGGCTCAGTCTCCCCGTGAGGCGCTTGGAGAGCTGTGTTCCCCTGTGGTAACAATCCTAAAAGGAAAACAAGTTATTTTTACTGAACTAGAGGTCTCTACTGTGTGGCTTTTCAAAACACAAATGATTAATTAAAACTCTGATCCATGGGCCGGGTGCAGTGGCTCACGCCTGTAATCCCAGCACTTTGGGAGGCCAAGGCGGGTGGATCACCTGAGGTCAGGAGTTCAAGACCAGCCTGGCCAACATGGTGAAACCCTGTCTTTACTAAAACTACGAAAATTAGCCGGGCGTGGTGGCGTGCACCTGTAATCCCAGCTACTCAGGAGGCTGAAGCGGGAGAATCACTTGAACCTGGGAGGCGGAGGTTGCAGTGAGATCGTGCCACTGTGCTTCAGCCTGGGCAACAAGAGTGAAACTTCATCTCAAAAAAAACAAAACAAAACAAAACAAAAAAAACTGACCCACGAGTGTCCTCTCTTACTGCAGGTTTATTTACTCTGAGGACACTGAGGCCCGGCATGGATGCCTCACCACAACTCGGCTACAGCCAGCCAAGTGGAGGGGCTGCCCCTACAAACAGCGCTCTGTCCTCATTGATCAAAGTCCACACATCGTTGGTTTGGTCTTGACCTCACAATGGTGCTGTGTGATGGACTTGGACCTCTAGTGTAGTCCATGGGTGGTGCCCCTGCCAAGCAGAGGGCAAGCTGTTCATGGAGAGTCTGTTTCTCAACCAGTGCATTAAAAGTGTTGGGGCTTCCTTGCAATAAGACTTTCTTTATGACTGAGGTTGACACATTTCCCTGAAACACACAGCATCAGGAATCCCTGTCCTGATGTATTGAAACATTCCTTCGTTTATGAAAACAGTACTGTTACTCTCTGGCCATCAGGCCTGTGTTTCGAGCCCCTTTTTCGGGATTGTGGTGGATTTGTGCTCATCTTTGTTTGCTTCATTTTCTCTTGCCTGGCCCCCAGGAGGGACAGCGACACATCTGTTGCCCCCACTGGGGAGCTTGGGTCTTGTTATGAACTCCGAAAGAGAAGAGCATCACCAGCACTTGTGAGCCACAAGCCCCCACTCAGATCCCTTACGGCCGTGTCTCAGCAGCCACATAAAGTGTGGGGTTGGCATGAACCCCTAACTGCAGGTTGCTCTGCTAAGCTGTTATTTATAGTTTGAACCACCCTGTGGTAGGAGTAGATATTTGTCTGTTTCCAGTGGGAGGTAATTAGCACAGCCAGCTACTTCTCTGCTGACTTCCTTTGAGAAACTCCCCAAGGTGAGAAATGTCTCCTGTGTCCCGTCCTTGTTGGTGTCTGCTGTGCTGCCTCAAGGGGTTGCAGCAAGGAGATGCCTTCACGAAGCCCTGGTCCTAGCCTCTGCTGTGGATGAAAGTCATGGACACGGGGAACCTGTGCTCACCTTCAGAGTCGGGGCAGCAGCTCAGCCCAGAGGTGGAGCTGGGCTGTGAAGCCTCCTGGCAGGGACTCTAATCCCTTGCTGTTGGCTGTCCTGGTTCTGTGTCACACAGATGGCCACAGTAAACCCAGAGTGACCAGCTCATGGACAGTGTCAGACCTCGACGTCGGGCCTAATTATGGCTCCTCGCGGCCCTCTGCAAGCCCATTTGTAAACCGTATGTTGGCTGACAAGCTTAGTGGGAAGCTGCGTCCTCTTTAATATGTACAAAATCACCTGTCACTTGTTTTTCCAAACTGACAAAGGTCTGCTCATCACATCTAGATTTGAAAAAGATGCCACACAAACGTAATTTGTCCCTTTCTTCAACAGACAGGTATGGAGTCTGGGTGGGGCCACGTGTACCCTCCCATCCTTAGAAAGAGTGTGACACCAAGGGACAGATGCTGGCGTAGCGCGGGTTTTGTTTTGGAGGGTTTTTTGTTTGTTTTTACAAAATTAAGATATTTCTGAGTTTATTATGAGGCTTTTAGTTTTACAATCATACTAAAAGATAATTGTTCCTCTATAAAATGATTTTCCTTCTGTACCTCTTGCCTTCTTCTGAAGAAAGGAGAAAATTGCTTTTTAGTCCCCACTATGGCTGATTTCCATAAAACTTCCTGTTGTTGCTGGGTGGTTTCTGAAGCACCTGGACAGCCACATTCCCTGTGACCCTGAGACCACAGGCCCTGTCCTTGGGGAGGCTGCAGGTTTCTGGCCACACATCCTCCAGGCCACGTGGAGCAAGATGGCAGTTGGTCCAGGGGCCTTGGAATGCCTCGCCAGGACCCACGGGGCTTGACTAGAGCTGTCTCAGAAGCCGCTGCCTGGAGCCTGCATCATAACTTCACAGCCCAGCAGTGTATGCAGCTGGGGTTGCGGTGCGGCTGCATCGGGTCAGTTTGGCTTAGGAGCAAGCCGTGTGAGGCTGCGGCTGATGGGCCCTGTGTTGCCCAGGCGCTCAGAGCGCAGCCGGGAAGCTTCCTCGTCATGTGCTATGAGTCCGGAGTTCTGGCTCAGACGTTGTTGTGAGGACCACTGATTTTCCTGCTGCTACTTAGTTATCCCCTCCTGCCTGTGCTGGCAGATGGGATAAGGGAAGGGGATGTGCTGTTCCTGCCAGGAGGGCCTAAAAGAGTCCCTCTGATTTCTGTCTGTCCCATATTGCTGATGGCGCTGGAAGCGTTGAACACTTTAGTTCAGTTCAGCACCTGTTCCTGTAAAAGAGAACCAGGAGCCTGTGTTATAATGGACTTTCGGCCACTGTGAGGGGCCTTGTGTTACAAGGGGATACTTCTGCACCCTTTTTCAGTTTGGAAAATACTCTGTAAAGAACCTGTCATTTCAGTGGCTTTCCTGAAAACTTGGGGTTGATGACCAGCTTTCTAATCACTGCAACAGAATGATAGCCTGCTCCTCCTGCTACGCAAATCAGTGGGAACCTGCACGGGCCTCCTGTGATCATAAGTTACCTTAGAGGGCAGAAATTTTTATCTCAATAATTAAAGTACTACAGGTCAAACCTATTATGAAGTCAAAAGATAAATCTTTTTTATTGCTCTATGTAATTGTATTCATAAATAGTGTTTCAAAAGTAAGGGCCAGTGCTTATTTTGTTTGGTGGTGCTGATGCAATGGATTTGACCTGTGTTAAAATAGGGTGCAGCCCCAGGCCCACACCAGTGGAGCCTTGGTTTGGCGTGAGTCTCTGGTAACACTTGAGGCGATTTGGGCGTTGGCAGTGAGCTGCCAGCAGAGCCCGTCCCTTGGTCTTGTGCACGGGTCTGTGGGTGCTGGAGGAGATCAGCAGTTGTGCATGTGGCTGGTGGTTGACCACTCGGTTAATGGATCTGCATCAGAATGGGATGTCCCAGTGCTGTTTTTGTTTCTGGCAGAGTGTTATTCTTAGGTTGGTTCAACTACATTGAGAAAAGTTTTACGTAAGTTCTGTGTTCTTTTCAAGCTAATGATGGAAACTGGCCAACATTAAAACAGAATTCTAGCTCTTCCGTGAAACCAGTGCAGGTGGCCGGTGCAGACTGGAAGGATCCGAGCGTGGAGGGGTCTGTCAAGCAGGGCACTGTCTCCAGCCAGCCTGTGCCCTTCTCAGCACTGGGACCCACGGAGAAGCCGGTAGGCCTGTGTCTTTACCACAGAACACAAGCGGGCTCTTCAACAGGGCTCTCTTCTGCCTTAGTACTAAGCTAAAGGGTATGACTTGTCAGGAGGCAAGTTAATCCTGTTATTGTCCAGACAACACCCAAAGTCCTAGAGGGTTACTGGGCCCTAAGAGCCTGAGCAGCCCACGAGTACACACACCTTTCGGTCAGAACTTTTGCAGACAGGCAATGAGCTCAACAGTGTGCCCCAAGTCCTGGTCACAGCCAATTTGACGGATTACAAATTCTACTGTGTATTCTCTTGGGAATGTGGGTGGAAATATTCTTAACTGTTCAAAGGGTGACTTTGTTTTTCTTCTTAACACCTAAACTTAGGGCATCGAGATTGGTAAAGTGCCACCTCCCATCCCGGGTGTAGGCAAGCAGCTGCCTCCAAGCTATGGGACATACCCAAGTCCTACACCTCTGGGTCCTGGGTCGACAAGCTCCCTGGAAAGGAGGAAGGAAGGCAGCTTGCCCAGGCCCAGTGCAGGCCTGCCAAGTCGACAGAGGCCCACCCTGCTGCCCGCCACAGGCAGCACCCCCCAGCCAGGCTCCTCACAACAGATTCAGCAGAGGATTTCCGTACCGCCAAGTCCCACGTACCCGCCAGCGGGACCACCTGCATTTCCAGCTGGGGACAGCAAGCCTGAACTCCCACTGACAGTGGCCATTAGGCCTTTCCTGGCTGATAAAGGGTCAAGGCCACAGTCTCCCAGGAAAGGACCCCAGACAGTGAATTCAAGTTCCATATACTCCATGTACCTCCAGCAAGCCACACCACCTAAGAATTACCAGCCGGCAGCACACAGCGCCTTAAATAAGTCAGTTAAAGCAGGTAGAGTGGGTTTATACTCTCCTTTTCTTGGGGCTAGGAAATTATACTTTTAATTAAGAAAATACTAATGTATTTCTTTACGTTTGGGCCACGTGCTATTTAGGATTAAACTTAATTCTTACATAAAAGTACAGCCTTGGGTGTCAGTGTGAGAAGGGAATGGAAGCTGGAATGCATGGAGGAGGCTGTTTTGCAGATGGCTCACAGTTCTCTGACTTCCTGTCTGAGCAGCCACCTCCGTGTGCTACTTAGGAAATCCAGCTCCGGGAAGGGTGAGATGTCGAGAATTTCCTCTTTTCCTTCTGTTTCGTGGTAACTTGTGCCGGGAGCTGTCCAGTGCGTAGAGGGTGGCCTTGACCACTGGCCCTCCTGGTAGTGGCTGAGCCCGACCCCTGGGCATGGGCAGTTTAAGGAGGGCGTCTGCTGCGTAGGAGCCTCCCCCATAGCCCAGAGGGGAGGAAAGCCTTGGTTTGGGTTATGGAGCTCAGATGTTCTAAGAAGGCAGCTGAGAGAAGGTAGCTTAGTTCCACACCTACCACAGAGGCTGATGGTGTTTCCGACTCTTACGGGAGGAAGCCGCGGGTCAGGTCTAGGCTAGGGCCTTCTTAGACATTCCTGGGCATTGGCTGCAGCTTCTAGACTCACAGTTGAGGGATTCCTGGACGTGCCTAGTCACTTCCTGCACAGGGACCTCCCAGGTGGTGGTGCAGTGTTCCCTTGTGGGGAGGGTTCTGGCTGTGGTGGGAAAGGCTTAGACCATTCTCAAGAGCTCCTGGACCTCCAGGTAAAACCTTCCTGCTCTGAGGAGGCGCGTGTGTCTCCGTCATGTGAGTTAGTCCAAGAATCAGATGCATGTTTAGTGGTTTTTGTCTTTTTCCTTGGCCAGAAAACAGGCAGGCTTGTCTGCGGCAGGAAAAGTCGGGTTAGCACCCTATTTTTTTCTTTTGAAAAAGCTCCAGTTCTGGAAACCCAAATGTAAAAACCGACACATTAGAGAGGCACTGCACCTTTCAGAAGGAGTCAGTGGAGGCTCTAAGAGGGGGAGGTTTCCTCAGAGATTTGAAATGAGAATTGAATAACAGCAGCAGATGTATATGTGTGTCTTTGCAGGAGCCTGTCTCTGGTGTAATCATAGGTGTGTATGACTAGATCTCTGTAGTGAGGTCAAAATTGCCTGTCCTTTGTGTCTTCCCCAGTGTATGGTAAGCCCGTTTTACCTTCGGGTTCAACCTCTCCATCGCCGCTGCCGTTTCTTCACGGGTCACTGTCCACGGGCACACCACAGCCTCAGCCACCTTCAGAAAGTACTGAGAAAGAGCCTGAGCAGGATGGCCCCGCCGCCCCCGCAGATGGCAGCACCGTGGAGAGCCTGCCACGGCCACTCAGCCCCACCAAGCTCACGCCCATCGTGCATTCGCCACTGCGCTACCAGAGTGATGCAGACCTGGAGGCCCTCCGCAGGAAGCTGGCCAACGCGCCCCGGCCCCTGAAAAAGCGCAGCTCCATCACAGAGCCCGAGGGCCCCGGCGGGCCCAACATCCAGAAGCTGCTGTACCAGCGCTTCAACACCCTGGCCGGTGGCATGGAGGGCACCCCTTTCTACCAGCCCAGCCCCTCCCAGGACTTCATGGGCACCTTGGCCGATGTGGACAATGGAAACACCAATGCCAATGGAAACCTGGAAGAGCTCCCCCCTGCCCAGCCCACAGCCCCACTCCCCGCTGAGCCTGCCCCGTCATCAGATGCCAATGATAATGAGTTACCTTCCCCCGAACCAGAGGAGCTCATCTGTCCCCAAACCACCCACCAAACTGCCGAGCCGGCAGAGGACAATAACAACAACGTGGCCACGGTCCCCACCACGGAGCAGATCCCGAGTCCTGTGGCTGAGGCCCCATCTCCAGGGGAAGAGCAGGTCCCTCCAGCACCTCTTCCCCCTGCCAGCCACCCTCCTGCCACCTCCACGGTGGGTGTCATTGCTAGACCAAAGCCTGGCCTTCCTGGTCATTCATGCAACCAGGACCTCTGGGGTCCTTCCCTTGGTCAGGCTGTGCTGGGAGCAGTGGGAACCAGGGATGTCCCTGAGTTACGTCTTGTAGGGAGGACGGACAGTCACACAGACAAATGGGGCATGAAAAGGCATGACAAATGGGGCTCGGCCACACAAATGCACAATGTGGCCAAGCCTTTCCCAGACAGCTGGTCAGGGAGCTCCAGAGGCTTTCCTGAGGAAGGGGAGCTGTCGCTGGCACCTGAAGGTCCTGTAGAGAGACGAGGGAAGAAGCATCTAGACAAAGGCCCTGGGTGGGAGGTCAGTGTTGACGGAGCAGAGAGGGAGCCAGGCGCCATCTCAGGGAACCCTCAGTGGGATTCTCTCCACTAGGATCTGGTGCCATAGCAGGAAGAACCCTGTCGCATGTGGGCAGGAACGAGCTGCTGGCTCCCATCAGCTACTTGGCAGTCACACGCCACCCTCCCTCCCACAGAGTCTTCCGAGGAGTGGCC
Organism: Homo sapiens; assembly: GCF_000001405.40. NCBI lineage: Eukaryota > Metazoa > Chordata > Mammalia > Primates > Hominidae > Homo > Homo sapiens. Next base: position 103,739,284 of record NC_000014.9, on the reverse strand, counting down.
AGAAGCTCAAACACAGCCGTGTCCCTCTGTGCGTGAGCCAGGGACTCAGGCCTCAGACAGGGCTCTCCCTTGTAGTGAGCAGAGTGGCCCTGGCCCTTATTTGAGGTGGTCACCTGGGCGCTGCTACTGCTACCACTCCAGGGCTGCTTCGCGGAGCCACTGTCTTTGGGCTTTAGCTCCCACCACTCCTTCCCAGCAGGCGTGGGTTCTTAGACTTCAGTGGACCACCTTTAACTGGAAAGCGTGCTTCCTTCCCAACAGAACAAGCGGACCAACTTGAAGAAGCCCAACTCGGAGCGGACGGGGCACGGGCTGAGAGTCCGGTTTAACCCCCTGGCACTGCTCCTAGACGCGTCTCTGGAAGGAGAGTTCGATCTGGTGCAGAGGATCATCTATGAGGTGAGCTGCAGCCGGGGACCAGTGCACGCTGCTGGGGGCGAGGGGATGGGCGCTCACAGGCCGTGTGTCCTAGGTGGAAGATCCCAGCAAGCCCAACGACGAAGGGATCACCCCACTGCACAACGCCGTCTGCGCCGGCCACCATCACATCGTGAAGTTCCTGCTGGATTTTGGTGTCAACGTGAATGCTGCTGATAGTGATGGATGGTGAGGCCCGTAGGAGTGTGGGGTGGACAGATTTACTTTCCCTGCTTTGCATAAGGAAAACAGGCGTGTTCTAGACAATTAGGAAGCACGGAAGAGAGAATTAGAGCAAGAACACCCATCATTTCATCCTTGAAAGACAGCTGTTGCCAGGGTTTCCTTGCCTTTTTTTCCAGCCTTTTCTCTTGATGATTTTGTTAAAAACGTGGCTGTGGTTATGCTCTTTCTGTGCCTCGTCATTAACATTGCAGTCTAAGCATTCTGTGAATCATTCCATCTTCCCCTTCTCATATGTTCCGTATGGACTCTTCACACTCTGTGCTCCGTGTGAAAAGCAGCCTCAGCATCCCCCTGGGTCAGGCATGTAGGTTGTCGCATTGTTCATTCCGTTTGCCTTCGGGAGCTCTGCTGCTGGGCGAGGCGTGTTGGTCTCCTGTGGGGGTTATTTTGAACTTTCAGACAGCTGACATTGTGCTGCATTTGAATCGTGGTAAAATACACATAACATAAAATTTCACATCTTAGCTATTTTTAAATGTGTGTTTCAGTGTGTTATGTACATTCACATCACCATGCAGTGTGGCGTGAACATCTGTGGATTGGCCATTTCTTAACCCATTCCCTGTGCCCCCTTTTCAAAATGTATGTATGGTCTGAAACAATTGGCTCATGGAAATCCTGCCTTTAAAGAAACAACACTGAGACTTGATGGCACAAAGGTGAACGCCTTCCGCGAGATTCCTTAGAGGGAAATCTCTGAGGGCCACGTCCTACAGGACAGGCAGTGCCAGGCCTGCACCTTCACCCACGCTCTATTCCAGGACGCCGCTGCACTGCGCTGCCTCTTGTAACAGCGTTCACCTCTGCAAACAGCTGGTGGAGAGTGGTGCCGCCATTTTTGCCTCAACCATAAGCGACATTGAAACTGCTGCAGACAAGTGTGAGGAGATGGAGGAAGGCTACATCCAGTGCTCCCAGTTTCTATATGGTACGCAGGGGAGGCCTGGGGCCACAGTGGTGCTGTCTGCTGTGGTACTGCCATGGCAACAGTCAGCCGGTGCCAGAGAAGCTTCAGCACAGCTTTCTGTTTGTTTTTTTTAAGACAGGAGACAAGGTCTCATTCTGTCACCCAGGCTGGAGTGCAATGTCGCAATCATGGCTCACTGCAGCCTCGACCTCCCGGGCTCAATTGATCCTCCCACTTCAGCCTCCCAAGTAGCTGGGACTACAGGCTTGTCCCACCACAGCCAGCTAATTTTTTGTACTTTTTTTTTTTTTTTGTAGAGACAGTGTTTCGCCATGTTGCCCAGGGTGGTCTCGAACTTCTGGGCTCCAGCGATCTGCCCACTTTCAGCCTCCTAAAGTGCTGGGATCACAGGTGTGAGCCACCGTGCCTGGCAGCACAGCATTCTCGAGCTGTTCCACCTTCTTCAGGGGCAGCCAGGATGTCTCACTCGAGTGAAGGTCACACTGCCCCTTGTTTTCATTCCTGAAAACATGTTTGAAAGTCCATGTTGTTAGAAGGATTCTGTGCCAGATTCCCAAGAAAACAAAATGACTTGGCTGTGCTTTGCATAGATGTTCTGTACCCTTGCTTCTGGAAGCAGGGCCAGCTCCTTTCCTGGGGTGGCCTGGGGCCCTGGCCATTCCCCGGAAACATTTGATGAATGAGGCTCATGTCCTAATTAAGCTGCTTTAGCCAGGGCCGCATTTTCCAAGAGCTGGAACATCTTCTCTATTCTGAGTATTAAACAGTCACAAGTCATTTATTCCACACATTACTTGAGAACATACTATGTGCCCTACACTGGACTCTAGGTTTGAAATTATCCATGAAAACAGCCATGTGATGCCCTCTTTGGCCCAAGCTCCCACAACAGAGCCAAGCAACAAACTCTCAGGCTGTGTGGCAGGGCTAGGGGAGGCACAGCAGCCCCCAGGTGAGTCCCGCCAGTGTGAGGAGGAGGCTGCCGTCACAGTGGCACCACCACAGGGAAGGGAAGCTCCCCATGGTCACCACAACTGGGTCTCAGAAGCAGAGTGTCCCACAGAAGGGCCCTTTCTTGGGAACCCACAAGTAGCTGCTCAGTCAGGGCTCAGTTGTGTGTAGTTTGTTCATTACCATCCAAGAGCAGTCACAGCTGCTCTAGCTAGTGACTTTAGAAATCTGTTCTGGCTGTGATTGCTAAGCGTCACCTTAAGAACAGCACACTCTTGCCCTGGGGCTCAGGAGCTCGTTTGTCCTGTCTGTCCTGCAGGACTTAGAAAGGGCCGGCAGCAGGAGCAGCAGCTGGGCCGGGCAGGGGAGGTATCGGGTGGGGGCCCTAGTCTTCAATAGTGTCTCATCTCCCTCGCTGGCCTCTGTGGGGCCTGCTGAGAGCAGCCTCGGCAGCAGCACGACTGTGTCCTGTTCCTCGAGCAGGGTCCCTTGCTGCAGGCCACCCTCTGCTGAGGCCTGACCATTGCTCTCTGGCTCCAGGGGTGCAGGAAAAGCTGGGTGTGATGAACAAAGGTGTGGCGTATGCTCTGTGGGACTACGAGGCCCAGAACAGTGACGAGCTGTCCTTCCACGAAGGGGACGCCCTCACCATCCTGAGGCGCAAGGACGAAAGCGAGACTGAGTGGTGGTGGGCTCGCCTTGGAGACCGGGAGGGCTATGTGCCCAAAAACCTGCTGGGGGTGAGCACTCAGGTTACTTACTGGGAAACTAGCTGCCCGTGTCTCTGTACAGCATGCGGTCCTATCCTGCTGTGGGGCTGGGGAGGGAGGCTTCGCTTCTCTGAGCCTCAGCAGCCCCCTCTGTAGAGGGGGAGGTGCCTACTTGGCAGAGCTGGCATGAGGCTCAGGCAGGGCCCCAGGAGGTTCCCCCAGCCATGCTTATGCCATGGAGGCCCGTGCGGAGGCTGAGTGCCCCAGTGAGGGGCCGCTCAATGAGCTCGGTTCATGATGAACTTCACCAAGTGGCCCGGCTCAGCCCACCCACACTTTCCCCAATCTAGAAATCTCTGCAGCCTAGAAATTTCTCCAGTGGAGGGAGAGGTGGGAACGTGCAGGCTGCTAGCTCTGTGTTGGACTTGTGATTCCCTCAGTCCTCTGGCAGAGGGAGCTGCCTCTGCTCTCTTTGTGCCCTGCAGAGCTGCCAGGGGCTTGCTGTTGAGCCAACGTTCTTGGCCAGGCAAACACAGCAGGGAGCCAGGCAGAGACCCTTGCCCAGGGGAGCTTATGACCTTGAGAGCCACAGGCAGTCACAAGTCTTTAGGTGGCATGAAGTGTTGTGAGAAAAATAGGATATTCTGGGGGTACAAGGCACATTTTAAAGAGGGCTGGGTGGGTCTCAGTGTAGAGGTGCAGCTGAGCGTAGGCCTGAGGGACAAGGGTGCTGCACGGCTGTCCAGGGTGGCTGAGGTGAGGAGCAGGGGTCGGGTCTGGCTGGCCCTGCTCCCTGTGTGTGGCTTCCTGTCCTGACGCGGCTCCGTTGCTTCCCAGCTGTATCCACGGATCAAACCCCGACAGCGAACACTCGCCTGAACTTCCTTTTGGAGCACCGCATGGTCTTGCCAGCTACCAGGAGCCACTTAAGAGATTATTGTGCTGTTTTCCAGGAAAGCTGCAGCTAGAAAATGGTCTTAATGGTGCTCACTTTAGCAGACAGCGTCCACAATGTGAATCCTACAGTTTCCAGGTGAGGCCCTTTCTCCAGTTTGCCCATTAACTGGGAGAGGTACTTTCGCCTCCAAGGACTGAATTTTGCCAATTACTATAAATCCAAATAAATACCCACTTTCAAAACACCCACCCCTCTTGCCATTAAGAAGTCCCATAACCCCCGGTTGGTTGCCAGTGAAGACAGAAGCTCTTACTGACTTGGCCCCGAGGCCATCACCCCCTCCAGCAGTGAACACTGTCCGCCGCTGTGAGGCCTGCTCCCCTGCGACCGCCCTGCCCCCCGTCACCGAATCGGACACTCATCCTTTCTCACACTTCCCACACATGATCCTTCTTCCCTTCATCACCAAAGGAGCCTCTGTATGGAAACATGTCCAGTGTTGCTGCCCAGTGTGTATGCCTCCCAGTACCCACTCTGCTCGGCCGCCTTGGGGGTTCCGCTTCCTGTTCCAGTTCACCTAAAGGCTGATTGTGCAGGCCCAGCACTGTGGCTGGACTGCCGCGCCACGGGCACCAGGACCCCTAAGACCAAGTGACAACTGGGAGAGCCTCAGCATATACTCTTCTCCTCCGATCTCACAGCCTGTCATGCTGCTCAGTGTGGTTCTCACCCCTGCAAGCTCAAATTCAGTTCCCTGAATGGAGTCAGGTGCTGGAGGCCGTGGCAGCGGAGGGTGGTTGGGGTTGGGGCTGGGGGTGGACTGGTGTGAGGGCAGACCAGGGCCAGGTAGACGGGGCTGTTTGGTGCCTGAAGGATGGCAGACGCCTGGTGTCAGGAGGGGCCGCCACCAAGGAGCAGCAGCTGGGGCAGAGGAGCTGGGGTCAGGGGCCACCCCTCTCTGCCGATCTCCCTGCCTGGGCTGGCTGTGAGGCCACCTTTGTCCCAGGCCCAGCCTCAAGGCAAGGAGGGCGCTTCACTGAGGTGTGAATTGTACGTACAGGCTTTTTATATACCAAAAGTATTTTTTGACTAGACCATTCAAAGCTACCCGAACTATGTTGGAAATTTTTTTTTTCTCATTAAAATACAGGCCCTTAGGCTCTATTTTTCATGTATGAGTCGTGTGTAATTTATGTAAAAATGTGTGTACAGACTCACTGATGCAGCACTGTAGCCCATCACCTTGGAGCACTGACTGTACATAGTGTGGTGAAGAAAAGTGAACGCCCTTGTAGAGCAGCCCGACCACAGGAGCATGGCCGCTGCCAGCCCAGACGCTGCTGACGCTGTGTAAATGTGCACAATAAACCCGTCTCACCCCGGCGGCTGTGAGTCTTCTTTCTGGACCCAGACTGCGCTGTGGCACGAGGGTTCAGGTGATCTGGACACAGGAAGGCGAGGCCTTGTCCGTATGTTCAAAATAGTTTTTAATCATAAGCTTTATATACAAATTGCTGTACAGTCATCTTAATAAAGTGAAATAGTGAGTGAAAAGTACAAAACACAAAGCCCCCACGTTCCCCTTGGTGAAGTATCAAAGGATCACTCACAGCCCAGAAGCCCCAAATTAGTGACAAGGTAAGTGGACAAGTCTGTGAAACAGGCTAAGGCAAGTGCTGTAAACTGGCTATTAGAGGCGAACAGGCTCCACTGCAGACCAGAAGCCTGAGTTCCTACTGCCCAAACTGGTTCTGTGGAAGAATTAAATGAAATGAATATTGATGGGCCAGAACCTTCTAGTAGACCTGCGAACTCATAAAAATGGTATATATTATGCTAAAAATAGTTTAGCAGTAGTGTAGCTCAGTCTCTCCCACCCCCAATTAAGTATTGACAATACACAAATTCTAAAACATGAAGCTGTTTAAAGCATTAATAAACTGTGAACATATTGCACTAGATAAGTGAACACTCCTGTTTCTCCAAATACATGAGTGAGTTGCATTTCCCAGCACAAGCAGGATTAATCCCTGTGGTACGCAAGGAGCAGGCTCTGCTGTTCCAAGCGACTCAGTCCTGGTGACCACACGTACTCCAAGCTCAGCCCCACGTAGAGTTACTGGTCCCGAGATTCATAGAGGAGCTTGGCAGCCTGCAGATCAGACAAGATCAACACAGTGAGGCCTGCTTGGTCCTGTGCCTGGTGGAGCCAAGCCTGTGTGCATTTCAGGGGAGATGGCGTGGGCACCCCAGCTGAGGGGGAACAGGTTGTGGGGATAGGGGGCAAATGGCAGGACACAGAGCTTCCTCTGGGAAAGGCAAGCTTTTGTCTAAGCCAAAGGGCCCAGCCTCCCTGGCCTGGGCTCAGGTACCTTGTGCATGGCCACTAGCCACGCCACCGCCTGCCTCCTGCCCACAGTCACGTCCTCCACCACTGTCAGCTTCAGCTGGGTCACACCCTCCGTCCCCGGCACTGTATACTGCAGGAACATGCCTGTGGCCCGTGCGTTGCCTCCTGGAGGAGAGAGACGAGGTAAGACGGCCCAAAGGAGGCCCTGAGTGCCCAGGCGGCCACCAGCCCCAAGGCGGTGGCCAGCACATCCTAACCTTGTGCTGCTCCAAGAGTAGCCTGGCAGTGAGGGCTGGTGCTCAGGAGCACCCAGGGAACACCATCTCCTCAGGCCTCTGAGGGGAGACCCCAAGCTCACAGGTGGGGTGGGAGAGGGACCAAGACACTCAGCCGGGTGCCCCAGGGCCCGGGACAAACAACAAGAGCCACATCACCACGAGAGGCCTTGCTCTCGGCTAATTGAGGCGCTGCTATGCCCTGGGGCCTGTGGGGGTTCCTGCCTTCAGAGAACCTCCAGACAAGACTGGCTCCTGCAGAGGTGCCCACCTGCACCCAGGGCTGGGGGAAGAGTGGAGGCCACCTCGAGAGTGCCCTGGCCACTGACAGGCCAAGCAGATGGTCAGGGACACAGCTGGCCTCACCCAGGAGTCAGAGGCCTCAGCCATCCCACCGTTGAGAAGCGGCGTCAGCACAGAGGGGATTGTCACTACAAAGGCCCAGTGTCAGGGAAATGCCACCCCAGCCTGGTCACGGGCCATCTCCCCAGACCCAGCACCCATGTTGGGGACTGGTCTCTGGGACCCAGGCTCCCCGTCTTTGGGCGGTGACCAGCTGTTCCAGTGACAATGACTCAATTCCAGCACTCGCTCCAACAATACACTGCTGAAGAGAGCAGCTCTTCAGTCAGGGCTGGTGTTGAAAGAGACCCATGGGATGCAGCCTCCCATGAACTTGATGACTTGGGAGGGAAGCCCCATCGTAGGCAATCACTGACCTCTCAGGAGACCCCTCCATCAGACACACATCCCCCCATCAGCACTCAGGGCCGGCTCTTCTGCCGGTTGGTGGAGTGGGCACCAAGGCTGCAGTCGGAGGCCCACCGACCGTGCTTGGAGGCCTGAGCAACCTATGACACGCTGTCCCCTGGGAGGCCCCGGAACCACATTTTTTTTTTCCGAGACGGAGTCTTTGCTCTTGTTGCCCAGGCTAGAGAGCAGTGGTGCGATCTCGGCTCTGCACCCTCCGCCTCCCGGGTTCAAGTGATTCTCCTGCCTCAGCCTCCTGAGTAGCTGGGATTACAGGCGTGTACCTCTACGCCCAGCTATTTTTTTTTTTTTTTGTATTGTTAGTAGAGACGGGGTTTCTCCATGATGGTCAGGCTGGTTTCGAACTCCCAACCTCAGGTGATCTGCCCGCCTTAACCTCCCAAAGTGCTAGGATTATAGGCATGAGCCACCGTGCCTGGCTTTATTTTAATTATTTTTTGAGTCTCTGTTGCCCAGGCTGGAGTGCAGTGGTGCCATCTCAGCTCACTGCAACCTCCGCCTCCTGGGTTCAAGCGATTCTCCTGCCTCAGCCTCCCGAGTAGCTGGGACTACAGGCACCCACCACCACACCCAGCTAATTTTTGTATTTTTAGTACAGACAGGGTTTCACCATGTTGCCCAGGCTGGTCTCGAACTCCTGACCTCAGGTGATCTGCCCGCCTCAGTCTCCCAAAGTGCTGGGGTTACAGGCGTGGGCCACCATGCCGGGCCTCTAGAACCACACTTTCATAAGCCCGGTTCTGTGGTTAGGGCACGCACCCCCACCCCCAACACTGGGGAACCTTGCCTGTCAGTGTAACGTCCTGCCTAGGCTCTAGAGCAGGGCGACCATGGCTCTGCCTACCGCCTGCATTTGCCTGATAAAGCACCACTGGATCATAGCCATGGCCGTCTGTCACCCTGTCTTCTGCAGCCGCCTCCGCCTTCACCACAGCACACGTGGCTGGCAAAGGTTTACTATCTGGCCTTGAAAGAATGAGTGTGTGGCCTGCCCTACAGGGCCCAGGCTGGCAGGCGGCCCCTTGGCTGCCTTCAGGTCAGGGGACTGTTCCTATTGTCCCCACCCCCACCGGAAGACAGGGTGCTGGGGTCTGAAGGGCTCTACTGAGACTGGGCAGAGCGGGGCTCACTGCACCCCCCAAGCCACCACAAGGGGGACACAGTGCCAGAAGCCCTGGGGAGGGTCTGCCCGGGAGAGCAGTCCGGGAGGCTGTGTTGCCCTGGCCTCCTGAGGCACTGGCCTTCATCTGATGCCCCTAAACACTGGCCTTCATCTGAGCCTCAGGCTCCCCAGGAGGAGGCAGGCAGAGAGGGGTGCCTGGGGTGACCCCCGCTTCTCCAGACCCTACCCTTTGCACCTGGGCATCTATACCTTGCAGCCTGCTCAAGGCAACCAGCTTGATGCCATCCCGGCTCCACACACATCCCTGAGCTCAGGACAGAACACTGGCCTGGGCATCTCACCTCACCATCCAGGAGGCTGACAGAAGTGCCAGGAGAGTCAGGGGTCCCAGGAGGCCACACTGAGCTGGGGAGCAGCAGGCCTCGGGGGGAAGGGCAGTGTTGGCAGAGGCTCCCAAGGGCAGGTGAGCCCCCACGCCCCCTGGCCTCAGCCTGTTCAGGGCTGGCAGGTACTGACAGAGAGCTGTCAATTGCTGGGTAACCCTCCCGCTGAGACAGAACTGAGAAAGTACATCTGCTGCGGTATCTTCATTTATGCTTTATAAACCCACTTATCAGATCCAACATCTCTCTTAAGTCAACCAAAGTAAGTGAATTCAGGTTTCACAAAGAACCTTGGCATGGACCACCCCGTGGACAGAAGCCAGGTGGCGAGGGGAGGAACGGGCCCGCTGCATGCGGGGAGCCCCGGTGAGGAGGAAGAGGCTGACCTTCAGAGGCAGGCTGGCTCCCCCGGAGGCTGGTGTAAGCGTGAATGTCTTTTTCTATGGCAAGAAGGTGGGCAGGCAGTGGCGAGAAGGAGCAACCAAGAGCCGGTGAGAGAACGGAAGGAAAGCAACATGGGTTACGGCACACGCATCTGTCAGCACAGTTTGCAGATAACGGGATGCGAGCTCCCCGTCAGCAGAGTTTAGTGGAGAGGCCCAGGATGGGCCAAAGCTCACCAGGAAATGCACCAGGGGTTTAGTCTGCACAGACGCCTGCAGGAGGAGGGCTGAAGTGCTGGCTCCCGATGAGCCACCATTCAGACCTTTTTGGGGATCTCAGTTATTGCATTTGGGGCTTTATCCTTGGTTTGAATCCAACAATAAACCGAATGATACGTTAGAGCATTTAGAGCAGAGGAAATCATTATGACATGCTGAGGCAAATGTCCCTTTGTTGTCTTACAGTTTAAGTCTCCACTCACCTGGCGAGTTCTAAAGCCACTGAGTAAATACACGCCCCGCGAAAGAGGAAAGGCAGATTGTCCTGGAAACCCAGCAGACCCCACTCCTCAGGGCAGCTGCCTGATCCCAAAAGTGCATGCTCCTCTTGTCACCCACGCATGGCACCAAACCCTCCTGGCTTAGGAAAGGACGTGCTGGCATTTACCTCCAGGAGGGAAGCCTTCTGTGAGGATCTGCACGGTGGAAATGTGTACAATTTCGATTTCATAGTGGCTGTCTCCATCCAGAAACAAGTATCTACATCAAATAAAAGTGTCCAAATCGGGTCATTCTCAGGCTCAGTGCCACCGAGGCTCCCGGTCTGTGACAATGCTGCCCCGTGCCAAGCAGGATCCGGCTCTTACCTCTGGTTATTGGAAAGACGACAAGTCATAGTTTCAGGTTTCTCTGAGTTTCCAAACGTGACGAGGAAGGTGGCTCCTTGGGAACACAAAAGCAAACGTGAGAACAGGGCCTGCTTCTTTTCCACCTAACCCTTCCCACGAGTACCAGTAGGAGACGCACGCACAGAGGACAGAGTAAAAACAGCAAGAAACAAACCACAGCTTTGTTCTAAGGACCCCTTCAGCTGAGCAAAAAGGCAGTCATGGATCAAGGGTTTAAGAGGTAAACCCAAAGGCGCTGCTCTAGACAGGTTCTGCTTGCTTACAAAGCTCCTAGAAATTCTTTTACATCCTTCAAACGATGCAGGGAATTCATCACCAAGGTCCAGATCAAAGAACAATAAACCACTCTGCTCACACGTCCTAAGAGCTGGCAGGACAGGACCAAGACAGCAGAAAGGAGGCACAACAAAGCCCACCGTCCAGCCAGGGACCATGCCCGTTTCACACAGGATGGAGCTGTGGGCAGGAAGGCAGGTGGTCCCAGACCCCACGGCGGGCAGGCAGGGGACAGGAGGCTGGGACGGCAGTGGCCAGAGGTGGACGGACAGTGGGGAGAAGGCGCTGCTCGTTGTTCAGATTCCAGGGAGGCACACCCTATGCCCCTGGAGAATGCCCTTCTCCCACACCAGGTCCCCAGAGATGGCTCAAAACCGGGTCTGCATCGTGCTATTGGGCAAAGGTCTCCGGCCCCTCCGAGGAGCCACAGTGGTTGCAAACGCCCGAGCGCCGGCGCCGGGTTCCACCCGGGGGAAGGAGGAAGGTGCTGCCTGGGCCCAGGGCCTCCCCTCCCACCTGATGGACGTGCCCAGCGGAGTCAGCACCAACATTTTAGACGACATTCCGCCTCTGAAAAGAAGGGAAGGCTCTATAACCGCTTCTAAACGAATCCAGAAGAAAACGGGGAAGGGAGGGAGGGCGAGAGAACGTCAGAGAAGCAGAACGCCCCGTGCACAGCCCACAGCATCGCCACAGACACGAGGAGCCGGCTGGCGGAGCGCGCGGGACTGTGCAGGACACCCGTCCTTACCGCTCAGGAGCACTTTGAGCTGCTTGTCGTAGAACTCCGCCTCCTTGAGGGACACGAGGGCGCACTCCGCGCACTGCCGCACGGGGTCCACAAAGCACATGCGCCGCAGCGGCACCTTCTGGCTGCAGCACCTGTCGCAGAAGCACTTCCCGCAGCGGCGACAGTGGTGCTGGGCAGATGCGGGAGGATTGGCAGTGAGGAGGGGCAGGGAACAAGCGGCCCCGGGTGTGGCCCCGGCTGGCCTGGCACTCCCCGGGCCACGCCTAAACGCGAGGCCCCTGTGCCGGCCGCTGCACACGCGCACCTCCTGTCGCCAGCCCCTGGGCTCCCCACCACGCAGCGGGGATCCGCCTCACCTGGGAAATGAGGCCCTTTTTTCAAAATCATGGATCAAAATGGCTGTTTTTCAGCTTTCTTTCAACTACCCAAGTCCCACTGCTTAGGACGCCCTCGCGCCTCGGGGCGCCATGAGCTGGGCACACATTAGGGGCAAGACACTTCACGAGGGCAAAGCGGCACGGGGACGGGGCGGAGGGGGCAGAGGGGGCGGGGGGCAGGTGGGTGCACAGGCCTCGCAAGCTGCACCCCCACCCCATAGCGTCCGGCAGAATCAGCACAGTCACTTTCCACGGAAACAGGGCATGGCTGACACTCAAAATGAGCCATAACGGCTGGGTGTGGTGGCTCACACTTGTAATCCCAGCACTTTGGGAGGCCGAGGTGGGAGGATCATTTGAGGTCAGGAGTTCGAGACCAGCCTGGCCAACATGGTGAAACCCCATCTCTACTAAAAATATAAATATTAGCCAGGCGTGGTGGCAAGCCCCTGTAATCCCAGCTACTCAGGAGGCTGAGGCAGGAGAATCACTTGAACCTGAGAGGCAGAGGTTGCAGTGAGCCGAGATGGAGCCACTGCACTCCAGCCTGGGCGACAAGAGCGAAACTCCGTCTCAAAAAAAAAAAAAACGAGCCATAAGATGACATCCGTCCCCTGCCAGAAGGGGCAGCGGCAGCTGTCCTGTTGGGGCCCCTCCCCTCTTCCCACCACCCCCACTCAGCGGCCTCAGCTCACCTTTCTGGTGAGAAAGTCAAACTTGGCGTCACACTGCATACATCTCCGACACTAGGAAAGACACGACAAAGCGTTAAAACGCAGCTTGGTCACTCACCACGTCGCTGGGGCACGACCACGGGCTGCTGAGAAAGCTGGGCCCTGCCACCTCCCCACGCACCCAAGCAGCCTGAGGCAGGCAGGGTTGTGACGCAGGACGGTGGACTGGCCGCCTGTGCCCAGGCTCCAGAGCCAATGCGGTGGGGTGCAGGCTGCTCCCAGGCCTGCGGGAGATGCACCCAGCGTAACCATGGGGCCTGAGGTGGGCTTGGGGTTTGACTGTCTCGCAGCAGAGCATGCATCCTGGCACTTCAGGTCCCTCCACACTGGACCCAACAGCAGTTCACCTTAACAACGCCTTTTTAGCCCTGGTCCTGTTACTGGAACCAAAGAGCAACGCCACGAAGGGACTAGGAAATCCACAGCAAGAGCCAACCTAAACCCCTAAACCAGGGAAGGCTGTGCTAGCACCCACTTCACAAACGAGGCGAGCATGGGGAGGTGCTGATTCTGGGGCTGCGCGCCAGCCGGCAAAAGCCCAGGTATCTGAGACATAAAGCTTATTATTCTAGTTTACTTGGAGTCCTGGCGTGCGTGCCCTGACCCCCGCCTGTGAGGGAACCCCTGGAAGCAGCTGAAGCACACGCAGGCCGGTGTGTGCCACGGGGGCGGGCGCCAGGCCTGGGGACGCCCTGAAGATGCTTCCTCAGCTGGAGGACCCAGGCACAGAGAAGCTGTAAGACTCACAAGCCAGGGCTCACAAGGCTGGACTTTGTTGGCCAAGAGTGTTCTATGCACACAGAATGTACAAAGGTAGACAGAAACAGGAAGGTGACTGGGCTCAGGGCCCACCAGGAATTCTGACAGCACAAGACCTGGGAACTGGGCAGGTGGCCATGGGGCTCACTTTCCCCAAGGGGTCACAGCAGGCCTGAAGCCCCATGGCAAGGTGGTACTGTCCCGGCACCTCAGATGCTTGGTCGGCCTAAGGGTAAAGGTGGAATTGAAATCAGTTAGAAATAAAACAGATTTAAGATGCTCCCTGCATTTCCACTGCTTCACTTGACTAGACAAAAAAACTTGTCACCGAAGCACAGGGTGCATTTACCAAGCACCCAGAGACACACATGTGGTGGTCTATGCTGAAGCCCCCCACTGACGCTGGGCTCTCAGCCCCTGCCAGGAGGCCCTCACTGAGGAGGCCACAAGCCCAAGGTCACACCCCACTGTGGGCAGCCATGGCCACCCGGCCAACTCCTTAGAAAAACCAGCCGGGCCTCCAAGCTCCCGAGGGCTGCAGAGACCTCAGGACTGGCCACAGCCAGCTTCTCAGCAGCCCCAAATGGAGCGTGGCCTGGTGAGGTGCCTGCTCCGACCACCACAGAGCCTGCTTCTGAGGGGCGTGGGTCCCAGCTGTGCCTGCCGCCTCCACTTAGAACAGCAAGCCGGATGCGTTGACCACTTGCAGGGGGTTCCTAGCTCGAACCTCCTCATGACCAAGGGACGAAGTCACCGTGAACACGCTCACCCTCAGCACCAAAGGCACGGAACTCCCAAACCTCAGCTGGGAAGGCCTGGCCTGGCCGCCTCCTGCTCACTCCAGATGGCAGGGGGACCCTGACGCCGGCACGAGCGCAGCACGAGGACGCCGCCATCGCCGCCGGCTCCCCCGCTCTAACAGCAGGGACTTCAGTCCAAGGGGAAGACATTCAGACCTGGCTCTGAAGGAAATCTGTGTCACCATGCATTCTTTTAACAGAGTGAGGGACACTTTTGCCACGAAAATGGTCCCCGGATTTGGTAAGCCGGTACAGCCTTTTTCAAAGCTGGCCCTCGGTGCTGCCCACCCGCTCCCCAGCAGGCCCTTCAGCAGCGCATTGGGGGCTGCGGGACCCAGGACGCCTCGCCTCCCTCAGCTTCATGAGAACAAGACCCTCGTGCTCTGGGGTCCTTGGTAAGGATGAAACAAGGTGTGACAAGCACACCCCGCTTTGGTCCTCGCTGTCAGAGACCTCGGTGGCGGGTGGTGAACCAGAAACAGGTGTGGGTTCAATGAACCAGCGACGGAACGGTGGGAGTCAAAGGGGTCCTCTTGGGAGAGATGGAGGGTCTTTTGGCTTCTGATGATTAAGGGCTCGGCTGAATATTGACCAAGAATCATCCATGTTCTAAGCACAATAATCCTCAAAAGAGATGTAAGAGAAGACCTTCGCTCCACGAAGAGCCCCCTTTTCCCTTCTGGGGGAAGGAGGGGGCCCCCAAACGAGACCAGGAATTACCTGGCGAGCATAAACTGAGGGCCTGAAGTCTCGAAAAGGAGGCAGACTGGAGGTGGCCACAGCATTACCAAGCCACACAAGAGCTCAGACGTCTTATCTAACGCGAGAGCCGCCTCAGAGCTCCACCAAGGACAGACGGGCTGTGCTGGCACCGACAAGCAGCTGACAGGGCTCGGCCCCTCCGTGGGAAAGCTGCTCCCACACGCATGGCACCGTTCCAGCCCAACCCTGGGCCGGCGAACACTGCTGGGGCTGATTCCACAAGGAGGCAGGCAAGGCCTGTGGGGTCACCGGGGCCGAGCACCTTCTGGAACACAGGCCCCTGGGTCTGAGCTGGGGTGGGGACCGCGCGGCCGCCCAATCCCCCAGCGCCTCTGACATGGCTGCACAGCCTCCCTGTGGTCTGGGGGCCCAGCCACGGATCCTCCATCACCCCACCCTGATCCTCTCCCTCATAGGCATGGGGACTCTTCCCTGCCCTGCACCCCTTCTCTGGGAAGTCCAACCCCTTCTCTGAGCCCCAGAAGACGCTGGTGTGGAGGAGCTGCTCTGATGCGGTGCCATCACAGCCGCCACCCTCACCATGTCCCCGCCACCCTCAGCGTGTCCCTGCCACCCTGCAATCTGCAAAGGCAGGGGCCTCCCTCCAGCCTGCGGGACCCACACAGGCAGCACAGGAAGCCTGCAGCCCCTCCACAGGGGGCTCGGAGACAGTCCACATCAGGTGCCAAGTGCCCACTGTGCTTAGTTGGCAAAACAGAGTCTGGTGGTCCTGGGACTCTGCAGATGCTTCTGGAAGGAGTCCTATGGGGCCCACAGCCACGTGTACCCTCACTGTAGGAGGACAGAGGTCCCGGTTGTGGCGCACATCAGGGGCCCTTCAGACGCCATTCTGCAGCAAGGACTGGCCCGTCGCGACCCACACGAGGGCCTCATCCCTGCCGAGTTCCATGTCGCCACTGCCCCAACTCAGGCAGGCAGGTCCTGAGCTTTGTGAGATCCCACGACCAGCCTTTTTTTGTTTCCCTTTGCTTTTAAGCTGCTTCCTGGACTTGGAAACCAGGCCTGGCCCACCCCAGCCTTCTGGAAGCATCTAAAAAGTCCAGCTGGCAGCTCTGCCAGGGGCTCCCTGCCCACGGGCTGTGGGCGTTGGCTGGCTGTTCCCCGCCCTGATTGTGCTTCAGCCCAGCCCTGCCATTGCCCTCAAATGGGCCTGTCGGTTCTGGAATGTTCTGCCTGCTGTGCGGTGGCACAGTCCCTGCCTCTGTGTGGTGGCCCCTTCCCTGACCCCAGACATCCACTAGCCACAGAATCCACTAGAATCTGCTAGAGAAAGCTTCACGGGGGTTTTAACTCTGAGCTTAAGCAAACACGAGGCCACGTTATCACCAGGTTCCAGTGAGAGTAACTATTGATGGTCTCTCCATGGTGACCCTGGCCCACAGCGCCCGACAGGAGGGGAGAGGGCTCTCAATATTCTCAGCAGACGGTGGTGAAAGAGGACTGCTTTTCACATTTACTGTGCAGTTTGTGTTTGGGCAAGCTGAAAGGCCAATTTCTAAATATAACACCACACTGCTGGAGCAGTGGCTCACGCCTGTAATCCCAGCACTTTGGGAGGCTGAGGCAGGAGGATCACTTGAGCCCAAGAGTTTAAGACTAGCCTGGGCAACACAGCAAGACCCTGTCTCTACGAACATTTTTTTTTTTTTGAGACGGAGTCTGTCGCCCAGGCTGGAGTGCAGTGGCACAATCTCGGCTCACTGCAAGCTCCGCCTCCCGGGTTCACGTCATTCTCCCGCCTCAGCCTCCCAAGTAGCTGGAACTACAGGTGCCCGCCACCACGCCCAGCTAATTTTTTGTATTTTTAGTAGAGACGGGGTTTCACTGTGTTAGCCAGGATGATCTCGATCTCCTGACCTTGTGATCTGCCTGCATCGGCCTCCCAAAGTGCTGGGATTACAGGCGTGAGCCACCGTGCCCGGCCTGAACATTTTTTTTAATGAGCCAGGCATGGTGGTGCACACCTGTAGTCCCAGCTACTTGGGAGGCAGAGCTGGGAGGACAGCTTGAGCCCAGGAGGTCGAGGCTGCAGTGAGCCATGTTCATGCCATTGCACTCCAGCCTGGGAAGCAGAGTGAGACCCTGTCTCAAAAAAAAAAAAAAAAAAAAAGAGACAGACCACACCTAGGATTTGCCCCCTTAAAAATATAAGTGATCCAGAAGTTTATTACTATAAAATAACCAAGGAGCTTAGATGTATAGGCTTTTAAATAAGGTAATTTCCTATTGATTATATTAGTGAAAGAAATTTAAAAAATTATCAACAGAGCAATTTAATATGAAATAAAGCAATGGATGAAGACATAAGGTAAAACTACTGCCAAATACCTACCCCGCCAGTAAGCACGCCCCGCAAAGGAAGCGCAGGACAGCAAGCCGGGCCCCAGACCAGGCTCCCACCAGCGCCTCCTTTAACTGGACCCCGCAGCTCTGATGCTCAGTGGAACAGCTATTTTAGGAGCTAGGGAGAATACACCAAAGCCCAGAAACCAAGTGTGATTCATCCGTTTTCACCGTAGGTGGCCAGCGGTGTCTGGAATGCCAGCCTCTGCGTCACATCCCAGGTACACATGTGTCACCACCAGCGTGGGCTGGAGCAGACTTTCAAACCAGCACATTCGCTGGGGAAACTAAAACCTCCAAGAACAACCCAATGAAACAGGCCTCAAGACGTTTAGTGAGGAAAATGAATAAATAAATAATAAAGGTGTTTAGTGAGGGCCACGAGGCCAGAGGTGCAGGCTGTGACAAACACACAGAGATGAAGAGGGAGAGTGAGGCAAGGTCAGCTTGGGCAGTGCCCCTAATAACACCCATCTGCTGCCTGACCCTCTTGCCCAAGCCAAGCAGATAAACCCGCTAATGACAGACACTGCCCCCTAGGATGGACGGCGGGGCCCAAGTGCTCTCCAGGAGCCCTCTGTGCCCTGTGCAGTGGCGTCACAGAGGCAGCCTCGGCCCAGGCCTCTCTGGGGCGCCTGGCACTCACCTCCATGGGAGGCCTCCGTGGCCACCTTGCAGGGCCAATCACAGGCTCGGCGGGAAGCTATATGGACACAGAAGGAGCTGTCTCAAGGGAAGCGGGGCCAAGAGGGAGCGAGGATCAGGGCAGGTGCATGCAGACGGCTCCCAGTGAAATTTCGGAACACACTTCTCCTGGCTGCCTACAGGAGTCAGAGCCCTGGGCGCTTGTCCCCTCCTTGCTAGTCCAGTAAACCACAACTGACTTGCACCCACCCTGCCAGATGACATGCTCGGAGGCGGTCAAGGCAGATGCCATAAACTAGGCTTCCCGGTGGGTAAGCAAGATGGCCGCGAGCAATGAAAGAAGAAACCAGGTCAGGCGTGGTGGCCACACCTGTAATCCCAGCACTTCGGGAGGCTGAGGTGGGTGGACTGCTGGAGCTCAGGAGTTTCAGACCAGCCTGAGCAACATAGCACAACCCTGTCCCTACAAAATAAAACCTAAAAATTAGCTGGGCGTGGTGGCGGGTACCTATGGTCCCAGCTACTCGGGAGGCTGAGGCAGGAGAATGGCTTGAACCCGGGAGGTGAAGGCTGAAGTGAGCCGAGATCGCGCCACTGCACTCCAGCCTGGGTGACAGTGAGACTCCGTCTCAAACAAAACAAAAAACAGAAATCATGAAGCCCATCACTCCTCCACAGTGCGGCAGACACCAGCATGGAGCTCCTTAGAGACCTGCAGGTCGAGACCCGCTCCCCCACTCCAATGCAACAGGAACGGCCCCTCGAGGGTCACAGGGCAGCTCCTCAGAACCAGCACCCGGCCCACCCCAAAGAGTGGGGTTTGGCAGCACGCAAGAAACCAAAAGCGCCTCCATATAATCTGAAAGTATAGTTTAGGGAGTTTAAATGGATGTTCAAAAAAAGTTATAAAAAGAACCAAGTCTCAGGACACAGGCTGGACATGGACATAGGCCTGCCCTCCCTTTGAGGCTGGGGTGACAAAAAACATCAGGCCCCACCACGCACTCTGAGCTCCCACACTACAGTGAGAAGCGTCACCCACTGGCTGGTGGGGCTCCCACAGTCAACTAATTCTCAGCCCCCCAAGAACTCGCCAATCAAAAAACAATTTAAATGCATGTATCAATGCACCTTTATTGAAAGATAATCACGTTTAACTGGTAGAGCGTAACTCCTACAAACAGAAAAGGAACCCACGTCAAAGATTTACCTCATTAGTTAATGAGAGAACCAATAAGACTAAAAACCCAGTTCAAAGGAGAATCCAAAGAGCAGACATGGATACAGGCCGTGAGGAAGGAAGATATGAGTTGTAAACTGGCTCCTCTCACAGGGACCCCGCGGTGGGGTGTGTGAGAGAGGACATCAACTTCACCTCTGAGAGACAAAATCTACTTGCATCTCAGGGACTAGAAACACGTGCGTTACTATCAGTTTTCTACAATTTGAAGCTGTCAGACAGTTTGAAGACGGTGACAGGTGCAGACACTATGATCACAGCCTGGGAGGGTTATGCTACAGGCGGCCTGGCCTCCCACAGGACGCCCAGGAATCCTTTTTTGTGGCTTCAAAGTCTCAGTTTTACCTAACATCAGTAACAGCTCTCCAGCCTGGGTGACACAGCAACACCTTGTCTCAAAAAAGAAAAAGCTCTTAGCCAGCCACAGGGACCCTTGAGGAGCTCGCTGGTGTCCCTGGCAGTATCTCATGAGGCTGCTGGTTCCCAGAACACCTGTGGAGGCTCTGGCAGCCCCTGGCACCTCACAGGGGTGAGCTTTACCCAAGCGCTGAGATCCTGGAAACAATTATGAAACCCCCCACCCTGCAGTGTGCTGGGAAAGCCTTCCACCGAGAACCACCCTCCCCATACGAGCCAGAGGAGATCACAGATGCCCCCCTTGCTTACCTGCAGCAAGGCCCTCCAAATTCCCATTCTCTGCCTCAGAAAACACTGGCCATTTCTCCTCATGATCAACTGGAACACAATTCCCTTACCTGGACTTTTTTTTTTTTTTTTTTGAGACAGAGTCTTGCTCTGTCACCCAGGCTGAAGTGCAGTGGCACAATCTTGGCTCATTGCAACCTCCTCTTCCCGGTTCAAGTGATTCTCCTGCCTCAGCCTCCTGAGCTGGGATACAGGCACACACCACCACGCCCGACTAATTTTTGAATTTTTATTATTTATTTATTTATTTTGAGACGGAGTCTCGCTTGGTCGCCCAGGCTGGAGTGCAGCTGCACGATCTCAGCTCACTGCAACCTCCACTTCCTGGGTTCAAGTGATTCTCCTGTCTCAGCCTCCCAAGTAGCTGGAATTACAGGCACTCATCACCACGCCCAGCTAATTTTTGTATTCTGGCCTCAGCTCTCTGATCTGCTGGAGGTCCTGACCCTCCACTGGCCCATCCCACCTCCCCAGCTTGATTCTTTCTAGCCTTGGCCACTCCTCCCTGCAAAAGAAAAGCCCTGTCCGGCCTGGCCTGTGAGACCCTCGCAGAACTCAGGGTCCCCTGTTCTCCCCGCTGCACAGCTCCAGACGCCTCTAGCAACAGTCCTCACTTCAGATCTCTCCTCATCCGAGTCCAGGCTCGTGATCAGACGCGCACGTGCTCTCTCCTTCCTGGCTCTGAATCTAGAGTATCCATCAAAGTGTCAACCCGCCAGCATGGAGCTGCGGTCATTCTTCTGCCAGCACCACGGATGGGAGGTGGGAGGGGTGCACAGCGGCAAGGATTTTAAGGATAAAACTCAGGATCTCAGCTGCTTGTGACAAGCCCAGATGGCTGCACGCCCGGACCGCCCACCCCCAAGCCCACTGCCTTGCGTCAGTGTCGGATATTTGATGGCAGAGTCAGACAAGCCCCAGAGATCATCTGAAGCTTCCTTCACACCCCCAAAGCACCTCTATCCAAAGTGGTGTCGCACGAAGCTTTACACGCCGCCTCTGCCTCCCCTGCCCCACAGGTTCCTGAGGAGGCACAGACTGGAGAAACGATTCTCAACTGGTTCTGCGTCAGAGCCTTGAGAATCTGAGAGCTGCAGGCCACCTCTCGGAGAAAGGTGCATGTGTGCACATGCTCCCCAGGGGGTTTTGCAGCATTTTAAAGGGATAACCCTCATGGGCCCAAACTGATAAACCAGCCCGGTCAGGCAGCTGGTATTCGGGAGACGGGCACTGGGCTGGATTCAGACTCCCCTGGCTAAGAACAGAGCTGGAATGAAAATGGACCAACACGTTTACAGATATGACGATGATGCCGATCGGCACACGGCCACCAAGCCAAGGACAATGTTACCCACCTGCCAAGTTCTACCAAATTCTCCTCTCCCCATTCCAAACCACCTCAAATAAACCTATTTCCCACAACTGGTTATCTGCACATTTGAGTCACCTCCCGACAATCACCTTAGCGGCCCCAAGCACGCAGCCAGCACAGTGTAGCTCAGTGTCCCCTTCAGCATCACCACATGCCAGGCGACTGTTACCGTACATGTCCCCTCGAGCTATTGCACCTAAAGCTGGACTTTATTCCAAATCTTCCAGCCCTTACTGCCCCGTTCTAAGTTCCTCCAGAACACTGTCTTTGGTCGTTTCTGGCCTGTAAGACCATGCTCCAATACAATTCACAACGCAAAACTCAGAGACAAAGTCCATCTTATTAGAATGGTTTCTCTGTCCCCCAAGCCCACCCAATGCTAGGACCTCCCTCAGCTGCTCAGATCCCAGTTAATCATCCAAACATGGTGGGGGGCTCTGGAGGGGTATCCTGCCACCACGCCAGCGTGGGAATGAATCTTCTCTTCCACGAGGGGTGCCACCTTGACTCAAGTGTTTCAACTCCACTCAGTCGGAAGTCACCGCGGGACTGCCACACAGTGCCTCAGCAGAGGCCACAAAGAAAGGCAGGGAAAAATGCTAAACAATTCAGCTGATACCAGAAGGGCTCTGGAAGAGAGAATGAAGGAGGGGAACACAGTGGTTCACTATAAAACAGAACCGTAAGATCAGTGCATGTGTACAGCAGGGAGAAAGAAATTGTGCTTTGGTGGAAACCTCTGCCTCATCTTGGCCACACTTTCTCACGTGCTCCTTACGGTTCATACAGACGTAGAGTATTTCTGTGCTATTAAGAGTTCGTTACACCATAAATACAATTTTCACGTGTCAACTTAAAAGTAAATTTTAAAAAAGATGAAGGAGGATGATTGGCGGAAAGTGTCTAAAAAGACTCCTCATGGTGGCGATACTGGGGAGAGGTGGGCAGCACTGGTCTCAACTCTCCAGGACACGCTCAGTGACCGGTGATGGCTCCGTACACTGTAGATGCCAGAGACACTTCCCCAGAGTCACTCGAATTCCGTCCTGTCCCCGAGGCTCTGTGGCCGCTCACCCCCCACCAGGCCTCCAACCAAGCTTCAATGAACCCAGTCAATTAGTGCTACTTTGACTTCTTGAACCTAGTTCCAACGTCTGCTTAGTTCTATCACTGAGGGAATTAAACGAATCTGTAACACGTGTTAAGTATGAAAGTCATATTACAAAAATTCTTTTTCTCCCCCAATTTTTTTTTTATCGTGGTAAAATCCACAGAACAGAAACTGGACACACCTGTTAGCGCACAGCCAGTGGGATTAAATGCACTCGGGGCCTTCCCAGTTGGCCAAGGGGCTGGTGTGAGGCAAAGGCACCTCCGATCAGGTCACAGGGAACCCCACGGGAGGCCCAGCGGATGGCCTGGCTCAGGGACCCCACGCCCACGCCCCAATGTCTGCAGGAGTGGCCTGGGCAACTCCTGCCGTGTCTGGGCCCATGGGAAACGGGTGCAAATCTGCGGTCTCCTTCAAACTGTCCAGTGGGCGACTGCGACCTCGCTTCCGAGGTGGAGGGTGGTATAGACGAAGGGAAACGGGGGGCAGCCTGGCCCGCAGACTGGGTCCTGGCCCTCCTTCCGAGCAGGAGGTGGCTTCGGAACCGGCCACCCGCCCGCGGCACCGACGCCTCCCCCGGTTCCCGGGAGGGACCCCTGCGGGGCCGCCAGCTCCAGCGCTTCCGCGGACAGCACGCGCCCTCCCCACCGAGCCTGCGAGGAAGGCGCTCCGCCTTCCACTTTCTCGGGAGCGAGCCCCAGCTCTCGGGACGCAGTCCACACGCGCTAGCCCAGCACGAACCGGCCTCGGGCAGGGCCGCACCCACCCCCGGGACCAGCCCGCGCCCCGCACCCCGCCTCCCGGCGCCCGCCCTGGACAGGTGCCTCCTGCCCTCCCGGGACCCCCGCACCGGGACACCGCGCGCCTCCCGCCCTCCCCGCGGGCGTAGGAGCCTGAGGCGGCGGCCCGGGGACGCGGCCAACCTGGGAGAGAGCGGGGGCGGGGGCCGGCTGGGGAAGGGGCCGCCCGGAGGCGGAGGGGTCGTCGCGGGAGCCTGGAAGCCCGCGGGGCCGGGCCGGGGCGGCGGGGCGGGTCGGAGGCGCTGGCCGGGGCGACGGCCACCCACCTCCTTGTCCGGGACCCACTGCGGCTCCTCCAGGCCGAACGGGCTTCCGAAGGCGCGGTGTTCGGGCACCATGCGCAGGCCGCTCGGGGAGCGCACCAGCTTCTTGGCGTCGCGGCGCGCGGACACCTCGGAGGACATGACGCCGCCTCAGCCTCTCGGCCAGCGGCCCCGCACCCGGCCCCTCGCCCAGCCCGGGGCACCGCCCGCCCCGCCCCGGTCCGCGCGCGGCTGACAGCGCCGGCGTCCAATCGCCAAGCCCGCCACGGAGCGCGGACTAATCGGAGCTTGAACTCCGCCCCATCGCTGCCCTCTCCAATCCGTGTAAGGGCACCGCCCCTGCAACCCTGAGGTCGATCACCAATCGGCGGCGAGGGCTGGCCCGGGTACGCTCCGCCCCTCTCAGGGAGATTGAGACTTTGGATTGGTTAGTTAGTCAGTCACGTTAGCGCCGCTTCGTCTCTGATTGGTGTAGCCCACTCAGGGTGCTAGGCGCCTATTGGAGGAGAAGGCCGAGAGGAGCAGGACGGCGGGAAGAGGAGTGCGGAACCCGCGGGAGGTGAGGCCCGCCGAGCCGGGCTGCGAGCCGGGCTGCGAGCCGGGCGGCAGCGGGGTCGGAGGTCGTGGGCGGCAGCGGGCGTGAGGGGTGAGGCAGGGTCAAGGGGCGGGGGCGGCCGCGGGTCTCCATTGCCCGAGCCTGTGGGAGCAGGCGGGCCTGGGGCTGCAGCACTCACCCCGGGAGCCCCGCCGCAGCTCGGGTAGCGTTCAGGCACCTCGCCGGGGCCGGGCCGCGTGCGTTCGGAGCGGGGAAGGCGGTCTCCGGGGCCCCCGGTGCGCGCGGGGAGGCGTCCGCTCAGGGGAGGCCGAGGTGGGCCCGCGGCTGCGCCCCCGGCCTTCGATGCCTTCGCTCGTCCGCCTGGGACCGCGCTGGCTTCGCATCGAAGTGGGAGAGGTCTGAACAGTTATTTTAATACTTTGATTTGGAAAGAAAATCCTTTAGGCCGGGCGCGGTGGCTCACGCCTGTAATCCGAGCACTTTGGGAGGCCGAGGCGGGCGGATCACGAGGTCAGGAGTTCAAGACCAGCCTGGCCAACATGGTGAAACCCCGTCTCTACTAAAAATACAAAAATTAGCTGGGTGTGGTGGCACGTGCCTGTAATCCCAGCTGCTTGGGAGGCTGAGGCAGGAGAATTGTTTGAACCAGGACCCGGGAGGCGGAGGTTGCAGTGAGCCGAGATCACATTACTGCACTCCAGCCTGGGCTACAGAAAAAGACTCCATCTCAGAAAGCACACAAAAAAAAGAAGAAAATGTTTGTTCATCCTGCCTTTAATTCCTTATTACAAGGCGTGAATTTTTATTGTTTTTTTTGAGACAGTCTGGCTCTGTCATCCGGGGTGGAGTGCAGTGGCGTCTTCACAGCTAGGCACAACCTCGACCTCCCAGGCTCTCAAGTAGCTGGGACCGCAAGCGCCACTACACTGGCCAGCTATTTTTCTTTTTTTTTTTTTTTTTCGGTAGAGAGTAGGTCTTGCTGTGTTGCCCAGGCTGGTCTTGAACTCCTGGGCTCAGGCGACCTTGGCCGCCTTGGCCTCCCACGGTGCTGGGATGACAGGCATCAGCAGTGTTGAAGCCTGTGAGGTGGGGTCCCTGTGGCTGACTCTGCCCTCTCCTGGGGCCATTGGCAGTGCAGGGGTCCTTGTGTGTGGAGGAAATAAGGAGATGATCAAAGTATGATTCCACGAATCACACGGTTTATTGTCAAAGAAGATTTGTTCTCGGGTTCACAGTGCTCAGAGGGGAGGAGAGGGGAGGAGGTGAAGACACCTGGCAGGGAAGCAGGGCCTCCATGGATGGGGTGCATTCACGGCAGGGAGGTGAGTGGCAGAACGGCCAGGGTCCGGTTGCTCTGCTGGGATGGAGCGGGCCCCTGGAGAGTGAGATCTGGTGAGAGTTCGAGGTTTGCCTTGGTAGCAGTGGAGAGCGTGAGAGCGGGAGCTCTCTGAGAAGCTGGGACCGAGGTCCAGCTCCCAGGCCAGCAGCGTATAGCTTGCCTCAAAGCATCTGCACAACCTTCAAGCTGATGTCTGTTTTTGCAGTCCAGCAGTCAGGGTCAGTAACTCACATAAGGGAGTGTCTGACAAGGTTTAAGTGGCATTCCCAAGGTTGCGGAGTTCACTCAAGTCCTCACATATGTGGTCTGATAAGACATCACACTCTTGCAGGGGGGTCAGGTCACCCCAAAACATCAGACTATGTAAGTGCTGTGAATCACTTCAAAGCTACACAGCAGGTCCCAGGGCCCAAGGCAGAGGAGTGAGTCCACCTCGGAAGGCTCAGAGCAGCTCCAGGCAGTAACCACGGCATTTCCAGAGTCTGGTGTGTGAGCCTAACAGCTCTGGTGTGACCGTCCGTACTCACCTAGCAGCACGTGACATCAGCTCTCCCCCTGAAGTCATTGCTCAGCTCGGGTGCTGCAGGAAGACATACAGGTCTGTCTTGGGCCAGCCCCTTGCCTGCTGTGGGCTGCTCCCTGTGTGTGGCCTTCACCCCGGTGTAGAGAGATGGGCTGGTCACACCCCTGCCCCTCACAGCGGCGAGAGGACAGAGGCATGTGCCGGGCTGTCTGTGGAGCTCCCAGGCCAGTGTCTGGGATGCGGCAGGTGCTTGGTGTTAAAGGGAAAATATTCCAGGATATCTGTGAAAGCACGTTAGGCAGAGACCAGGCTTTCATTCAGAACCTTTGAGAGATGTGGGAACCACCACACTGCGGTCTTGCAGTGGGAGAGAGGCTGGGCTCAGCTCTGAACAGGCCATGGGCTGGTGGCGGCTTACAGCTCCAGAGCTGGGCAGGGGCAGAGGATGGAAGGTTGCTAAGAGGAACCCCCAGGGGCGAAGGGGATGCAGGTTCAACTGACCTGCCAGATCAGGCCGCCCGGGGGACAGTGGAAGATGAGGCGCCTAATCAGCTGTCAAGGGTGATGGGACACGGGAGGAGGTCGTCACTAAACAGACTTTGAGCCAGGCCTGTTAAACCAAGTTCTCAGCAGGATGTGCACAGAGGGCCCAGGAGGAGCCTCAGGAGCCGGACTGCCGTTGGCCAACCGGTGAGTCTGTTATCCGTCAGTGGACACTCTGCTTCCAGGTGCCTTGGCCTCGGCCCGCGTCCTGAAGGCGGGAGACGTTGCAGCCACGTGCTGGCCTTCCCGGTGCTCCTGCCAGCGTCCCGCTGCTTGACACAGTCCAAGTTTTGTATCCAGACCCAGCCTGGGACAGCAGCCTCCCGACAGCCCCCAGGCCCAGCCTGTCTGTGACAGTCACGCCTGCTCAGGGAACCATCCCTCCGTGCAGATCTGGGCTGTGTTTTGGGTGGTACCTCGGGTGTGGGGTCCCCTACCAGGTGCGAGGTTCATACTCCCCAGGCTGCCTCCTGTCCTCAGGGCTTGGAGAGTCCCATGTTCTGAAAATGACCTCTTTTCGAGCCGGGCAAGGCCGCATCTCCTTTGGCAGTGTAGTGTCTTCCCTGGAGGTGGCATTCCTTTTTGATTTGCCTTCTGTGCTTGGGAACCTCACTTCCTCACTCTGGCCAGCTCTGCCAGCAGTTTGGAGCTGGTTCAGCGCCCCACCGCCCTGCCTTGGCCTGCGCCCGGCCCTCCAGGGTGGCTTCTCGCCAGTTCCTGTCAGGCCTGCCTGGGCAACCAGGCCTGGGCACCTCCCTGTCCCTTGCTCAGAAAACCCACAGGCTGTGGGGGCCCGGGAGCCAAGCCTGGTGCGCGGGCAGGAAACGCATCCTGGAGCACCAGCTTCCCTGCCCTGCCCGCCTCACGGGGTGCCTGGGGGCGTGCCTCAGCCTGCTGCTCCTGTAGTCTGTTCCTGTCTCCCTGAGCAGGCTGAACATGGGCATACGAGTGACCAGCGTGATCGTGTCCAGGCCAGTGCCGCATTCTGTGTGGTCCAAGGGAAAACCTTCTCCAAGTCCACGGCCCGCCCTTTCCTCTGCTGGGTTACGGCCAAGGGCGCCAGGCCTCACTGGAGGACATGGATCCTGGACCCGGCCCTCGAGGCTGCTGCCTTCCAGTTTCCCCATGTCCTGGACACTCTTGGTCTCACCATTTGGGAGGCCGACAGGGGATGCAGAGTGGCCTGTTGGAAAGGCCTTATGTGACCCCAGGCTGAGTCCCTGAGCAGCCTGCTGAGGCCGGAGGGGAGAAGAGCTGAGCTTCTCCCTTGCTGGGCCAGGCTCGGGCTGTGGAATGGCTGCCAGCTCCCTTCCTGGGAGAGGCTGGGTGGGGTCCACAGCACCTTCCTCCCGTCCCACAGGAAGCTGTCTTCTGCTGTTGGCTGCTGGGGGCGACTGATGTTTGGATCCCTGAGCACCCTGCCAATCCCAGACTCACCTTCCCACTCTTTCCAGAGTCCCCAGGGAGACACTTAAGGGAAATTAAACTGCAGAGTGCAAGAGATGCCTCAGTCAAGTCAGCCAAAAACACGCGGGTCATCCCCAAGCCCCAGAGAGGTGAGTCGGGCAGGGCACTCAACTGCTGCAGGAGGATGGTCTTATTTCTAGCACTTTCCACAGGAGGTAAATGTGGTGGGTTTGGGGGGTTTTTCAAATGCATCAGTGTCTGGAATGGGTTCTAAGCTGCTAAATAATTCTTAGAGGTAAATGACAGACATGTTGCCCTAGATGTAGCTAGACAGCCTTCCCTCTACAGTGAAGTCTCCTCCACCCTCAGTGACAGAGCCCCGATGACACGGACACCTCGGCTGCTGTCACTTCCCTGGTTCGGGCCTCCCACAGGCTTTGAATTGAAGGCGAGTGCCTCAGAATTTGCATCCATTGTTCTGTCTTTCCTGGGAAGTTATTCATCCTGGTGGCCAGCCCACCGACAAAATGGATTTGGATCTACTGGACCTGAATCCCAGAATTATTGCTGCAATTAAGAAAGGTACATTTATTTCTATTTACATAAAGGGTGTGGGTGGGTGTGTGCAGTTTATATAAGGCAGGTTAACAAAACGCTGGCTGGCTAAGCCTTCCTTCCTTTGCCTACCCTGATTATTAAACCGAGGGCGGGATGTACTATGGGATTTTCAGGTGTGTGTGTGTGTGTGTGTGTGTGTGTGTTCTTAACTACATGGATTTCTTTCAGTTACTTTTATTTTTATCAAAGTAATACATGCATATTGTCTAAAAGGTAAAATGGAGCCACATAAAGTCTTTTAGTTTTTTTTTTTTGGAGACGGGGTCTCGCTCTGTCACCCAGGCTTGAGTGCAGTGGTGCGATCTCAGCTCAGTGCAAGCTCCGCCTCCCGGGGTTCACACCATTCTCCTGCCTCAGCCTCCCGAGTAGCTGGGACTACAGGCGCCAGTCACCACGCCCGGCTAATTTTTTTGTAAATTTAGTAGAGACAGGGTTTCACTGTTTTAGCCAGGATGGTCTTGATCTCCTGACCTCGTGATCCGCCCGCCTCAGCCTCCCAAAGTGCTGGGATTACAGGCATGAGCCACCGCACCCGGCCGTCTTTTAGTTATTTTTTTAAAAAATATTTACATCTGGGCTCCTAAACGTGTTTATGTTGTAATGTTTGATTTGTCAGTGTTACTGATTATCCATGGACTTCTCTTGGGGGCTGTGAGGACTGAGCGTGCCTACACCTGTGTACCCCAACTTCCTCTCCCCCCAGCTCCCTGCCCATACTTAGAACCTAGTTTGGGTGACATCAGCTGTCAGGGTTGTGACTGGGTGCATACTGGCCATTGTTGAACCTGGTGTGGTGGTGCAGGGGATGGTTTTCTTTCTTACAGCATCTTTTTTCGCCCGAGTTAGTAAATGCTCAAAACTCAGGCCCCACGTGCAGCCCCTGCCCCCTGCTCCCCATGCCAGCCGCCTGGCTGTCATCCGGGGACCCTCCTGCCAGCTTCCATCCTCCCCCGTCTCCCCGGGCCTCAGCTACGTGAACCTCAGCACGCTGTCTGTGGCGAGAAGCCGGAGTGCTCATGGAGCTGCCGCAGCAGCCTGGTGACAGGGCAGGGCCTCGCTGTCCTGACCCTCCATCCTTGGCTGTTGGTTTTTATCCTCCTGTTGGTGGCCTTGTGATCACAGCTGCTGCCACAGCTGCAGACACGACGCTTGCAGACCAGGGACAGAGAAGGGCTCAGCCAGGGAGTTCCTTTCTCACCTGTGTCTCTTATCCAAAAACCAATGTTTCCAGAAGTCCCTGCAGACTTCACGGCTGTGAAGGGGGCTGGGGCTGTGAGGCTTACCAGGGGGAGCGCCCTGCCACAGCCCCGATCCCGGTGAGTCCTCAGGGCCCACAGAGCCTTCTGGAGCAGCCTGTCTGCGGGAAGCCCCCTCCGCTGGATCTGGTGAAACCCAGGGGCGCTTTCTTCATTCCCACCCTTCCATCTCCTTGTGTTTTCTGTGTGGCTTTTCTGAAGATCACACCAGTGCTTACTGTTTTCCAGCCGCACAATGGTTGTCTTTTCACTGCAGCGTTCAGCGCACCCGTGTTGAGGGGGTTTCTGATGTGGTGGGTGTAAGTCCCCGTGGCCGGGTGGGGCGCTTCGTCCACCACTGCTCCCTCTCGTGTGCGCTTCCTCGCACTTCCCTGATCGGCTGATCAGTCTGCAGCATTTGTCGTCTTTCTACAAGTTTGAAATTAGAAAGTGATGCACTTATCTGAGTCCAAAATTAACTTCCTTGCCCTCCTCCCCAGATGGCAGGTCCTGGGGATCTGCACCCCTGTAACTGCTGCCACCGCCGTTCTGATTCGCACATGCTCTGCCCCCTGCCCTGACTGCCCTGCGCAGCTGGCGTTTGGACCTGGGCTCTGCTACCCTCCCAGCGCTCCCCTCCCCAGGGCACATGTCCTCTCCCGCGGCTCAGCCCAGATCCATGCCTGGTGGGCGGGTGGTGGAAAGCTCGGTGCTGGTTTTTTCCTGCCCCCTTCTGGAGCACTGTCTCCAGCTGGCATGGAACTGGGTGCCTGTCGTTTCTTCTCAGTACCGGAACCTGCTCTCAGCACCGGGACCTGCCCAGCCCTGTCTTCTGGCTTCTGCCCCAGCTCACGAGGCTGGTATCTGTCCGAGTGCCAGGACTCAGGGCGCAGTGTCCAGCAGCCCTTTCCTCGTGCCTGTGCATCGGCCACACTGTGTCCAGGGTTTCCAGGGAGCAGGGGATCCGGTCCCTACCCACCTTGTCCCCAGAATCGGAAGCACGGTGCTCTCACAGTGCTCTTAACAAAGCACCTTTTGTCACTGTGTTGCCCTGCGTTGTGACAGTCTGACATTTTCCTGTAATTTATCTGTGTTATTTCAGCCAAACTGAAATCGGTAAAGGAGGTTTTACACTTTTCTGGACCAGACTTGAAGAGACTGACCAACCTCTCCAGCCCCGAGGTCTGGCACTTGCTGAGAACGGCCTCCTTACACTTGCGGGGAAGCAGCATCCTTACAGGTAGGTGGGCCCTGGCATCTCTGCCAGGGGTGACATGTGGCTCCAGCATCATGGTCCCAGTGGTGCAGGGCAGGGGCTGTGCAGACTTCACCCAGGGACCAGCCTCAGGGCGTGTGGCAGCTGCTCCAGCCCCAGAGTTCCCATCTTGCTTGTCCTACACCCATGGGGCTGTGGTCACAGCATCGGGTCAGAAGATGCGTGAGGTGGACACGGGCTGTGGGACCTCCTGGGGACCTTGCTCCATGGACCAGAGGAGGGGGTGCAGGAAGCAGGGGTGGATTTGGCAGTCAGCACCCAGAGCCCTTCAGGCTCTGGCAGGGTGGGAACGGTGTGAGATGGGGCCCTGGCCACGGTCCCACCACCACGTGTGGGAAACCAGGTCTCAGCAGGGGAAGGAGGTACCCAGGGAACCCCATGCGCCTGGACGGACAAGGTTTCCATCCCTGCATCTCAGCAGGCCCTAGTAGGCAGCGGGGTCCTGGCATGAGCAGGGCCCTCTCTCCCCTGCAGGTGGCTCAGTGGCCCAGGCCCCGAGGAACGTGCTGAACTTGGGGCTGCCGTGGTGGGCAGGTGCCACGGCCACACACACGGTGCTGTGGGCAGGGCTCTGGGCAGGCCTCACAGTCAGGGTGGCCTGCTCCACCTGGACGGGGTGCCCAAGGCAGTGTGCAGACTCCAAGGGAGGGGCTGCTCCTCCCGGCCCAGGCCCCAGGCCAAGAGCGCAGCCTGCACCGCATGTCCCACCTTGAGCCTTGCCCTGAGGGGCTTCGGTGTCGTGGAGGAGGCTGTGTCAAATGGCTCATCCAAGGCCCTTTAGCCAAGAGGCTGAGACCAGCATTGCTCCAGAATGGTATCTGTCACAGAGAACTGACGGCATGTGGTGTGCATGTGTGCGCGCCTGCGGGAGCCCATTAAAGCCGCTTGAGAACTGTTCAGCACCCCAGGGCATCCCAGCTGGACAGAGCTGTGCCTTTTTCTTCACATGGAGGCTGTTAGGGAGCGCCTCGGGGCTCTCTGGAAGCTTTGGCTGAAGGCGTCTGGTGCTGCAATTGCCCCATAGGGGGATCCCTGCGGGCATGTGATGGTGGCCCTGGGGCTCCCCCTGACTCTGCATCTCAGGTGCACCCGCCCTTCCCGGCTGGGCCCCCCTCCCTGCCCTCAGCACCTTGCTCACCCCCATGACCGCAGGCACCTGTGCTCCAGCCACACTGCACCTGGCACAGGCAGGCTGACCATGCCTCCCGCAGTCCCCAGCCCTGCCCGCAGGCCCAGGAGAGTCAGGCCTGACACTATCCCTGCCCTTTAGCACTGCAGCTGCACCAGCAGAAGGAGCGGTTCCCCACGCAGCACCAGCGCCTGAGCCTGGGCTGCCCGGTGCTGGACGCGCTGCTCCGCGGTGGCCTGCCCCTGGACGGCATCACTGAGCTGGCCGGACGCAGCTCGGCAGGGAAGACCCAGCTGGCGCTGCAGCTCTGCCTGGCTGTGCAGTTCCCGCGGCAGCACGGAGGCCTGGAGGCTGGTGAGTGGCCACCCCTTCCGTGGGGTCTGGGCAGGTGGGCGGCCCCTGCTTTGTGTGGGACAGCTTTCCGTTGAGGTGGGGCAGTGGCCGCCTCTTGCGCTGTTCCTACCATTGCGTCTCCCTCCTTCTCACCCTGATTGCCCTCGCTCCTTCCAGAACAGGGAGGGGGAAGTGAGGCTGGGCTCAGCTGACAGCAGGAGGGGTGGGAGGGTACGAACCCCACCACCAGGCAGCCGGCCCTCAGCAGAGCTAGGCCCCCAGGGGTCGCTGGCTGAGCACAGCGATGCCGGCCCACGTTCCGCACAGCTGCCAAGCCCAGAGTCCACAGAGCCAGCAACGCAGGGAGGGCAGCACAGCCTTTCCCCGGGTGCCCCGCCGCCAGGCCAGGTATGCTCCTGGCGCGGCCCCGTGAGCCTGTACGCTCTGTCTGTGAAACGAGGGTTCCCTGCATTGGACTAAAGCGTTCAGAGCATGCCTGCCTGGGTCTCTCAGGTGTTAAAAGTTCACGTAGTTTTAAACTGTGAGCTGTGAGGAGGAGAGATGTTTCTCAGTAGCTCCTTAACTTTTAAACTAATTCCCTGGTGTCAACATGCGATTCCCACGTTGTCTTAAACTCCACGTGAACAGAGTGGCAGTATTTTTTCATCGGTGGCACCTCCGAGCACATCTGCTAGGCTCACTTCCCACACAGGGCCGGACCCCAGGCCCTGGACCCACAGGCCCAGCCAGCCACCTCCTCACGGGCCTGACCTGCCAGCAGCGGTGTGGCTGGGAACCTCACCTCTGCCACCCTCAGGTCAGCGTCATCCCCAGGACCCAGGGTGTGCTGTGCCTGCCTGAGCTTCAGTGCTGGGTGGAGGGTGAGGGGTCTCCTGAGCCTCCGTGTCGGGTGGAGGGTGAGGGGTCTCCTGAGAGCCCAGCTGGGGTCTGCTCACGCCACAGGCATTTTTGTCCCTGCAGCCCAGGGGAGGGCACCCTCTTGTCAGGTGCCTGAGTCCCTGCGGCTGGTCTTGGGGATGAGCCTGGAGACAGCCAGAAGCCGGGAGGACAGGAGTTGGCCTTGAAAATGGGAGTCTCCCGCTTACCGCACGGAAGAGCTGCTGTGAGGTGGAGGCGGGACTCGAGCGTGCTCAGGAACGGGACGGGAGCCGCCCTCATTCTCCAGCGTCCTCCGTGCCAGGCTTCGTGCAAATCTGATTTGTGCAATGACTCCCCCTCAGCTTCCACCCCGTTGGCCTTTTCAGTGAAGCCCACACTCCCCGATACCCAGGGACACAGAAGCCTTAGGACACCCTCCCTGAATCCCCCAGCTGTGCCCAGCCCAGTGACTGCTGCGGGATGACAGCACAGTCCAGCCTTGCGGGCCAGGGGAAGGGAGGGGGCCCCACGGCCACCGTGACCACATGCAAGGTTAGGGGTCAGATGTGCTTTCCTGGGGAAATGACTTCCTTTCCTGGATCCAATCTAAAGGCCCGAATTTTGAAAAGAAAGCGGCAGGCGGGCTCTGAAGTGATTCCGACTCCCGTGCTTAAGCCGCGTGAGGCTCTCCCAGGCCTGCTGGGGCCCCGCCCACCGCTGGGCTGTCCACAGCCACCCTCCTGCCAGCTTCACGATGTCCCCATGACTGTGCAGCCCCTACATAACGTCACCCCAACAAAAACACGCTGCTTGACCGGTTCCACCTGCTTCCGAGCCTTCCAGCCCAGCCTCTCTCCAGCCAACAGGACGGAGGAAGCCCAGGGCCCCGACCTTCCTGTGGCTCCTGACTAGGGGCACAGTCACTGCTGGGGACACTGGTGGGGAAGGGAACCAGCCACAAAAGGGATGTGGCCTCCCAAGGCAGTATTTATACGTTCCTGGCCTCAAGCGGGCCAGATGCTTCTCAGAAGCTTAGTTCTGACACAGAATGGGGCGGGGGGTTCCTGACCCATTTTTGCAACTCTTCTTTACGTTTGAAATTCTGTCAAAGCAAAATCAGCTCAGAATTAAAGGTTACGCGGACACTCACAAACAGGCTGCATGACACGGCGTGGGGGCACTGGCTCTCCCACAACTGCATGTGCCACTGCAGGAACAGGACGACGCCCCGTGGGCCACGGGGTCCTGGCTGGGCAGCCTTCCTGGCATAGTCAGTGCTTAGAGAGCTCGCCGGCCTTGTCTTTTTGTTTTTGTTTTGCAGGAAACTGGAGTTTTATTATTACTCAAATCAGTCCCCCTAAGCCTTCCTGTTTTTTAAATTGAGATGTAATTTACATGCCATAAAATTCCCTCTAAAAGTGTACAGTTCGGCCTGATAGGCGCAGTACCTCATGCCTGTAATCCCAGCACTTTGGGAGGCCGAGGCTGAGGCAGGCGGATCATGAAGTCAGGAGTTCGAGAGCAGCCTGACCAACATGGTGAAACCCAGTCTCTACTAAAAATACAAAAATTAGCTGGGCGTGGTAGCGCACGCCTTGTAATCCCAGCTACTCAGAAGGCTGAGGCAGGAGAATCACTTGAACCCGGGAGGCAGAGGTTGCAGTGAGCCGAGATCGCACCACTGCACTCCAGCCTGGGCGACAGAGTGAGTCTCTTGTCTCTCAAAAATTAAAATAAAATAAATAAATTCAGTGGCTTTTAATAGAAGCACAAAGTTCTGTGCCCGTCACCACTATCCAATTCCAGAACAGTTCCCTCACCCCAAAAGGAAACCCTACCCATGAGCAGTCAGCCCCCACCCCCAGCAGCCTGCCTCCCCTTTCCCTACCTGTGACTCTTCCTGTCCTGGGAGCTCCATGCAAGTGCAGCCGGACAGCACGTGGTCTCGTGACAGGCTTCCTGCATTGGCATTGTGTTTTCGAGGTTCATCCGTGCTGGAGCAGGTGTCAGAACTGCCTTCCCTTTTAAGATTCGATCATCCCACTGTAAGGATGGGCCGCACTTCATTCGTCCACTCCTCAGTTGATGGCCTTTGGGCCGTCTCCCCCCGGGCTGTCATGAAACGTGCTACGGTGGACGTTCTTTCTCTTGGGTATCTACCTAGGAGTGGGGCTGCTGAGTCATGTGATTTGTTTAACTTTTTAAGGAAGTACCGATTGTTTTCCGAGCTGCACCATTTTACATTCCTAGCGGCAGTGCACAGGGGTCAGGGGTCTGCCTCCTACACATCCTCACCAACACGTGTCTTTTCAAGCTGGCTTTTTGAATTTCACCATGGAGCCCAGATTGCAGGAGCTTTGAAGAGAGGAAACGCTTGCTCAGTGGGGGCCTTGAGGGTGGCCATGTGTCGGGGCTCAGGGGCCATTTCCAGAAGGCGTTGCCCTGATGCTGCCACTTGCTCCCTGCCCTGCAGTGGGGAACGGAGGTTCACAGGGGGAAGGAGGGGCAGGGTGGAGCAGGAGAGGCCTCCCATCTGTGGCCATTCCAGCCCAGGGCCCAGGACAGGGGAAGTCCTTGCCTGGGTGTCAGAAGTGGAGACCCAGCCCATATTCCTCCTGAGGGGTCACCTGGCCCCGGAGGTGGCTGCCAGTGGGAGGGTGAGAAAAAGCACCAGCCTCCTCCCTCCCCAGGCGAGGGGCAAAGAACCTGTGAGGGGCAGAGAGTTAGAAATGGCGGGAGACATCTGCACTTGATTTGTGTGGCAGTCACAGGCCCGTCTGGAGTCCCCTGGGCACATCAGGCACTCTTGCTTCCCAGGAGCCGTCTACATCTGCACGGAAGACGCCTTCCCGCACAAGCGCCTGCAGCAGCTCATGGCCCAGCAGCCGCGGCTGCGCACTGACGTTCCAGGAGAGCTGCTTCAGAAGCTCCGATTTGGCAGCCAGATCTTCATCGAGCACGTGGCCGATGTGGTGAGTGTGGGAGAAGCCCCATGACACCCCCAAGGCAAGCTATTCAGGACCATTGGGGCAGGTGTAGCCACCACGGCAATGGGGTCTCACAGCAGGGCAGGGAGAGTTGGGGCTCAGCTCTGAACACAGCATGGGTCATGGGGGTTTACGCCCGAGGAGCAGGTGGGGTCAGAGGATGGAGAGTGACTGAGAGGAACTGGCAGGGGAGGGAATTCTGGCTAAAGCATCCTGCCAGGACCCTTGCTGAAGGTGTGCCTTGGGGATCAGACGGCCTCTGGGGACTGTGGAGGATGGACCAGTCAGCTACTGAGGGCGACTGGATACGGAGAGCAGGGGTCCTGCTACAATCTCAGCAGGGATTGCCAAAACTGGATTTCATGAGGACGTGCACAGATGGGCCTAGGAGGAGGCTCAGGAGCCTGACGGCAGTTTGGCCAAACAGAATCCTGGCCAGGAGTGGCTGTGGGCCAGGCAGGCAGGGCGGCAGGCTGCGACACCCAGTTACATCTGAATCTCAGGCAGCTTTGAAGCGTGTTCTAGAATGAGGATGCCCATATTCAGATCAACTTTCTTCATGATCTGAAACTCAGATGTAACTGGGCGCCTGTACACCATCTGTCAACCTTGCCCATGAAGACGGAGTGGGGAAGAGAAGCCCCAGGCGGGTGGCAAGGACCTCCTCTGGGCTGTGGGCCCCTGACCAGCTGCCCCAGGAGACCACCGCCCTGAGAAGGATGCGACCTGCTCTCCAGGCTGCTGCCCTGGTGAGATAGCTGTGTTGGTTTCCCCTTGCCCCTGAGGGGAAGACGGCCCTCACTAGGGGCACAGGGGCTCCACCTGGCCAAGGCCTGCTGGGCACCCAGCTCAGACAGGTGACCTCAGATCCTTGACCACTGCCTGGCTGCTGGCTTCCCTGCAGACACTGGCTGGGCTTGGAGGAGGGACCTATGGCAGGGCCTTGCAGAGAGCAGGGGCCACTCACCGGGGGCCAGTGGAGTCCGTCCTGTAGCCAAGAAGCAGGCAAGAGAGGCTGGGACCCATCCCTGCAGCTGGGGCAGCAGTGCTGTGAGCTGTCAGTGCTTAGTTTATAGACATCATCCTGGGAGGGAGAAGTGATGAAGTAGAAAAGACGCAGAAGAAAAGATGGGACGTTTGGGAGTAAACCCCTGACCAAAGGCAAGTAAGGAAATTCCACCCTGTGCAGGGGGAGCGGCTGCCATGTCCAGCCCACCCTAGACATGGCTGTGGCCTGGCAGAGCAGCTCCTGGGTGGGCCTTCCCCCACTTCTCTTTTTTTTTTTTAAGACAGTCTCGCTCTGTCGCCCAGGCTGGAGTACAGTGGTGCAATCTCAGCTCACTGCAAGCTCCACCTCCCGGGTTCACGCCATTCTCTTGCCTTAGCCTCCAGAGTAGGTGGGACTACAGGCGCCCACCAACACGCCCAGCTAATTCTTTGTATCTTTAATAGAGACGGGGTTTCACCATGTTAGCCAGGATGGTCTCGATCTCCTGACCTGGTGATCCGCCCACCTCGGCCTCCCAAAGTGCTGGGATTACAGGCGTGAGCCACCGCGCCCGCCAGCCTTCCCCCACTTCTAAGAGGTCTTATAAAAACTTTCAAGTAAAGCATAAGGCATATAAACTTTTAATTTAAAAAAATGTACAATAAAATACGTTATCGCACACAACGTGAGGAAGTTACACATGGGAAGGGAGCCGTGGGCCCAGCTCATGCCCCAGGTCTCCTGGGAGAGACCACGCCGCACCAGGGCACCAGCTTAGGCCCAGCCCCAGCCCCAAGGTCACGCCAGCCGTGTGGTTATTAGTATCATGTCCTATGCACACAGACGCAGGAGAAATGAGTGAGCGCTGCGGCTCCCGGCCAGGGGCCCTCCCTGCCGCCCTGGCTGTCCCGGGCCAGCTCCGGGCCACACTCGGCAGTCCCATCCTGGAGCGGGGCCAGGTCGGGGTCACTGCAAGAGAAGATAGAAGGTCAGGGCTGGGCCGCCAAAACCTGACAGTGTTACTAAGTTCTGTTCTGGAAACAGCTCTCTGGGGAACCCCCACCCCAAGTCTGCCTAGAGAAGAGGGTGTTGCTGGTTGTGAGCCTCCCTGGGGCCGAGGGGTCATGGGGGACTGGTGCGTCTTTGGTCTCTGCTCCCTGGAGCACCAAAGGCCTGCGTCTGGCACGGGGGAAGCCAGGGGTGTGGACACAGAGCCTTCTCTTGCATAAGCAGAGCCTGGTGCCATTCCCACCCCCCCACTCTGTGGCCCTTGGGCTTGCATGAGGATGGGGACCCTGAGCCAAGCCCCTCTTGGAGGCCCAGCCTGGCAGCTAGCAGCAGTCACCACTTGCCCATCCCCAGCTCCCCCCAGTCCCTGCATGTGCAAAGTCCCTCCCTGGCCCAGCTGCCTGCTTCCTGGGGCTGCAGGCCGTGGGACTCACGTTAGCGGTGGCGTCTTCCAGGCCACTGCTGCTGCTGTCGTTTTCCACAAAAAGAGGCTCGGCCAGAGACGCCCTGGAGATGAAGCACAGACGAGTTTCACTCAGGGCGTGCAGGCGGCCCTCAGGCGTCTTCAGAGCTCCGGGCGTGACACCAGCGTGTGGCTGCAGACCTTGGACTTGAGGGACAGCCTAGGGGCCCCTTAGCAGCCTCCATCTGGCCAGAGCTGCTGGCAAGGCCCGTGGGGCCTGAACTACACTGCTTGGTGCCAGGAGCAGCTGTGTCACCCTCCCCCATCACCATGGCTCACCAAGCTGTGCGGTCAGAGGCCAGGCCAGCCATGCCAATGGCTCTGGCACCCACAGGCCACGGCAGCACCCAGAGGGAGGCCGAGGACACCTGCCTTCACTGGGGGGGTCCTCCCCTGGAAGCTCTCCTGGGAGCTGGTGGGCACAGGGCTGTTTCCACCCCTTGGCCAGGCCAGGCCAGCTCAGAGCACAGGGCTAAGGCCTGGATGCACGGGAGGCACTGGCCTTGAGGGTGTCTCAACCTACAGCCCCATCCTGACCCCCAGGTGGTCTCCCAGAGTGCCCCACGCCTTGGCAGAGGCAGGCCAGGCCTGACTCGCCTGAGTAACGCCTGAAGGGCATCAGGCCCCTGCCTTGCTGAGCGTCTGAAGAGGTCATGGCCACCACGGGCTGGCTTTGGTGGCACTGTGGCCAGGTTTGGGTGGTCTGAGTACCTGGTGCGGGGCCACTGAAGGAGGGGGCTGGTTGCTGCTGACCTGTGAGGGGGAGAGGGTGAAACCATGGCAGAAGGAGAGCAGACCCCCGCAAGGACTCAGGAGCCTGCGCAAAGGACACCTCTACAGAGGACGGTGTTGGCACAGCCAAGGGGTGACTGCCTGGGGGGGCCAGAGGAAGGACATGGGGCCAAGGGAACCAGTTGTGTGAGCCTGAAGCTTCTATAGTTGGGGCCTCTTTGAGAAAAATACAGAATTGGGCTCAGAGTATGGGGACTACAGAGTATGGGCACTGTGAGCCCCAGGTGGGTAGGAAGGTTTTCAGACGGTCGAGTGACAGTCCAAACGGGGTCTGGTCACCTGGGGCGGGGACTTGCTGACCAGCATAGACAATGACAGCTGTCCCCACAGGACACCTTGTTGGAGTGTGTGAATAAGAAGGTCCCCGTACTGCTGTCTCGGGGCATGGCTCGCCTGGTGGTCATCGACTCGGTGGCAGCCCCATTCCGCTGTGAATTTGACAGCCAGGCCTCCGCCCCCAGGGCCAGGCATCTGCAGTCCCTGGGGGCCACGCTGCGTGAGCTGAGCAGTGCCTTCCAGAGCCCTGTGCTGTGCATCAACCAGGTGAGCACCAAGGCAGGGTTGCACCCCTGAGCTCGTATTTTTAGCCAGGATGCGGAAGCAGAGCCGGTCTGGAGGTGGGGCGGGTGGCAGTGAGGTGGCCTCCGGCTCCTGCGGGTAGCAGCCTGTGCCTAACCATCGAGAAGACCCTCAGCCGTTGCAGCTGACCTGGACTGTGCTCTTCCAGGTGACAGAGGCCATGGAGGAGCAGGGCGCAGCACACGGGCCGCTGGGGTGAGTGCAGCCATGTGGTGTGTGCACCTCTGTGCAGGTGCCAGGGGCACAGCTGGGCCGAAGTGGGCGGGGCCACCAAGCCTGAGCGCCAGCTTGCCTGCTTCCTGTTTCTCAGGTTCTGGGACGAACGTGTTTCCCCAGCCCTTGGCATAACCTGGGCTAACCAGCTCCTGGTGAGACTGCTGGCTGACCGGCTCCGCGAGGAAGAGGCTGCCCTCGGCTGCCCAGCCCGGACCCTGCGGGTGCTCTCTGCCCCCCACCTGCCCCCCTCCTCCTGTTCCTACACGATCAGTGCCGAAGGGGTGCGAGGGACACCTGGGACCCAGTCCCACTGACACGGTGGCGGCTGCACAACAGCCCTGCCTGAGAAGCCCCGACACACGGGGCTCGGGCCTTTAAAACGCGTCTGCCTGGGCCGTGGCACAGCTGGGAGCCTGGTTCAGACACAGCTCTTCCAGGGCAGCGGCTCCACTTTCTCATCCGAAGATGGTGGCCACAGACTGACCCCCATCTGAGCTGGGGGGATGTTCTGCCTCTCCCTGGGTCTGGGGACAGGCCCGCTTGCTGGGTACCTGGTCCCCACTGCTGAGCTGGCCCTTGGGGAGAGGTGATTCTCAGGGCTGGAGCCTGGGGTGTCCTACAGTGACTCCCTGGGAGCCGCCTGCTTCTTCTCTCCACATGGAAGCCCAACTGGGGTTGCGTCTGAGGCCTGCCCCCTGGGCTGGGGCCTCAGACCCCCTCAGCCTTGGGACCGTGCCCACGAGGGTCTCCCCTCCTGCACACAGGGCAGTCCTTACTCCCCCACCACTCAGGCCACAGTGGGGCTGCAGGCAGGCGGCTCCTCCTCACCCACCTCTGGGTCCTTGGCTCCCGGGGGCCCCACCTCGGCACACACTGTGCCCCACAAAACTTCAGTGTGGTACAAGGTGGAGAAAGCATATCCCACCAACCTCCAGTGTCAGGGTCCAGGAGAGCCTGGGGGTGGGGGGACTGCCTTGTCTCTAGTAGTGTGGCCTGTGCCAGCACCACAGCCGGTCAGAGGAGCGCAGGCAGCGCAGGGCTGGCACGTGACAGGCTCGTCAGCCACCTGGGAACACAGTTCTGGGCAAAGAGGATCCGAGGTTGAGAGGAAGGAGGGTCCCGGTGTATCCTGGCCCTGGGGGTCTGGGCGTCCAGCTCAGCCCTGGCCTGGCTGGGTGGTATTCTGGTAGGGATATGGCAGGACTCCTGGCAGGGCCACCTGCAGGACCCTGTCCTGCAGTCCCACACTGTGCAGACCCAGTCCCACACTGTGGCCAGGCCTTACATCTGGCTGGAAAGCAGAGCCTCCTGGGAACACATCTGGCTGCACAGGCTGAAATATCCACCCAGCAGGCAGAGTGGCGTGGCCTCCCCATGGGCACAGTGGTGACCCCCTTGATTCCCACCGTACAACCCCCTCCACCCCCCACTCAGTGCCTCCACATGCTGCCTGGCACAGACCAGGCCTTTGACAAATAAATGTTCAATGGATGCAGTTCCAGGACCTGCTTCTTGCTGTCTGCCAGGCACTGCTCTGAGTAATTTATACACATTGAAGTATGTTCTCCTCACAACTCCTAGGGATAGGTACTGTTACATCTCCACTTGCAGGTAGGGAAATTCAGGCCCAGAACCGTTAAGTAGCTTGACTCCTCCCACAACCCAGAGGCAGAAATTGTCACCCCCCACCTTATGTGCCCAGGGTGAGCCTGTGGGTGCTCCTACAGTGGGAGGAAGGGGGGCTGGCACTGGTTGGGGGAAAGGTAAGGGCTGGGGCCATACTGTGCAGAATTTTTCTGTTTGCCGTTTTCCAGGGTGGGACAATCCGTTTAAACCTTCATCATGTTATCAAGGCTCTCTATGACCCTAAAGTTAAGAATCACTGGCATGAACATGGGAAAAAGTTATTTTGGGGTTGGATTTTTACAAAACAGCCTTTCTGCAAAAGTGCAGGAATTCTACAATGGCAAGTAAGACATTTTATTTCTGTAATTGAACATAAGCAATTCCAAATGCTTTTCTAGGCAAGACATGCCAGCGATTAGAAAATGAGACAGCTTAAAGACAGAGGTACATTTAACAGAGAAAACACGCCTGGAAGCTCGGCCGGCCCCGCCCATGCTGGCTCAGTTCCTGCCCCTGGAGGGAAGGGGCCGAGGGGCTTCCCGTCCCAGGGAACTCCCACCACAGGAGTCTGCAGACGGGCTGGCCTGGCAGTCAGTCCCAGAACACTGACCATCCCCTTAGGGAGGCACCACGCCCTGGGGAGCACAGTTCCAGGCCAGGGCCATGGGTCTTGCCCTGAAGACCCTCCCTCAGGGACCACGCGCCCTGACCCTCATTGCCTCACCATATTATAAAACACTAAAACCGCTTAAGTTCTTCCCCACAGAGTTGGGGAACTAATTGTAAACAGAATACACGTCTACATATCAGCCCTGAGACAGCTGGCCCCGCTGCACACGCAGCCTGCTGGCCCCAGCAAGACACGGTCAGAGCTGGTAAGTGCTCTACAGCATTCAGAAATCTGACCACAGCGTACACACAGCTCACAAGTCAGTGCAAACAGAAGCTAATGACATCCTCCAAGAAAATTCCATACAGTTATGACAATGGAAAACCTGTTATACATTGTAACGATACATCATTAGCAATGTTTAATACATCTTACTATAAACACTGAATTTCTAAGTACATGATACTCCTAGCAGCTTAATCCAGAAAACAACGATGTGAATCCCTCCAATACTGTAAACACAAGACCAAGTGCTGCCCATGAGAGTGCCCCGTGCCACCCGCGGGCACCACCGGCCTCTGAGGACCCCTGAGCCACACACTGCTGCTGCTTCAGGGAAGCATCCATGTCACAGGACTTCCCCAGGGGCCTGATTTCTGCCACAGCTGCACCAACTACCCAGAGATATGCTGTCCGCCCACAGATCCAGACGCTCCCATGCCATGGTTGCTGGGGACGGGCGCTGCACACACGGCTGCTGTGGGGGGGGGCGGGGGGCGGGGGCGCAGTGATTATTTTGACAGCAACTCTGAAGAAACAGGTGCTGACTCTCGCGTGGGGTTCCTCTCACCAGAACGACCACACACAGGAGGAGGGATGCCTGGGCCCACCACTTCTCTCCTCTGAAGGGAAAAATTCAGACCGCCAGATGGGAAATGGCTGAAATCACCGCACTTCTATTGGGTGGAAGGGTTCAAACATCGGGGACTCAGGTACTCAGATTCCCTTGCCGCCTCCCTCTGAAACACGAACCTTCCTTTATGAGCTGGCTTCAGGGAGGCCCCCTGGCTTCTCTTACCCCAACACACAGTGCTCCCACAGCCACAGTGCTGCAGAGGCCACCTCGGCCCTAAAGTCCCATGGCTGGAAGCCACAGCAGGCTCCACAGAGGCCCCACACAACCTCGTCTGCACCCATCAGTCTGAAGAGGTTAAAATTCAACTCCATATTCAGCCCTATGTTTATTCCTTCTAAATGCCCTTTTTCCTTTCCAGATAACTGTCACTAAGGGAAACTGTCTGGGTTCCAAACTCTGCTCAGCATCCTCACAGGGAGAAGGCACCCCCACCACAAGGGAAGCTCCGGAGCCCTCCTCCCTGTCGCCTGTGCACAGACATAGCCCACTACGGGGGCAGCCACGGCACCTGTCAGGGGAAGCTGCTCTACACCCCCCTTTTTTTGGGGGGGGTTGGCTTCTCACAACCCATCAAATTATATATGTATATATATGTATGTATATATATATATATATATATACACAC
Source organism: Homo sapiens (assembly GCF_000001405.40). Lineage (NCBI taxonomy): Eukaryota > Metazoa > Chordata > Mammalia > Primates > Hominidae > Homo > Homo sapiens. The sequence goes on along the minus strand of NC_000014.9, from coordinate 103,695,334 downwards.
ACACACATATATATATATATACACATGGTTTTTTTTGCTAGACACAGGGACTCGCTGTGTTGCCCAAGCTGTTCTTGAACTGGGCTCAAGTGATCCTCCCGCCTCAGCCTCCCAAAGTGCTAAGATTATAGGATTACTGGCATGAACCACCGCACCCAGCCATATATATATATATAATTTAACATTTTTTCTTTTAATCCCATCCACTATTACAGAACCTATGAAATTTTCTTCAACACCTCTATGTAGCATTTAGAATGTAAGCTCCTGATCCACCAGAATCTGCAAGAATGGAGTCAGGAGCCTCAGAAAAGGAGCCACGGCCACAGGCGAGCAGCTCGGGGACAACGCTGGCTCCACAGGGCAGCTCCTGGGCCAGGCACCCGCTGGCGACTACACGGAGCTTGTCTTGTGGAAACAAACGCGCTTTCACAAACACAGCAGTCCTGCGACATGAGGCGGGATGAAACTTTGAAAGGTATTTTAAAGTCTAGCCTTGTAACAAAACCTCAGGACACTCTGTCCCCAGCCTTCGTGCCCCACGGGGAGCTTCTAGAGGCTGAAGGTGACAAGTGTGAGCCTCTGCTGTGCCACCACCCACCCTGTTACATGACAGTGGCAAGCTGAGCTTTCACGGGATGGCTGGTGTTTCACAGACCGCCCCTCCATCCCGTAGCCTAGTTGGCTGGCATGGAGGTGGCGCTGCTGAGCGTCAGCCTTTGGAATCACTGATCACCTCGGCGTCTGTTTTGTATGCTCTTTACCTATGGACTAGTTTGTGGACGGCTAAGAAATACAGCCTCAGCATTGATTTGAAAAGGTTCCTGTCAGAGTCCACCGTGCTCCCTCATTCCATAAAGCTTAAGCTTTTAAAAAGTGAAACGCCATGTTAGCCAGGATGGTCTCGATCTCCTGACCTTGTGATCCGCCTGGCGGGTGCCTGTAGTCCCAGCTACTCGGGAGGCTGAGGCAGGAGAATGGCGTGAACCCAGGAGGTGGAGCTTGCAGTGGGCCGAGATTGGGCCACTGCGCTCCAGCCTGGGCAACAGAGTTAGACTCCGTCTCAAAAAAAAAAAAAAAAAAAGTGAAACACACGTCTCTATGGGCTTCGTGTGCAGGGGCGTCCGGGAGAACACAGCTCAAAAGGGGGCATGGGGCCCCAGGGCCACAGGCATGGGGACCTTGGAAAGAGAGACCCGGAAGATGCTCCAGCTGGGAAGGAATTCACTTCCCACTGACCAGTGTCCGCTAAGCTTCAGGCTTTACTGCCATAGATCACTAAATGCCTATCGTTCTGAAAGGGGTACTTTATGTTTCCAGATTCTTAATTTACAGCCTTATTACAATATTACAATTTAAAAGAGAGTCTGGTGTCATGGCAAAAAGGTGGCAGGCAGGAAATGCAACAGCATCCGTGAGCAGGAGCCAATCCCCAGCGTGCTGAAGCCACCTCAGCGCCACCTCGGCCTCCCTGAGCCAGCCTGGCCGGGTCGCGGTCGGGGTGGCTCCTGGCACTGGGGCTGCAGGCCGAGTAACAGAATGCTGAGGCACGGCCTCCCGGGTGTTTTGAAAAGGCACCTCCAAGGTTGGTGGACGTCACTATCTAGGAAAGGAAGCCAAGGAGTGCGGCTGGCGCCTCCGGGCAGGGCGGTGAGGGGCGTGGCAGGGCGGGGCGGTCTCACACTCCCAAGACAGGTTACCTAGCCCTGCTGGCTCTCAGTGGGCCAGGTCAGTGTGGCTGGCACTCAGAGCTCGCGAGTCGGCCAGACAATTATTTCGTTCCTGCATGAAAAAACAAATAGAAAAATTACACTTAACCAGGACTTCAAATGATGCCAGCTTCAAATGGCCTCAGGCCTAACAGTACCAGCTGCACAGCTAAATCTAGGTTGGCACTCGAGAGGCCCAGGGGTCAATGTGCATGTAGAAACTCCAAGAAACTGGAGGGCAAACACTGGGTCAGCTACAGGACCCTGTAAAATGAAGAGACTTTCTTTCCTCTTGTCATTAGGGGTGCTTCAAGCAACATGTCCAGCACCCTACAAGCCTCTTTAACAGCCACCGAGAAGGGGGCTGGGGAAAAGCTTTCCCGAGATGGCTGCCTCCCAAGAGTGTTGGGGGACAGGTCGGGGCACTGGCCTGTCTGTGAGGATTAGTGGATCTGGACAACTGGGAGGGCAGTGCCTGGCCACTGTCGCGAACTCTCAGCACCAGCACAGGGGCAGGGACTGCCAAGTCCCAACAGCTCGAGCTGCCGGGTGGGCCCCAGGCACCTGAGAAACAGGTTCTAGAGCAGCCACAGGCACCCGGCCACCCACTGACAGCCACACCAAAGGGCGGAGTGGATGAAAACTCAAACGGCCTCCGTGATGGGGAAGGGAGGCAGTACTTTCAGATGTAAACCTGATGTGTCTGTGTGAGGCCCGAGCAACTGCACCGAGTGCTTCAGGTTTTAGTGTCAAACTGACAGCACGCTAGTCATCATGTTAACAGAGTTTTGAATACTTCTGAACACTGAACAACAGCTTAAGTAGACAATTAATTATTAATAGTTATAAACTTAGTAGAGGCTAAAATCAAACAATCATACAAACTAGTAATTGGTCGAGCTTTGACAGTACTTTAACAGAATACATTAATTAGGTTAAACTATTTTTAAAGACCATTTGAGATCATTAATTAATATTCTGAGAATGTTCACAGTGTGAACATGCCCATAATTCACATAATCAGTGGTTAAGCAGAATATAAAAATACTACTGTCACAACTGTCTGTCTAGGAACAAACGTGGCGGCGTCCCCAGCCCTCTGCAGGAGCAGGGGCCGAGCAGGGGCCGAGTGCGGGTCTGCAGCAGACCTGCCAGCGTGGTCTGGGCAGCCTAGGACACAATTCGGGGTAGGCTCCTTACTTGAAAGCGATCTTCAGCAGCCTTGCCACCCACGTTAAGGACATTCAGAGAGCTGGCACGCTTCATGCTGCAACCCGGACACGGACATGCAAGGACAAACGATCAGCACATCGGTCAACCAGCAACAGGAAGCACAAGCAAAGCCCCCTCCAACGCCTCTGTGACACTGGGGGCTCTAGGGACCTTGCCTTCATCTTGCTTGGGTAACCGGGGAGTCCTATGTCTCACTCTATTTAGTGCCCAGGAGAAAAGACCACAGCTTCTCTGCATCTTTCACAGCAAAATGCTTCTTTTAAAGTACCATATGCAAACTCAAAATGTCCTTAGACTTGCACTTTTAAAAAGTGGCTCATCTAGACTGGGTATAGTGGCTCAAGTCTGTAATCCCAATGCTTTGGAAGGCCAAGGCAGGAGGATCACTTAAGCCCAGGAGTTCAAGACCATCCCGGGTAACATGGGGAAACCCCATCTCTACAAAAATACAAAAATTAGCCAGGCGTGGTGGCATGCATCTGTAGTCCCAGCTGCTCAGGAGGCAGAAGTGGAGGATCACTTGAGCCCAGGTGGTCAAGGCTGCAGTGAGCCATGACTGCACCACTGCACTCCAGCCTGGGAGACAGAGCAAGACCCTGTCTCTCTTTAAAACAAAACGAAACAAAAAAAAGACCAGCTGCAGTGGCTCACACCTGTAATCTTTGGGAGGCTGAGGCGGGCAGACTGCCTGAGCTCAGGAGTTTGAGACCAGCCTGAGCAACACGGTGAAACCCCATCTCTACTAAAATACAAAAAATTAGCTGGGCATGGTGGCATGTGCCTGTAATTCCAGCTACTTGGGAGGCTGAGGCAGGAAAATCATTTGAACCCAGGAGACAGAGGTTGCAGTGAGCTGAGATCACGCCACTGCACTCCAGCCTACGCAAGAGTGAGACTCCACCTACCAAAAAAAAAAAAAAAAAAAAAAAAAAAAGCCAGGCGTGGTGGCTCATGCTTGTAATCCCAGCACTTTGGGAGACTGAGGCGGGTGGATCACTTGAGGCCCAGAGTTCACAACCAGCCTGGGCAACGTGGTGAAACCCTGTCTCTACTAAAAATGCAAAAAATTAGCCAGGCGTGGTGGTACACACCTGTAATCCCAGCTACTCTGGAGGCTGAGGCACAAGATTCACTTAAGCCCAGGAGGCAGAGGTTGCAGTGAGCCAAGATCACTCCACTGTAGTCCAGCCTGGGCGACACAGCAAGACTCTGTCTCAGAAAAAAAAAAAAAAAAAAAGTGGGGGGAACCATCTGGGAGCAGAGAGGCTCTGCCTTCAGTCTGATGCTTTTCAGGGAGGGTGCTCCAGGGCTCATGTCAGACTCGTCACCACTAAGGGATCATGAAGAGACACTCAAAACTCACTGCTAAAAGATGATGCATAAATATACTGTCATATTTTTTATCTTTCTATATTAAAAGCTGGGAAATCAACTTTATTGTTAGTAAAATAAACTCTGAAGCCAGTATTTTTCTACTTAGAAAGCAAAATGTAACATAAAGTCATGGTTCTCCACTTAAAGGAATACAGGAATGTATACATATATTTACTTTTCCTCCATCTGATGTATTTAAAATACTTGATGAAACAGCCTATAAATAATCTATAACTTAAATGATGGACAGTCATAAAATGACTATCGTTGTTCACCACCACCATGGATGCCTTTGAACATAAACTCCCCTGAAGTTTTAAAGCTAAAGCAACCGATACTGAGGGTTACTTGAATTCTGAACGTGAACTGCATGCAACATGGGACAGCGAACATGAGCGCAGCAGTTCCTGGGAAAGCCAAGGACGGTGGCTGTGAGGCTGAGGCACAGGCTTGAGGGGTGACAGGGACAGCCTCACACAGGACACTGGGATGAGGCTGAAAGCCCAGGGCACCCACCCGTGTGTCAGCAGTGCTGTGAGCACAGCGCCTGGCACATGGCAGATACTCAGCCAGCCCCTGCCGAACAACTGCACCAAAAGCAAGACCTGAATTTCCTTATCCCCAGGCAAAACTCACCCCCAAAATGTCCCAACCAGGACAAAACAAAAACATCCCAATGAAGCCCACAACAGACATTGCTGGAGTCCCAAACAGGTTTTTCTCTACCTAGAACCACTCAAGAACAAAGTATAAAATCAAACCAAATCACAAGTAAATTATCATCTGACATACTCAGTTATTCTTGCTATAAAGTGGCCATTAACTTTTTTTTTTTTTTGAGACGAAGTTTCACTCCATCGCCCAGGCTGGAGTGCAGTGGTGTGATCTTGGCTCACTGCAACCTCTGCCCTACTGGGTTCCAGTGATTCTCCTGCCTCAGCCTCCTGAGTAGCTGGGACCACAGGCATGCACCACCTGGCCCGGCTAATTTTTGTATTTTTAGTAGAGACGGGGTTTCGCCATGATGGCCAGGCTGGTTTCAAACTCCTGATCTCAAGTGATCCACCCACCTAGGCCTCCCAAAGTGCTGGGATTACAGGCATCAGCCACTGCACCGGCCGCCATTAACTCTTTTTAAAAGAGCTACACAACCTTCCCTCAAACCCCCTTTTACGAAACGAAAGAACAACTCGAATCCTCAACGTCTCTTCCTACCACTCTTGCGAACTGCCTTGTTTGAACACGTGGCATTCAAAACCTTTCAGTACAGTCACTGTTAGGAGTCAGCCAAACAGCAAGCTGCAAACACCCTGGTCCTTGAGCGATTCTCAAAAAGTGGCCCCGGGCCAGCAGCCCCAGCACTGTGGGAACTTGTGTGAAATGCAAATTCTGAGATCAGGGACTCAGGAATTGGAAACTCAGGGGTGGGGCCTCACAGTCTCTGTCTGAACAAACCCTCCAAAAGATGTCTGAGACTACTGTCTAGTTAATAAAAACAGTCACTCTTATTTGGAAAGATTATTCAGTTGTATGCATTTTACGGGATGCAATTTCCAAAGTCATGTAGAAAACGTTAGTCCGTGCAAGTGTGTGCATCTATGTCACATGGTTCAGGCTGGCAGTGCTACAGCCCCATGAACACTGACCACAGTTCTAACACTGGGGACTGGTCACACACTGCTACATTTTTATCACGGCAAAGACACAAAACACGAGAAAACAGAACAACTCTGAGAGCTGTCATGTGGGAGTGTGGTCCAAGTTACAACACTCAGCACCAGAACTGGACTCTGCACTTAAAAGGCTTCAAAACTTAAGAACCTCAAACAATCAGTGTGATCCCCTCCAGGAATTAAATAATGTCCAGAATGCTCTCTCTGGGCATCATGTAATTCCTGGAGGGGATCTGAGAGCTGCTGTGTGACACCTCACATCATTCCAAGGAAGCGACACCAAGCAGTCACACAGCACTGCTCCAACCCTCTCAATGCTGTTTAAGAAGAAATGTGTAATCTCAAAATTCATCGAGAGGCAGATAGTAATCTATCATTTTGGTTCTGGAAATCTGTAAACATTTTAAAATAAGATCACTATTCCAAAGGCAATTTAAAATCCATTTCCCCCAAATAAGAGTTCATTTGTTTCATTGTAAGCAATTTGCTGCTAAGTCCCCATAAACTTCCAGAAGTCCAGTCTTCAAATCCTTGGGATCTTCCAGGGAGTTTTCTGAATGAACATTTGTGGGGCTCCTAAAACTCCCTCTCCAGAAATGGGCTGGAAAACAGTTGTGAGAAGCTCCTTACAAAAGCCACGTCACTCCTCTTGCCTCAGGCCTGCACCTCTCTCACAGCCATGAAGAGAAGTCTCCATCCACGACAGAGACTCCCACAGGGATACCAAGCGGACAAGAGGGTGAGCCCTACCACTAAGGGACTGGGCCATCTCTGGCCACCCCGCACCCTGGCCGTGTATGGCAACAGTTCTAAGGGCTTAGGTTATCAGGGATACTGAGAGAGATGAAAAAGTGGACATACTTTTTTTTTTAAATAGCTTTTAAAAGACAAAATAGGCCAGGCACGGTGGCTCACACCTGTAATCCCAGCAATTTGGGAGGCCGAGACGGGAAGATCACCTGAAGTCAGGAGTTCGAGACCAGCCTGGCTAACATGGTGAAACCCCGTTTCTACTAAAAATACAAAAAACTAGCCAGGCGTGGTGGCATGTGCCTGTAATCCCAGCTACTTGGGAGGCTGAGGCAGGAGAATCACTTGAACCCAGGAGGCGGAGGTTGCGGTGACCGAGATGGTGCCATTGCACTCCAGCTTGGGGAACAAGAACGAAACTCCATCTCAACAACAACAACGAAAAAGACAGAGTAACGAAACAACTGATCAGGCACATAACTTTATTATTTCCAATATGTTCTCCAGAAGAACTCGGTTTCACCATCCTGAGGTGATCAGACTTCTTACTCACAGAACTTAAAGTGGGATCACTTGTAAAATAGTTTTACTAGGAATCAGTCTCTAAAAAGTCGGTCACCATTTAGGAAGTCAGAGTTACACAGAGTGGCTGGCAAAAGTCTGCCTCATGAGAAATACGTCCAAGCCAGGAGCAGCTGCCCAGAGGTGACCCTGGACACTGCGGCAGGGACAATCTGTCAACTTTGTGCACCATATTAAAAACAAAGGATATCTTAAGAACCAAATTCCTTTGACAACTTAAATGTTATTTTTCAAAAGCCTCTAAGACCCATGACTCAAACCTTTTTTTAAACATATGAAAAGCCTGAGGTTTTGAAAATCTCCTTATAATAAAGTCTTAAAAGTTCTGATCCTATTTGAAACCATTTTTCTCCCTATTATAATACTGTATGAGATTTAATATAGTCATAGCTAACATCTGATTTATTTAAAAGATTAAAATTTTTAAAGAATTTAAACTAATGCTAATTTAAAAAATAATGCATATCTAGAGTAAACAAGTTCAAAATGCTCAACATTTTAATATAAATGCCCACATTTCGTTGCTAAGGCTTTCTTAGAACATGTGACAGAATCAAAAAATTCCATAAATTTCTTTTAAAGGTATTCGCCCTTTAGCCACTAACAGGAAGTTACCCAATTACTTCTCAACCTATCCTGGGAAAAACCTACGTGGCAACTATGAAACCCTTCGGTTGTGAGAATACGGGAACCAACTGGAGTGTCTTTCCTCAAGTCTGTGGGTGAGGAAGGCTGCGCTAGGAAGAGAAGCGGCCCAGCAGCCGGCGTGCAGGGAGTCGGGAGAGCTGGAAGAGATAGTTACCCGGGGTTCTTTGGCTCACTCTCTCGTGAACTTCCTCCCTTCAGCTTCCTAACCAGCTTCTCACTGCTGCGTCTAATGGAAGCCCGGAGTTTGCTAAAGGAACCACTGCGTTTTAAAGATCCAGTGCCATCCTGAAAAAAACGTGAACAAACGTGAAGCTGCAGGTGGTTCTCCCTCCTTCCCACAAGAGCCACACCGGGTGCAAATAAGAGCTCCACCAAGGCCGCCCTGCTTGCCAGCAGCTCACTGCTGACAGAGTCTTGCAGAAACCACCAATTACCATGTACGTGAATATACTTTAACTAGAAATTGTTCTTTTTAAGTTTCATTAAAGATAATCCAATGATCATGAAAACCTTTGGACATAAGGAAGCTCATTCAAACAAGTGATCGCATCCCAAAAGCAATGTGAATCCTGCTATTTTGAGACAAAAGCCAACACACAAAGTCTCAGGAAAATTAAAGCAGCTTCTAAGAATATCATCAAAATCGACTTCCACATTTAACAGATACATAAGCATCTGGTACAAGTAACACAGTACAGGACCCAAACCATTTGGATCTGACAGAGGCTCTTCCTTTTAACAGTTTCGTCTAAATGCAATAGTTGGAGGTACTGTTTCCTTCAGTAAATTTTACAGAACAGTTTCATTAAATGTTAACTACAAAGGTGGTTGGAAAATTAAATAAAATGCCCATTCTATACAAATAACTAAAAATCCTCAGACAACCTTGTAGGGAGGTGAGAGTGCCCAGCTCTCATCTTAATTGATTCAGGTATTAATAAGTGAAATACTTGGCAGTATCTGAACATGAAAATAAAAAACACAGAGTGAAGAAGATGTGCATACAGCAGCATTTCTTCTTGGAAGGAACTCCTTGGTGAGATGAACTGTCACCCCATGACCCCTAGCAGCTGTGCCATGCGGCGTTTCATGGATAAAGAGTGAGAAGTTCTACCAAGCAGACAGACACCAAGACACAGGTCAGTCGGAGTGAGTTTATTAGAAGTTAGAAAGACACAAATACACAAATCACTGAGCACTTCAAGATTAGTAGAGAAAAGCAGAATGCCCAAATTTCACACACAGACTACACAGCAAATGCTACTGGGGCATATCCTAGGGAGACCCGGAGTCCGAGCGGGGCCCCCAGGGCTCTAAGTACCACGGAGCACGTGCGGCACATGCCTTGCTGTAAGGCTTAGTTACGTCAACAGGTCACCGTCATGCCATTGCAACAACACCTTGTGTGACACTTAACTACCTGTTACCAAAGTGAACAGCTAATCGCTCTTAATTTTTAAACTCGTGTATTACACAGTAAATGGATTTTATTAATACAGTTTATATTACTAAGTACATATCTGGCAAAGCTACATGTATACAGAAATCAGGAACCCCCCCAAAAAGGACAGCAGCACCGAAAGGAATGGCCAGTTCACAGAGAGGTGCAGCTCTGACAAGATCCTAGAGGCTGCTAGACACAGCGGGCAGCACTGGAGAGAGAAGGGAAGCTGCGGGAGGCGCCACCCGTCATGCAGGAGACAGTGTGAGAGTCACGGGCGGCTAGGCCTGTCAGACAGAAAGGAGAGAGAAAACCCACGTGAAACCGCGGCGAGGAAAGGCAACAGGCTCTGCATAACAGCCTGGCTTACAGTATTTCTAGGTCACAAGTCTCAGCAGCCTTCTGAGTGGCTTTAGGACTGGGATGACCTTCTGCCTGCTTCTACCAGTCCAGCATAAAGCAGGTGCTGGGCCTCATGGTGCATTTCACAGAATCCAGACTGGTCCATTCCCAATGGTCATCAAAGTAAATGTCAACACTTTAAGCGTAAAGATTGGCAACGTATTAGAAATCTCCTTGACACTTGGTGTAAAAGGCTTTACAAGTAACTGTATATAAGGAGATTATGCAATGAAAAACATAGGGACCAAAATAAAGGCTACAGGTATGACTTTCATTCTCTTAAAAACACATTTTAGACATTTCAGAAACTTTAGGAAACCACGGACTTTAAAAGTCTACAGCCCATTTTAAACATGCAGTTGATAATCCAAAAGAAAATTAATTTCCACAGGCAGCAATGCGTCCTGGGTCCTGCCAGGTTGGAAAGCCGACGTCTCGACAGAAGCGCCAGACGGCAGGGCCTGCGCCCCGCCCGCTCGGACTCACCATGGGACGCTGAGCAAGTCAGTTAACCAGCCCGAGCTTCATTTTCCTCATCTTTAAAATGGAAAAATAACACTTGTTACCAACACCTCAAAAATGTGGGGAGGACAAGAAAACATAAGTTTTTGCTGCTCTTGAGAAAAAGGATGCTAAAATGCTAACGTATCGTCATTAACAGTGCAGCCCCTGCTGTTCATTTCAAAACTCAGCGCTACACTACAGTAGTTTATAATACACCTCAACTAAATGCTTGGCAGAACACAGAAGATTCATTTCACTCAGATTCAAAAGTATTTCATGTGACACACACACACACGCGTGCACACACGCTCACTCATGCTCTCTCTCCCCTCTGCAGCTGCTGGAGTAGCAAGCTGACAGCTGACAGCTGGGCAATGGGCCCAGGAGTCCCAGAATTGGGGTCCGACCCAGCTGCCTCCTCCTCCCTGAGCCTCTGCAGACCCAGACCAGCACCTGGGGTTGGCAGTGGAGCGGGTCTGCCCCACTCTGGGTCAGTCTGCCTGCTTCCCTGAACTTGCCACCTGAGGACCTTGGCTGTGAGAACCAGGGGGAAGGCCGGCGGCTGCCCTGGCCCAGGCAGATTTCCATTCAACTGGACTTCAGGGCCTGGGAGGATTCACTGCATTCTAACAGCTTAAGAAACTGTCTACCTCTTTATATTACTGGGAAAGAATATTCACATTACAAAGGTGGGTTACCTGAGCAGGATTAATAGGATAATGTGTTCACAGTTTAAAAATATGCAGTCATCGTTATTATCTGTATACAGTAGGATCTCAGATAATTTAGTGCTTAAGTTTATTTATTTTTGGCATATTCTAGTTGTCTTACTAGTGTAATTTGAGACAGATTCTGGCTCTGTCACCCAGGCTGGAGTGCAGTGGCATGATCTTGGCTCAATGCAGCCTCCACCTACTGGGTTCAAGCAATTCCCTGCCTCAGCCTCCTGAGTAACTGGGATTACAGGCGCGCACGACCATGCCTGGCTGATTTTTGTTTTTTTCGCACAGACGAGTTTTCGCCATGTTGGCCAGGCTGGTCTCGAACTCCTGGCCTCAAGTGATCCACCCGCCTCGGCCTCCCAAAGTCCTGGGATTACAGGCATGAGCCACCTCGTCCAGCCCTTATTGTCATTTTTTAAAAATAAAAATTCATCTATTTCTAACCATATATTCCATTCCCCAATAATCCTAGGTAAGAATTTAGTGTCTTCGAAACGTGTAGAAATCTTAACATGGGAGCAGTGTGAAAAGAATGGCAAGACGGAGAGAGGCTGCTTCAGAAGGCCCCAGCAGAGCTGGCGACCTGCAGACAGACAAAGGTGGTGCAGCTGGGAGGCAGACCCCGGGCTCCACCTAGGATAGAGGATGTGTGATGTGGCTCTGTGTGTCTTTACAGAGGATGGGACCACTGTAAAGACAACTGCTAAATGATGAGACAGCCCAAGGGGCTCCCACATCCCAACAGGGACCTGGTGCTGGTGGCTGACACATGCACATCACACCATGAACATGAAGCCACACGGACAGCAGTTATAGAAGACCCAGTTTTACCCAGAAAAGGATTTCTGTGCACAATGCAGTTGCATTTTCAGAGGCAAGACCGTGAGAGAGAGCCAACTGAGACTCACGGTGACGGCGGCTTCCAGATCTGCATGTGTCACACGAAAATGAGGTCACAGAGGTGCCGCTGTCAAGTAGTTTAATCATAGTCCCTACCGTGTGTACCTAAAGAAGAGAACTGTCCTTCCCTGGACAAACCACCCACCAGGTCGAGACTCCGATCCGGACGCTCCCTGCACATTACCAGGGTCTGTCACCACCCGCTTTGCTTCTCAGTTCTGTGTGACACCAACGCCCAGGGCCCACAGGGGACGATTATCATTAACCAGTTTGTCCTTTCTTTGACCACATAACTCTTTGTTTTCAATGTTACTTATGAATATTGAGAAAAACTGAGCCGAATATCTGGTGTATGTGGTTATTATAACTTAATCAAAAGCTGTCACATTCATTCCTGGCAGTCACTTCTGCTGAAGCTGTAACTTCCCAACAGGGAGGCACAATGTTTTTCCCTATGGTAGTAGTTTTCAACCTTTTAAAAAGCATTAAAATGCCTTCTAGGCTGAGGCAGGAGAATCGCTGGAACCCGGAAGGCAAAGGTTGCAGTGAGTGGAGATTGTGCCACCTAACTCCAGCCTGGGCAACCTCCATCTCAAAAAAAAAAAAAAAAAATACATATACATACATATACATATATATATATATAATTGAAATCACATTTTCTCATTATACAGATAACAGGTATAGTTGTTTTTTCTTTTTTCTTTTTTTTCTCGAGACACTCTTGCTCTGTCACCCAGGCTGGAGTGCGGTGGCGTGATCTTGGCTCACTGCAACCTCTGCCTCCAGGTTTCAAGGGATTCCCTGCCTTGGCCTCCCAAGTAGCTGGGATTACAGGTGCCTGCTACCATGCCCAGCTAATTTTTGCATTTTTAGTAGAGATAGAGTTTCCCCATGTTGGCCAAGCTGGTCTCAAACTACTAACCTCAAATGATCCACCCGCCTTGGCCTCCCAAAGTGGTGGGATTACAGGCATGAGCTACAGCAACCGGGCACAGGTATACTCTTTTTTTTTTTTTTTCTTTTTGAGACAGAGTCTTGCTCTGTCACCCAGGCTGGAGTGCAGTGACGTGATCTTGGCTCACGGCAAGGTCCGCCTCCCGGGTTCACATCATTCTCCTGCCTCAGCCTCCTGAGTAGCTGGGACTACAGGCGCCCGCAACCATGCACGGCTAATTTTTTATATTTTTAGTAGAGAGGGGGTTTCACCGTGTTGGCCAGGATAGTCTCGATCTCCTGACCTCGTGATCTGCCCGCCTCAGCTTCACAAAGTGCTGGGATTACAGGTGTGAGCCACCGCGCCCGGCAAGGTATAGTCTTAACATTTACCTCAACACCTATGTCTCTATTTTAACTTAATTGCATAATACTGAAAAAAATCTTGATGCACACAAGTAAGTGGCTACAGTGGTAACGGTTTGCTTTGCAATCTCAGGGAAATTTTCACTTAAACAGAAACAGCATGAGAAACTTTGTTCTAACATCTATATAAAGACAAACTAATGTGCTGACCTGAACCGTGTTAATATTTAAATCAGACAACAGTTAAAATGGGCCCCTTTTACTGTCTCTAATTATCCCTCAAAAAAGTTGATTAAAAATTAATACCTATGTGCATACTGCCCTACCATTTAAAAAATAAGAAAAGTCGGTGGTTTATGCCTGTAATCCCAGCACTTTGGGAGGCCGAGGCGGGCAGATCACGAGGTCAGGAGTTAGAGACCAGCCTGGCCAACATGGTGAAACCCTGTCTCTACTAAAAATAAAAAAATTAGCCAGGTGTGGTGGCGCACACCTGTAATCCCAGCTCCTCAGGAGGCTGAGGCAGGAGAATTGCTTGAACCAGGAGGCAGAGGTTGCAGTGAGCCGAGATAGCGTGACTGCACTCCAGCCTGGGCGAGAGAGCAAGATTCTTGTCTCGGGGGGGAAAAAGTGTACTTTGAAAAGAAAATCAAAAGTTGGTCGAGTTTAGCATTCTGCCTTCTCAGAACCTTAGAGTTGTGGGGTTGGAGGCCAAGGCCTTCCTCTGAAGACTCTGAGGCAGCCTCAGCTGCCCACCCAGTGAATTCACTCATTTTATCTAAGACTCCATCTGAAGAGGGGGCTGCCTCCATGCACAAAGTGAGTCTAGGAACCACTGCACTGGATAATTTAAAACTCAAACTGTTTTGGTAGATCACCCGTGGCCAACGCACCCTGGGATGAATTCCATCAAACCTGCAGAGCTATCAGGGGACACACCAGATACACAGCCTGCACATGGCCTATAGAATCAGGTGTCCAAAGTGAGAAAGGAAGCGTGGAAGGAGGAAACCAGCAGGCGTGCAGAGGAGCAGCTGCTTTCATCCCCAGCAGCGACACTTCCAGCCCGCGGGCCTGACGGGGACACCTGCCCACGAACCCCCTGCAGGGGACACGAGTTCTCCTTCCTCTCCGAGTCCATCTTTAAGATGGTAACAGAGCTCTGAATCGTCACCATTTTATCATCAGATGATTTCATGTCAACATGGACCTAGAAATACTGTCTCAAGAGAAACTTCCTCCAGAACTTCATTCAAGAGGATCACAATCTGCACCCTGGCTCCTACAGCCTAGATAAAGGACTTGTCCTTCTATACGAAGCATGCAGATACGACAGCAACCAAGAGAAGAGTACAGTACACAGTTCTGACAGGATGCGGGCGACAGGGAGGCCTGCGGGCCAGGATTTCAGTTTAGACTACTGCCCAACTGGGGTTGAGTGGGCAAAGCAGATGCTGATTGGTTGTCTTGGCACAGAGAAAAACCAAAGCAAGAAAGCTGCCAGATAGACAGTCAAAGAGAATGTTCTCCCTCAAATTTTGCTACTAACATTTTTTATAAAATATTTATTTAGAATGCTAGCTCCTACCAAATTGCTATAGCTATAGAAAATCCTAAAGAATAAAAGGATTTACATTGTAAGAAAGCCCAAAACTACAATTTGGCAGAACATCTGTAGAATTATAACTAATCAAACTGTACTACGGCAACTTCAAAAAACCAACTGTGCCCCTAGATGAGTCAAATGCCGCCTTCAATTCTCCCTGACAAAAGTAAAATACCAAAGACATCAGCTTATGTATCAAAAAAAAAAAAAAAAATCCATGTGCTAAAAAATTCACTGGAGAAAAAATGTCCAGAAGGCCACATGGTCTTTGGCAACCACTGGATAAACAGCAGTGGTTAGGAATTTCCAGGGGCAAACCAGTAAAACCCAGAGGGGGCCCTGTGCAGCCTCTCAGGCACATGGCGGGCTGGCAACCAGGAAGAGCCAGCCCCAAAGATCTGGACGCCCTCTCAGGGGAAATGCAGGACGCTCAGGACTGAGGCAGGACATCAAGAGAGCAGCCATGTAAGCTCTTGTTTCTGACCTGTTTTCTAAAAACAAATTCCACTTAAACAGCATCTCCCTTTAAAGCATTTCAACTCATTCTAACAAAATCTAGAGCAGCCTGGTCAGTGAAGTTAGGAGCACTGGAGTTAGCAATGAAATGGGTGAGTTAAAGAAGCAAGTTAGTTATCTGCCACACTGATCCCAATATTAAAATGAAACCAGACAGGGATCATGCTTTAAATAGCCAGGACACTCAATCAGCATTTAAGTGCTCAAAGTTAAGCCAAACAGCTTTCATGGATTCCTGAGAAGAAAATTACCACTTTAAACAAATAACAGACTTCAGTATTAGCAGAAGTGAAGAACTTACAGAAAGCTTAATTGGCACTTAATTTGAGAAAAGCAGAAGGTCTAGCACATGAGACAGGAGGAAGGCCTGGCAAGCGCCACTTGGGGGCGCCTCCCGGAGCACGTGCCCGCTGTGTACTGTACTTACCCCGTTCCACTCTACGCTCATACTCACTTCCTCCCCTCCGTCAGGGCCACTCTCGTACTTGACCACGTCCACGTTGAGGCTCTCACGGCTCCTGCGCTTCTCCATGTTCTCAGGGTCATTGAGCACTTCTGCCACCCTCTGTTTGTGAACATTGTCAAGACCCTGTGAGCCAGGCAGGGGAAAATGGTTTGACCCATTAGCACTTAAGATTTTCTTAGGTATTTCTGAGATACTTCGCTAGAAAAAAAAAAAAAAAACAGTTCTTAATCACTGGAGGGAAAAACATTGGAAGAGTGGTTCCTTGGAGGGGGTGAGGGTGGAGGCGGGGAACTGGAAACACAAAGGACCCCTCAGAGGAACAGTGATGGGGCTGGGATTGCACAGGGTGTGTACCCGTGTTCAACTATTCTGGGTCTATACCTAGGACTGCAACTGCTGGGTCATGTGGTTTTCTAAGTTTAACTTTTAGATAAGCCATCAAACTTCTCCAATGCCTGAACCATTTTACATTCCCACCAGCAAGAAGACATGAGACTCCAGCATCTCCACCTCCTCACCAATGCCTATTTTCCATTTGTTCGCTTATTATAGCCAGTCTAGTGGGGATGAGGTAGTATCTCACTGTGATTTCAGTTAATATTTCTATAATGACTAAAGATGTTGAGTATCTTTTCATGTGATTGTTGGCTATCTGTATATCATCTTCAGTAAAATGTGTATTCAGGTCCTTTGCTCATTTTTTAACTGGGTTGTCTTTTTGTCTGGATACCAAAACCTTATGAGATACATCATTTGCAAATATCTTCCCCTGTTGCATGGGGGTCTTTTCACTTTTTCTTTTTTTTTTTCTTTCTTTGAGACAGGGTCTCGCTCTGTTGCCCAGACTGGAGTGCAGTGGTACCATCTAAGCTCACTGCAACCTCCAGCTCCCGGGTTCAAGCGATCCTCCCACCTCAGACTCCCAAATAGCTGGGACCACAGGCTTGGGCCAACACACCTGGCTAATTTAAAAAAAAAAACTTTTGTAGAGACAAAGTATCACTATGTTGCCCAGGCTGGTTTCCAACTCCTGAGCTCAAGGGATCCTCCCACCTCAGCCTCCCAACGTGCAGGAATTGCAGGTGCTCAGCACCACACCCAGTCCCCTTTCACTTTCTTGATGATGTCCTTAGATGCACAAGAGCTTTTAACTTTGGTGAATCCAACAGATCTAGTTTTTATTTTGCTGTTCATGCTTTTGGGGTCATATTCATGCTATTTTATTTTATTTTATTTTAATTTTTGAGACGGAGTCTCGCTCTGTTGCCCAGGCTGGAGTGCAGTAGTGCAATCTCGGCTCACTGCAACCTCTGCCTCCTGAGTTCAAGCGACTCTCCTGCCTCAGCCTCCCCAGTAGCTGGGACTACAGGCTTGTGCCACTGCACTGTGTTTTTAGTAGAGATGGGGTTTTTCCATGCTAGCCAGGCTGGTCTCGAACTCCTGACCTCAGGCAATCTACCCACCTTGGCCTCCCAAAGTGCTGGGATTCAAGTGTGAGCCACTGTGCCCAGCCTCATGCTTTTTTTTTTTTTTTTAAATTGAGACGGAGTCTCGTTCTGTCACCCAGGTTGGAGTGCAGTGGCATGATATCGGCTCACTGCAGCCTCCACCTCCCAGGTTCAAGCGATTCTCCTGTCTCAGCCTCCCGAGTAGCTGGGATTACAGGATTACAGGCGTGTGCCACCACGCCCAGCTAATTTTTGTATTTTTAGTAGAGACGGGGTTTCACCATGTTGGCCAGGCTGGTCTTGAACTCCTGACCTCAGGTGATCTGCCCACGCTGGCCTCCCAAAGTGCTGGGATTAAAGGTGTGAACCACCACGCCCGGCCTCATGCTCTTTTAAACAATATAACTTTATTTGTTCAAACTAAAATAATCAACATTTTCTATTTCTAAATCAAGCTTTCAATAAAATTCATGTAAAAGAGAAGCATTCAATTCAAAGTTCCCATGGGCCGGTTAAGGACAGAAGTATGACTAACCTGTTTACGAGACCTCATAGCAGCTTCTTCTAACGTTTCTGCAGCTTCAAATTTGCCTTGACGTCTGTAAAGTGCCCCAAGGTTTTTTAGAGTGGTTGTAACAGTTGGACTGTAAGAAAGCACATGACATACAGAACTATGACATATAAGCTCTGAACAACCACTATCAACAGCACATAATCTAAAGAACTAACAGACTTCTGTTTTGGCTTGAATATATTTTAACTTTCTCTTGTACTTTTCTGAAACTGTAAAATTGTAAAGCGTTCTTCCCTCTCAGGTAGCTCTACCTCCCATGACCCTGGCCCGTCCTGTAGACAGCCCCTGCAGGCCAGGCTAACACCACACTCCATCCAGGCTGAGGCGGCTCTCACAGACCACTGGCCACTCTGTCAACAGAAACAT
The DNA here is from genome assembly GCF_000001405.40 of Homo sapiens. NCBI lineage: Eukaryota > Metazoa > Chordata > Mammalia > Primates > Hominidae > Homo > Homo sapiens. The sequence continues at coordinate 103,677,118 of NC_000014.9, read as the reverse complement.
CTGGGCCAGGTCTGTGTGGTATCAGCATGCTTTCCCTGGAGACGACTTGGTCTGCGCTGACAGTAACGACGAACAGTGCTCTGAATGTTGCTGCTCACGTGCTGCCGTCTCCCCTCAAGTACCCGGGAGAAGACAGCAAAGCAGAACCTCCTTATCAGTGGGGTGTGAGGGCAGAGGATAAATGCTTCATGTACCAGGGAAGCAATAAGCAGATGGCCGAGAGGACGGCTGTGTTTCTGTGTTCTTTCTTTCTTTCTTATTTTTCAAACTGTATCATTGAGCTTGATGTTTCTGCATTCTTGATAGAGCAGACTTACTAAAAAAATTATAAATAAACCTAGATTCATTTTAGCATAGATAAGTACTTCGAGAGAGTTCTGTTCACTTACTTACAATAGGCATTTTGGGTACAGAAATAAAGAAGCTATTTTCTATGTCTCTGAAACAAGTAATCTATGGTAAGTGCTATGGGAGCCCTAGAGAGAGTTCAGAGAGTTTTCTGAAAATAGATGAATGGTAGGCTGAGTCTTAAAGGATGAGGAAAGTTAAGAGTGGAAAGACACAGTGGCTCACACCTGTAATCCCAGCACTTTGGGAGGCCGAGGCGGGTGGATCACCTGAGGTCAGGAGTTCAAAACCAGCCTGGCCAACACGGTGAAACTCTGTCTCTACTAAAAATACAAAAAATAGCCAGGCATGGCGACAGACTGTAGTCTCAGCTATTCGGGAGGCTGAGGCAGGAGAATCACTTGAACCTGGGAGGTGGAGGTTGCAGTGAGCCATGATCACGCCATTGCACTCCAGCCTGGGAGACAAGAGCGAAACTCCATCTCAAAAAAAAAAATAGAGTGGAAAGACAGCCAAACAGGTGAGCCACCTGGACCCAGGGACAGCAGCCATCACAGAGGGCAGTCTGCACAGGCTCGGGCTCAAGAGGCAAGGCTCTCGGGCCGGCCACGGAGGGGCCTACACTTCCCTCTGCAGAGGACAAGGCCCCATGGGCTGTGAGGAAAAGGAGTGTGTGTGGATCTGTGTCTCCAGCGCTGTGTGTGAGGGGCTGGCTTTCCCAGGCCTGCTGGCATGCTTCTCATGAATTTACTGTATGGTTTCTGCCATTAAAAGTAAAAGTAATGGCAAAATCGCAATTACCTTTGCACCAACCTAACATGATAGTGGGTTTTATACATGTAAGTGATCTCATTTACAAGGTTAGTGGGGTTTTTTTAATTGGAATTCGGGAAAAACATGGGACTGTGCACTTAAGGAACACTACACATTGGTCATTTATAAGCTGCCCTGTAGAACACAATTACCTTCCCCCTGCTTTTTGGTTTTTCCAGCCAAACGCAATTCCAGACATACCTATCAACTTTGCAGGCTTTGTACCAGCCGCCATACTCTCCAAAAGATGTCCCATCCTTTTGCTTTCCCTAAATTATAAGAAATAATTTCAAATGAATAATTATCTTGAATGCAGTATATACAATTTAGAAAATCTCAAAATAATAAATTCTTACTTTGCATTCTTCTCTTTCTTCAGCATGCATCCAGATGGGTTTATTTTCATCTAGGGAAGAAAACACAGCATACAGGTTGAGCATCCTTAATCCAAAACTCCAAAATCTGAACTGCTCTAAGGGGAATTTCCTTTGAGTGTCAAGTCGGCACTCGAAAAGTTTCAAACTTTGGAGCACTTTGAATAATGGGATATTTAACCTGTACTATAAATGAAGGATAACAGAGCCTGCTAAGTAAACTAGAAATCATGAAGCCTCTGTGGTTTTTTATTTTTTTGAGATGGAGTCTCACTCTGTTGCCCAGGCTGGAGTGCAGTGGTGTGATCCCGCCTCGCTGCAACCTCCAGCTCCTGGGTTCAAGTGACTCTCCTGCCTCAGCCTCTCAAGTAGCTGGGATTATAGGCACCCGCCACCACACCCAGCTAATTTTTTTGTATTTTTAGTAGAGATGGGGTTTCGTCATGTTGGCCAGGCTGGTCACTCCTGACTTCAAGTGATCCACCTGCCTCAGCCTCCCAGTGTTAGGATTACAGGCGTGAGCCACCGCGCCCAGCCTGTTTTCTTTTTTATATGATCCTTGTTAGATACTACTTCTTACAGCATGGACAGATTAGGTTCACACTGGAGGAAAAAGTCTATGGACGACAGAGCTGGACACCAAGCAACAGGTAAGACACAGGGTACAGAATCAATGTCCTGAGACAGGTGAGCAACTGTCAAGACACCCCAGCAAATGCTAGGGCCCTGGAATGTAATTTCTAAAATGCCAGCTGCTCAAGTAGCACAAGGGAGTATTCAGAATGTGAGCACTAAACAAAAACATTAAACAATAGTCTAAGAAAAAGTAGCAAGATGTTGCTAGCAAAAGTAGAAAAGATACAAATCAAGGCCGGGTGCAGTGGCTCACACCTGTAATCCCAGCACTTTGGGGGACTTAGGCAGGAGGATCACCTGAGGTCAGGAGTTCAAGACCAGTCTGGCCAACATGGTGAAAATCTGTCTCTACTACAAATACAAAAATTAGCCGGGCGTGGTGGTGTGTGCCTGTAATCCCAGCTACTCGGGAGGCTGAGGTAGGAGAATCACTTGAATCCAGGAGGCAGAGGTTGCAGTGAGCCAAGATCACATCATTGCACTCCAGCCTGGGCAACAAGAACGAAATTCCACCTCAAAAAAAAAAAAGAAAACAAGCATACGAATCAATATTCGTTTTAAGTCATCTTCTCGGAACACTCACGCAAGTTTCTAGACAACCAACAGACCCATGCTATGGAGGAAAAAGCCACCTTAAAAGTAATGTTTATGAAAATATTTTTATGACTGAAAGGTACTCACACTAAAAATGTAAAGAAAATAAGCAGTATACATGATGATATGGACGGTATGGTTTGAAATCTGTAAACCAAAGGCACAGAAGGAAGGAAAGACATTAAAAATGTGAAAAGATGAATTTGGGTGATTCTCCTGTTTCCATTTCTGCATGAATTGGGTAGGTCTCTGCAATGAGGACATGAAGATGGATTTGGGTGATGCTCCTGTCTCCATTTCTGCGTGAACTGTATAGGTCTCTGCAATGAGGACATGTTATGGGCTCTGGGCACTGTAATCCCAGTCTAACTGCTTCTCAGCTACGGGGCCTCACACAAGTCACTTAGTCTGTGGTGTCTTTTTTTTTTTTTGAGACAGAGTCTCACTCTGTTGCCCAGGCTGGAGTGCAGTGGCACGATCTCGGCTCACTGCAAGATCCGCCTCCCGGGTTCACGCCATTCTCCTGCCTTAGCCTCCCGAGTAGCTGGGACTACAGGCGGCCGCCATCACACCCGGCTAAGTTTTTGTATTTTTAGTAGAGACGGGGTTTCACTGTGTTAGCCAGGATGGTCTCGATCGCCTGACCTCGTGATCCACCCACCTCGGCCTCCCAAAGTGCTGGAATTACAGGCGTGAGCCACCACGCCCGGCCTGTGGTATCCTTGCTTTTAAAATGGGGTAATGTTTGACCCGCTGCACAAGACTGCTGTGAAAGTGAAGTGAAATCACACATTTAAACTATTTAGCTTAGTGATGTACAAAGTTAAGTGCTTAATAAACAGTAACTAATACTATTAGTATATTACTATTAGTCAAGTCATTATACAATTAAATTCACTTGAAACGGGAGTATATTTCTTACCATCTACAGAACCAAACTCCCTTTCATGTGCACGAGTGAGAATCTCTTTGTACAGTGTTTCTGCTTGCTTGAACTTTCCTTGTTTCAAATAGCAGGATGCCTTAAAATAAAATAAAATAAAATATTTCATATCTTTCAGATGTAAATAAAGCATACATTTTAATCTCCAGTTAAATGAGAAAGTGTTTGGACTTGGGACGAAAGCACTCCTGGCCCCCTCCCTAGTGCTGTGCAGTCAACACACCAGGTTATTTTTCGTCTTAGCCACGTTGGGGTCATCAGGTCCCAGTTTTGTCTGGTAGATCTCGAGGGCTCTTTGATAATAATATTCTACTTCTTCATACTTGCCCTGGTTCTGGCACAGTAAGGCCAAGTTATTTAACTGCTTGGCAACATCGGGGTGATCCTTCCCCAAAACCTGAAAATAAAAAACAGCATATTAGAGACACTTGTTCTGCTTCCATCCAATCCATTCTCCACCCTACTGTCACATCAGGATCTTCCTCAACATAAGCACGACTGTGCTACACTTTCAGATTTAAATCCTTAACTGGCTCGCTACACCACGTAGTAATAAAATAACCAGAATTTCTCAAATTCTTATTCATGAGGGGAGGGAGGGAACTGTGCTCATCTTCTTTAGCTGTGTTAATTACTGTAGTAATCCTTCATGGTAGTTATATTTTTGTACATTGGTTGTACTATGTACAAATGTACACATTAGGCACATTTTGAAGATAAGGAAATGGGCTTTGTAAAGGCTATGTGAGTTTTACTGCCAGCTTCTGAAGAGCCCACAGCTGTCCCAGTTGCCCAGGATGCTCTTCTCCTAGCCCTCCCTACTAGCTACGACTTATCCTTCAGGGTTCTCCTCAGTTCCCCTCAAAGGAGACTTCCCTATACCACCCCACCTCACCTAGTGAACTCACAGGCACATCACCTGGTTGTTCTTTATAAGAATCACTTCTCTAAACTACCTTGAATATTTTTTATTACAATGTAAGCCCCAAGAGTATAAATTCTTTGTCTCTCTTCTTCACCAATGTAATCTCCGCATCGAAAAAGGGGTCTGGCACAGAGATAGATGAATGAACACTAACCTCCTCCCTCAGTACCTTGAACAAGTGATGAGTTCTCTCCGCTTTGTGCCTTTACACATGTGGTCCTCAGGGAGGTAAGCTGCCTTTCTACTCCCTTCTGCATTCCCTACCTCCCCCTGCCTAGGACACTTTTAACTCAATTATTCAAGATGCAGTTCCAACACCGACCTTCCCTGAGAAACCATCCCCAACACCCCCTGGCTCTGGCCCGCAGAAGCCCACACTTCATATCCTCCCAGAGCTCTCTATTCTAGATGCTGATGTGCCCTCTGCGGTCCTCAGTCTGTCCAGTGGACTGTGTCCTAGTGGGAGGAACTACATGTCTGATCTGTAAATCACCAACTCTAAGCAGGGGGCTCTAAATGAATGAAAGGGTAAATATATGAATGAATTTGGCAGGTCATCTTATATGGTTCCTAATCCTTAATTTGATACTTTTGTGCTCTCCCTGACTTTAACTCCAGCCCACCCCAAATTCAACCATTCTATTTCAGAAATATCATGCAGATTGACAGCATGATAAAATATTACCTGTATAATTTGATAAGGAGCCCCTTTTTATTTTCTCTCCCCCAATTCCTTGCCATGTGGCTCAAAATTAACTGATAAGAATCACTGATAAATAATCACAAAAAATACCAGGTTAAAATACCATTTGTGCGGCTGGGTGCAGTGGCTCATGCCTGTAATCCTAGCACTGTGGGAGGCTAAGGCAGATGGATCACCTAAGGTCAGGAGTTCTTGGCCAGCCTGGCCAACATGGTGAAACCCCATCTCTACTAAAAAATACAAAAATTAGCCGGGTGTTGTGGCACATGCCTGTAATCCCAGCTACCCAGGAGGCTGAGGCAAGAGAATTCCTGGAATCCAGGAGGCGAAGGCTGCAGTGAGCCGAGATCGTGCCACTGCACTCCAGCCTGGGCGACACAGCAAGACTCCGTTTCAGAAAAAAAAAAACACAATTTGTGGTCACTCATCGGATAGACCCAATACCCGAATCTTCATAACATCTAAAGAGATTGTCATACACAGCACTGCTGAAATGAACAAGTTGTTATATTTTTTAATACCTAATTACCATGAACTGTAGCAGCTGGTATTAAATATATATGACATTGACTTAATCTATAGCTCTGAGTTAATCTTTAGTTATAATAATAATTATTTCATTTTTCAGCTTCATAAAGCATATTTGGTGAATTTATCTTTAATCATGTTTTTCTTATTGACAAGCACATGTTCCACTGTCAAATGCAATGCTCCCAGGCTTTCCATCTCTAGTCCTCAGACATGTCTTCTTCAATCAGAGTCACTTCTAGGCCATATCAGGCTTGGACAGCATCAGACTCAGGACTGCACCTTTCTAAATGCACACGCCTCATAACTGGACCTTCTTTTCTTTTTTTTTTCTTTAGAGACGAGGTCTCACTATGTTACCCAGGCTGGTCTTAAACTTCCTAGGCTCAAGTGATCCTCCCACCTTGGCCTCCCAAAGTGCTGGGATTACAAGCATGAGCCACTGCACCCAGCCTGTAATTGAGTCTTAAACACTGATTTGTATGGGCCAATCTGGCTTTGTTTTGTGGGCTATTCTCTAATTAAATGAGTTGTTTTCAGCTAATAGTCAGTTAAAAACACATCACAGTGGTTATTTCTCAAAACCTAAAACCGAAAAATTTTTAAAAACACAAAAAACAGCGCCGGGCACAGTGGCTCAGCCTGTAATCCCAGCACTTTGGGAGGCCAAGGCGGGCGGATCAGGAGGTCAAGAGATTGAGAACATCCTGGCCAACATGGTGAAACCCCATCTCTACTACAAATACAAAAATTAGGTGGACGTGGTGGTGTGTCCCTGTAGTCCCAGCTACTTGGAAGGCCGAGGCAGAAGAATCACCTGAACCATGGAGGTGGGGGTTGCAGTGAGCCGAGATCACGCCACCGCACTCCAGCCCGGTGACAGAACGAGACTCCATCTCAAAAAAAAAAAAAAAACCACACACACACAAAACAAAAATCTCAAAGAAAACGACTGCCCCCTTCTTTTGTACCTTTTCTCGGATTTCCAGAGCTCTTTTACACAACGGCTCTGCTTCTTTGTACTTCCCTCTTTTACCATAAAGGACTGCAAGGTTATTCAAAGTCGCCGCCACCTGTCAACACAGAGAGAACCACTAAGAATGGTAAAAGATAACCAAATAAGAGTACATTTATACACCACATATTCATTTATATTCAATCTATACAGTAAAGCATTCTTAGTCGGATAGAACAATATGACTTCAGTTAAAATGAAAAGCGCAATTCACTAGAGTATAGATTATACAAAGTAACACTGCAGAATACTAAAATTAAACAAATCAACAACGTATTCCTGACTTTTTAAAAATTTCCCTGGAAGCCACAAAGCCAACCAAAACAGATTCATATGCAAATCTGACCAGATTTTAATGAAGACAATATAATTTTCAGAAAAAAATTTCTAGAAGGACATGCAATTTGATTTACAATCAAACAATACAGTTGGTGATCCATTTGAGGTGGGGTCATAAACAAATTAAGTGTGCTCTGGCCTGTCACTAGCACTGAGTAAGTGAAGACCTCCTACCTGCACCATCTAGGGAAAAGGCAGCACTTAAACTTTCCCTGTTGAGTTTAATGGTAAAATGAGTTGGATAAAAGAAATATATGGGGAAAATAAAATATTAAAAGAATGAAAGAACTGGATATACAAACCGCAGGATGATCTTTGCCCAAAGTTTTCTCACGAATAGCCAAGGCATCATTCAGTAGGTTAGCTGCATCTTTGTATTTATTCTGATCCCTAAATGGAAAAACACACATTAAGTGTTTCAGATGTAGATCACTACAGCTTTTCTTTTCTTTTCTTTTCTTTTTTTTTAGACAGAGTCTGACTCTGTTGCACAGGTTGGAGTGCAGTGGTGCCATCTTGGCTCACTGCAACCTCCGCCTCACGGGTTCAAGCAATTCTCTGCCTCAGCCTCCTGAGTAGCTGGGATTACAGGCATCTGTCACCACGCCCGGCTAATTTTTGTATTTTTAGTAGAGACGGGATTTCACCATGTTGGCCAGGGTGGTCTCAAACTCCTGACCTCATGATCCACCCGCCTAGGCCTCCCAAAGTGCTGGGGTTACAGGCATGAGCCATCGTGCCCGGCCTCACTACAGCTTTTTTAAATGTAATTTTCAACTACAGAAATAAAAGTTAAGCTTAAACTATTTAAGAAAAACCACAGGGCCGGGTGCAGTGGCTCATGCCTGTAATCTCAGCACTTTGGGAGGCTGAGGCGGGCAGATCACGAGGTCAGGAGATCGAGACCATCCTGGCTAACATGGTGAAACCCCATCGCTACTAAAAATACAAAAAAATTAGCCGGGTGTGGTAGCAGGCGGCTTTAGTCCCAGCTACTCGGGAGGCTGAGGCAGGAGAATGGCGTGAACCTGGGAGGTGGAGCTTGCAGTGAGCAGAGATCGTGCCACTGCACTCCAGCCTAGGCGACAGAGTGAGACTGTCTCAAAAAATAAATAAATAAAAAGATGGGTGTGGTGGCTCACGCCTGTAATCCCAACACTTTGGGAGGCTGAGGCGGGCGGATCACGAGGTCAGAAGATCGAGACCATCCTTGCTAACACAGTGAAACCCTGTCTCTACTAAAAATACAAAAAAAAATAGCCGGGCATGGCAGCATGCGCCTGTTGTCCCAGCTGCTGGGGACGCTAAGGCAGGAGAATGATGTGAACCCGGGAGGCGGAGCTTGCAGTGAGCATAGATCGCGCCACTGCACTAAAGCCTGGGTGACAGAGCAAGACTCCGTCTCAAAAGAAAAAAAAAAGAAAAAAGAAAAACCACAAGCTTATGGATGGGGAAAAAACACTGGAAGGAAATCCACCAATAAATGGACTGGCAAGGTGAACTCTGGAATCAGACCCAACTAGCTTCTGAACTTAACCTTCCCATCTAGGCCACTGGGAAGATAATGTCCCCACACTACAGTGTTGTCCTGCCTATGCCAGCTGGCCAGCACAGAATAAGTGCAACAGTCTAGAACAATGGACCAAGCTTGCATTTGGTTTCAGACAGAATTAATTCTAGTGTCTGAGCTTGGGCTCTACCAGTTAATGGCTACATGGCTTTGGGTGCATTACGTGACCTCACGCAGTCCCAGCCTTCCCATCTACAAAGCAAGTATATGATCTATTGCACAGTCTTGCTGTAAGAAGATGATATGCTACATGTATACTGAAAAAATATTTTAAAAAACAACAAACAAAAGTAAATATATTGTTGTGTCTGAACTTGGTACCCAGTCTCCCTCCATTTTGTTGAGTATGGAGGAACGAAGAATCTTTCTTGATTGGAGTAAAACAGAAACACCCCAGAACCAGAAACTCTCAGTTTAAGCGTGCTACTCACTACTGATGTGACTGAGAACAAGTACTTGCTTTTGAGACTTAGCACACATCTTTCTCAATTGAGTAGTAGTAACTGCCTGGCAAGGCTTTCCCCTGAAAAACGTGAGAAAGGTTAATAAGGCTTCTACAACCTCTGAAGCACACTAATTCTGGCCACGTATTAATATATTGTTGTTTCTTCTTTCATCCTATTACATCCTATTGTAAGCTGCCTCAAACTTTTTGTGAAAGTCAGCAAGTACAAAATAGAGTTCCAAAAAGTAGTGGCCAGGTGCGGTGGCTCACACCTGCAATCCTAGCACTTTGGGAGGCTGAGGCGGGCAGACTGCCTGAGCTCAGGAGTTCAAGACAAGCCTGGGCAACACAGTGAAACCCCATCTCTACTAAAATACAAAAAATTAGCCAGGCCTGGCGACATGCACCTGTAGTCCCAGCTACTCGGGAGGCTGAGGCAGGAGAATTGTAGCAAATGCAATTTAAAAATAAGCTACCAAGGCTGGGCACGGTGGCTCACGCCTGTAATCCCAGCACTCTGGGAGGCTGAGGCGGGTAGATCACCCGAGGTCAGGAGTTCAAGATCAACCAACATAGCAAGACCCTGTCTCTACTAAAAATACAAAAATTAGCTGGGTGTGGTGGCAGGCACCTGTAATCCCAGCTACTCGGGAGCCTGAGGCAGAAGAATCGCTTGAACCCAGGAGGCAGAGGTTGCAGTGAGCTGAGATTGTGCCATTGCACTCCAGCCTGGCCAACAAGAGTGAAACTCCGTGTAAAAAAAATAAAATAAAATAAGCTACCTAAAGTGTTATGAGAATTAAATGAGGCCGGACATGGTGGCTCACGCCTGTAATCCCAACACTTTGCGAGGCTAAGGCGGGTGGGTCACCTGAGGTCAGGAGTTTGAGACCAGCCTGACCAAGAATGATAAGACCCTGTCTCTACTAAAAATAAAAAAAATTAGCTGGGCATGCTGGCGGGCACCTGTAATCCCAACTACTAGGGAGGCTGAGGCAGGAGAATCGCTTGAACCTGGGAGGCAGAGGTTGCAATGAGCCAAGATGATGCCATTGCATGCCAGCCCGGGCGACAGAGCAAGACTCCGTATCAAAAAAAAAAAAAAAAAGAAAGAAAAAAAATGGCCAGGCACGGTGGCTCACGCCTGTAATCCCAGCACTTTGGGAGGCCGGGGTGGGTGGAATCGCCTCAACCCGGGAGGCAGAGGTTGCAGTGAGCTGAGATCACACCATTGCACTCCAGCCAGGGGTACAAGAGCAAGACTTCGTTTCAGAAAAAAAAAAAAAAGAATTAAATGAGATGAGGTATATTAAACACTTCTGTAAACGATGACATATTATAAAATGTCTGGGACTATTAGTTAGCAGTGGTTCTCCGGTGTGGTCCCAAACCAACAGCAGTCAGCCTCAACTGGAACTTATTAGAAACCCAGACTACCCTAGCCCTGCTGAATCAGAAACTCTGGGAGTGGGACTAGCACACTGTGATTTGTTAAATCAAGTGGGTTTAAGAAGCCCACCAAGGGCCGGGCACGGTGGCTCATGCCTGTAATCCCAGCACTTTGGGAGGCCAAGGCGGGTGGATCACAAGGTCAGGAGATCAAGACCATCCTGGCTAACATGGTGAAACTCCGTCTCTACTAAAAATACAAAAAATTAGCCGGGCGCGGTGGCAGGCGCCTGTAGTCCCAGCTACTCGGGAGGCTGAGGCAGGAGAATGGCGTGAACCCGGGAGGCGGAGCTTGCAGTGAGCCCAGACAACGCCACTGCACTCCAGCCTGGGTGACAGCGAGACTCCGTCTCAAAAAAAACAAAAAGAAGCCCACCAAGAACTCAAATTCAAAAGAAAACAAACATAGAATACTAAAGCATTAAAATCCTAACAGAAAAATGTGCAAGGTAACAGGAAATTCACAGAAGGATACAAATGACTAAAAATACATAATCAAAGAAATACAAATTAAAACACAATGCATACTCTATCTCCACCAACGGAATAGAGCCCCCCACCTCCAGGGTGGCGCCTGTGCGGCAGAAGCATGGGCAGACACAGCCTTTCTGAGTGGCAGTTTGGCAGCAGGTACCAAGGACTATAAAATGTTTATACTCTAACCCGTCTTAGGAATTTATCCTAAAAAAAGAAATACATGGCTGGGCACAGTGGCTCACACCTGTAATCCTAGCACTTTGGGAGGCCAAGGAGGGTGGATCACCTGAGGTCAGGAGTTTTGAGACCAGCCTGGCCAACATGACAAAACACTGTCTCTACTAAAAAATACAAAAAATTAGCGGGGCTTGGTGGCAGGTGTCTGTAATCCCAGCTACTTGGGAGGCTGAGGCAGGAGAAATGGTTGAACTCCAGAGGCTGAGGTTGCAGTGAGCTGAGATCACTCCACTGCACTCTAGCCTGGGCGACAAGAGCAAAACTCCATCAAGACACAAGACAGGACAGGACAGGACAAGACAAGACAAGACAGAAAGACAGACAGACAGACAGAAAGAAAGAAAAGAAATCAATCAATCCATCCTGGCCAGGCGTGGTACCTCGCAGCTCACACCTATAATCCCAGCACTTTGGGACGTCAAGGTGGAGGATCATTTGGAGCCCAGGAGTTTGAGACCAGCCTGAGCAACATGGTGAGACTCCATCTCTACAACCAATCAATCAATCCAAAATCTTGAACAAACCTTATAAAGATCAGTAAAATATTAAAGGCAAAAAAAAAAAGCTTAAAATTATGTGTCCCTTAATACAAGAATGATGAAATAACAAGCTGAAAGGTAGAATACTGAATATGAATACATATGTAGCTACTATTTTTTTCCCAAACATCTACGCACGTGGGTCAACTCTCACACTATAATGCTAGGGAAAAACACAAGACTGACAGAGGCCATGGCATCCCCAGCACCCAGCAGTGATGTGTGTGCCCATGCACGCTGTGCACAACAAAAACCTAGTTATGCTTACTTAACTCATTTATATTAATAATATCCAGTGCTGTCCAGAAACTTCCATATGTTTTAATGGGCATATAAGTTTAAAAAAAAAAAAAAAAAAAAAAAAGCCTTGGCCAAGTGCAGTGGTTCACGCCTGTAATCCTAGCACTATGGGGTACCGAGCTGAGCAGATCACTTAAGCCCAGGAGTTCGAGACCAGCCTGGGCAACATGGCAAAACGCTGTCTCTATGAAATATATAAAATTTAGCTGGGTGTAGTGGTGCATGCCTGTGGTCCCAGCTACTCAGGAAGGTGAGGCAGGAAGATTGCTTGAGGCCAGGAGTCAGAGGTTGCAATGACCCATGATCGCATCACTGAGCAAGACCCTATCTCAAAAAAAAAATTTTTTTGCAATGAAATGTCTCAATCTAATTAAGAGCTAAATGCAAATATCTCTGACTAAGAAATTCCTGCAGTGAAATATGCAAACAATTGGCCAGGCACAGTGGCTCATGCCTGTAATCCCAGCACTTTGGGAGGCCGAGACAGAAGGATCACTTGAGGTCAGGAGTTTGAGACCAGCCTGGCCAACATGGTGAAACCCCGTCTCTACTAAAAATACAGAAGTTAGCCAGGCATGGTGGCGCATGCCTGTAATCCCAGCTACTCAGGAGGCTGAAGCAGGAGAATCACTTGAACTCAGGAAGCAGAGGTTGCGGTGAGCTGAGATTGCACCACTGCACTCCAGCCTGGGTGACAGAGCCAGACTCTGTCTCAAAAAAAAGAAAAAAGAAAATATGCAAACAATCTCAACATTCACCAACAGGAAAACAGTCAAAAAATGTCCAGAATGTCCACGAAACCCTGCTGCATAGTCATGGGGCAGACCAAGCTGCTGACAAACTACAGAGCCAAAGGGAACGGCCTCATTTTAAATAGTGTTGTTATAACAGGGGGCTTACTTTCTTATTTGTGTGTTTTTATTTTATCAACTTTCAAAACTTATTTTTAAAGAAATCACTTATGCGTGTGGGTAGTCATATCACCGCATTTCTCTTCAAGCGTCATTAGGCCCTGTACTCTCCTCTTCCTCCACGTCCTCCTCCTTGCTCAGGTTCCCCTCGCCCCACCCCGACAACCTCAATCCTGTCCCAACAGGACACCCTGCCTCCGGCTCCAGCCCCCAACTGCATCCTAGGCACTGAGCCAAAGGAACTCTTCTACCACACAACTGAGAGCCCACCACTCCCCCGGGGCGTCCTTCAACAGGGGTGAAAGGGTTCGGGGAGCACACAAGGGGCAAAGGGCAAGTTGAATCCCGGATTCCAAAAGGAGGCACAGCGCACCAGGCCTCAGAAGGCAGGAAGACACCGCCAGGCCAAGTGGGAAGGCTATTTAGACAAAAGAAGCCGCCTGCACAGGGTCTTGTGGAAAAGGTCAAAACAGCTTCGTTTGGCTGGCGTTAGGGGTACACTGTGGTCTATTCTAAACAAGCTGAACTGAGTGGTCACGGGCAGCATCTGTTCTTCTGATTCAGTGACACCCTTCCACAAAGCTTGCTAAATAGGCCGGGCGCGGTGGCTCACGCCTGTAATCCCAGCGTTTTGGGAGGCTGAGGCGGGCGGATCACGAGGTCAGGAGATCGAGACCATCCTGGTTAACACGATGAAACCCCGTCTTTACTAAAAATACAAAAAAATTAGCCAGGCATGGTGGCGGGTGCCTGAAGTCCCAGCTACTCGGGAGGCTGAGGCAGGAGAATGGCGTGAACCCGGGAGGCGGAGCTTGCAGTGAACCGAGATCACACCCCGGCACTCCAGCCTGGGTGACAGAACGAGACTCCGTCTCAAAAAAAAAAAAAAGCTTGCTAAATATTTTTAATTTAACCCCTGTTTAAAGAGAAGTGGATATGGTTGAAAAATAGTTTATACAGATACATAAAAATATATTTTAAGGGGCAAGATGGTTAAAAACATTGTCTCTAGGTAAAATTCAGTAGGTAAACAAAAGTGACTAGCCTGTACACCAAGGCCAGGATGTTGAGCATGGTGGCCACGTCCGGGTGGTCGTGTCCTGAAGTCTTCTCCAGGTCCTCCAGGGCCTGCTTGCAGAGGGGCACAGCTACCTCGTAGCGCCCCTGCGAGGCGTACTGGATCACCAGGTTGTGGAGCGTCCGCAGCCGCGCGGGGATCTCGTAGCCGCCCTGCTGGGCAGCCGCGGCTGCACTGCTGTGCTGCTGCTGGACTGCACCGAGAAAGTTCACTTCAGATGGGTTTTTAAAGACAATTATCCAGATGAGTCAGTTTCTTTAAAATTATCTTTACTAACTTTGGTTCAAGTTAGTACTTGGCCCCCAGTGCTATTTAAATCTTTTCCTAGTACTGTCTGGGCAGGCAGGGTAAGAGTAGTGACTACAGTGTCAGGGATGGCAACATGGCCACTCAGTGCCATGAGACTCCTCTTGGCGCCATGAAACAAGCAGGATAAGTAATTCTGACCTCTTCACCCTGTAAGAATCTGCAGACCACGCCTGAACTGCACGTGCATGCCGCTGTATCCTAGGGTCTGCTCTAGCATATTCCCGTATCACAACACAGATTATTTTGGAAAACCAAAGGCAACCCCGCTCTGGTGGTGCTTCCTCCAGGCAGGCCGCATGCACTAAGGCTGCCACTGATTGCTATGACCGTGTTCTAGGAGGAACACCTCTCTTCTGCACTCGGTAACATGCCTGCATCACCCATCACTCACTTCCTTGCCCTGGGTCGTCTTCATCATTGGGGAAAAGGTCATCCAGAGGCTCTTTGGTAGAATCAGTGTCTTTGTCCTCCTATAAAACAGACCCAGGACAACACTTCATCTTACACGTGCTATACACATCCTGTCCTGAAAATTTTTAATATTAAATACATTTTAACTAAGAATCTTAGAAAAGATGATCAGTTTTTAACATCAAATGTAGGATCGCCGACAATCTGGCTTATCCATCAGTTGAACAGGAGTAATGAAAAGCTTTTTAGACTAGAATACAAATACTTGAGTGCAGACCACAGTTTGACGAAATGGGCCATGGCTGCATTTCATGCCTCAGATCCTTCTCCCGCGCTTTGAGGGAGGTCTAGGAGAGCAGGGAAAACCCTGACTCAAAATAAAATCTTATTTGGGAACCAAATATGTAGCAACAGGTGAAAATGGTGCATCTCTGATCCCCAGAGAAGTGGAGGGGCTAGATTCCTCACCACCACAATCGGCTCTGGGGCAGGATCCCTGGGAGCAGTTTGAAACCTCCCAGCTTTAAAGGCCTGTGACCCATGTTTCCCTACATTTTGCTGATTAGTCAAAGAAATAAAATCAGAAACTACATAATGGAAAAGACAGGTAACAGCCTGACCAGTAAGAAATTAGCTTTGTCATGAGGCAGATGAACACTGTTTGGCTCCGGAAGGGAAAATGTGATAAAGACACATTGCTTTTAGAATATTCCTGTCTGGGATGCATAATCCAGGCATTAGACGAACCCCAACTGAGGAATGATGGACAAAATAACTGGCCTGCATTCTTCAAAAACACCAATGTCATGAAAGACAACCAGAGACAGAGACCCCATTCCACGTGAAAGGCTACTCAACAGATGTGACGGCCACATGCAGGATGTACCCCTGAACTGGACCCTGGGACACAGTGAAACAATGCCATGAAGGATGCTGTTGGCAGTTAACAAAAGGAGAGTATGAGCTGCAGAGGAGAGGACATACTGGGTCTGTGTGCAATTTCCTGAGTGCCCTTGGCCCTGGACTGCCACAGGAGAACCCCTCACCCTAGGGAAAGACGCCCAGCAGCAGTAAGCAGCCGTGGCACATGCTATGCCACTATGTGAACAGGTTTCAGAAGAAACAGGCACTCGTAAGTACTCTGGAAAGGGTAAGGAGAGCCAGCTCACTGGATGTTTTCTCCAAGTTTAACACTTTTTCAAAATAATAAATTTTAAAAGTCTCCGATCCTACGAAACCAGTTTTCTTCTTCTCAACATCCTCCAATGTCCCAGGTCAATCACTGCTGGCATCGACATCTGCAAAGTACTTGCATTTCCATAGCACTCTAGAGCAAGCATCTTTTATTTATTTATTTATTTATTTATTTATTGCTTGTTTTTCTGAGACAGGGTCTCCCTCTGCCACCCAAGCTGGAGTACAGCGGCATGATCTTGGCTCACTGCAACCTCCAACTCCCAGGTTCAAACAATTCCATGCCTCAGCCTCCCAAGTAGCTGGGACCACAGGTGCACTCTACCACACCCAGCTAATTTTTTTGTATTTTTTAATAGAGAAGGGGTTTTGCTATGTTGGCCAGGCTGGTCTTGAACTCCTGGCCTCAGGTAATCCACCCGCTTCAGCCTCCCAAAATGTTGGGATTACAGGCATGAGCCACCGCATCGGCCTTAATTTTTTTTTTTTTTTTCTTTTTTGAGACAGAGCTTTACTCTGTCATCTAGACTGGAGTGCGGTGGCATGATCTTGGCTCACTGCAACCTCCATCTCCTGGGTTTAAGCGATTCTCCTGCCTCAGCCTCCTGAGTAGCTGGGATTACAGGTATGTGCCACCATGCTTGGCTAATTTTTGTATTTTTAGTAGAGATAGGGTTTCACTATATTGGCCAGGCTGTCCTCCAACTCCTGACCTCAGGTGATCTGCCTGCCTCGGCCTCCCTAAGGGCTGGGATTACAGGCATGAGCCACTGCGCCCAGCCACATCTTTTAAATCAAAACATTTAGTTGGCCCCTAACCTAGAGGAGATGTGAGGGAGGATTTTGGTAAGCCTTTTGAAATAGCATGCTGTCAACTAAACTGTGTTCTCCCCAAATTCCTATGTTAAAGCCCTAACCCCCAGTGTAATGGTATTTAGAGATGAAACCTTTGGGAGGTGATCAGGATAAGATGAGCTCGAAAGTGTGGGGCCCTCATGATGGGATTAGTGCCCTCATAAAAAGAGACACCAGAGAGCTTACTCCCTCTCTCTCTGTACCATATGAGAACACAAAGAGATGGCAGCAGTCTGCAAGCCAGAAAGAAGGCCCTCCCCAGAACCGGACCCTGCTGGTACCCTGATCTCGGACTTCCAGAACTATGAGAAAATAAATGTTAAGCCATCCAGCCCGTGGTATTTGTTACAGTAGCCCAAGCAGATGAAGACAGAGGGGAAATGCAGGTTTGCTGGTGCTACGCAAAAAACTGTTTCAGTAGTCTTAGGATGGGGATTCGAACGAGACACACAAATGTGCACCTCTCTAGTATTCTGATTATGTACATGAACATGTCTGGCATCATACAGGTATTTAAAAAACGTTAGTTCCAAATGCAATGTGGAACACTGGACTAGGTCCTAGCACAGAAAAGAGATACTAGTGGAAGGCCTGGTGACATCCAACCAAGTCTGTGTTTCAGTTAACAGTAAAGTGTTGATGTTAATATCTTAGTTCTGACCACTGTTCTATGATTATGGACGATCAGGGGAGACTGGGTTATGGGCACATCAATTTTCTTCTCTAACTTTTCAACTTTTCAATCAATTTAAAATTATTCCATTGGAAACTTGAGAGGAGGGTAAAATTTTTAAAATTAAAAATAAGTAAAATAAAATAATTCCAAAATTTAGAAATTTTCTTTAAAAAGAAGTTAACTGAAGCCGGTCGTGGTGGCTCACGCCTGTAATCCCAGCACTTTGGGAGGCCGAGGCGGGGGGATGACCTGAGGTCAGGAGTGGCCAACATGGTGAAACCCCATCTCTACTTAAAATACAAAAATTAGCCAGTCGTGGCGGTACGCACCTGTAATCCCAGCTACTTGGAAGGCTGAGAAGGGAGAATCGCTTGAACCCAGGAGGTGGAGGCTGCAGTGAGCCAAGATCGCGCCATTGCACTCCAGCCTGGGGTACAAAAGCGAGACTTCGTCTCAAAAAAAAAGTAAAAAAAAAAATAAAAAGAAGTTAACTGGCTGGGCGCAGTGGCTCACACCTGTAATCCCAGCACTTTGGGAGGCCGAGGCAGGCAGATCACAAGGTCAGGAGATCAAGACCATCCTGGCTAACGCAATGAAACCCTATCTCTACTAAAAATACAAAAAATTGGCCAGGCGTGGTGGCACACACCTGTAGTCCCAGCTACTCGGGAGGCTGAGGCAGGAGAATCGCTGGAGCCCGGGAGGTGGAGGTTGCAGTGAGCCAAGATCGTGCCACTGCACTCCAGCCTGGGTGACAGAGTGAGACTCCATCTCAAAAAAAAAAAAAAAAAAAGTTAACTGAATCAGAAATAAATGTTGAATGAAAAATAACTGAGACTAGGATAAACATCCAAATAGAGCCAACAGAGAAAGAAGGCTGGGCATGGTGGCTCCCACCTGGAATACCAGCACTTTGGGAGGCTGAGGTGGGCAGATCACTTGAGGCCAGGAGTTCAAGACCAGCCTGGCCAAAACAGTGAAACCTCATCTCTACTAAAAAAAAAAAAAAAAAAAAAAAAAACTTAGCTGGGCATGGTGTCACACACCTGTAATCCCAGCTACTCCAGAGGCTGAGGCAGGAGAATCACATGAACCCGGGAGATGGAGGTTGCAGTAAGCCAAGATTGTGCCATTGCACTCCAGCCTGAGTGACAGAGCGAGACTCCTTGTAAAAAAAAGAAGAAGAAGAAAACCAAGATCGTTTCTTCCCCTGCAGATACAGAAAGATAAGCTGGCAAGGGAAGCCAAGGGGAGGATGAGAGAGGCGGCAAGAGAGCCAGGTGGTGTCCAGAGGGCCAGGGGAGTTTCAAAGAGAATGGCAATGCCAAGAGCACCCACCCTAAGGGGCAGAGAGGTTGCCCAGAGTCCAAATTCAGACGGCCAGATTGGACCACTGCTAGACCAGCAGCTGATGGCATGGAAGCCAAGCTACAGAGGGGCAAGGAAGCTCCAGAGCCTAAGCTGGGGCAGACCTCGGGACAGACCTCGGGGCAGACCTTGTTGAAGGTAATGGTGTCTCTCTGGATTGTGGCTTATATTTACAAAACATTTTTGCATGTTCTAATGTTCTAATATGTTCTAATATGAAAAGAATATGGCAAACAGAACCTCTATGACTTTCCCAGTGACTCCATTTTAAACATTAGCACCACATTTGCTACAGAGCCACTCACGGATGGGGAAATGTCGTCATCATATTTTTTTAGCTGATTCATAAACTCCAGATGCTTCTTCTCCTCCTCCAGTTGAGCCACAGACTGCTCACTCTTCTGCAGTTTCTGCTGCGTGTTGGCCAGTTCATCCCGTAGCCACTGATTCTCCTGGCACAGACGACGAACCTGCGCACGCAGTTTCTGCTTCTCGGACTCCACAGCATTCAGGTGATTTGACAAAGCCATCATAACCTGAGCAGACAGAAACGTGTGCAGCACTGTGGCACGTTGTCCAGCAAGAGTCCCTCCCACCCGTGCGAACATTCTGTGGCTGGGGCTGTAGCTTACACTCGCAGATATTTTCTCCAAAGTACATATAAGTACAATCTGCCATTTACTTCTCTTTTCCCCTTCAGCCACAGACTACAAAGCAGGGTATGATAAAGAATATCACACGCTCAGAATGCCTACAAAAAAATACTTATTTTTTTGAAGAGCATGCCAAATGAACTAGCAATGAAAACACAGCTACCCTTCTGATGAAACTGTATTATTTTACTTTCTATCAAGATGGGCCCAACATAATTTTTTATAGACCCTTTCCCATGTGTAAGACCTCGTGTACACACATGCATGTCTGCGCACAGAGTGCATGTTGGTGAAGGGCTGCAAGTGGGGGTCAGAGAACAGTGCACATACAAATCTTCCTTGATGTTCCAAGGTGAGAGAAGACATCTCTGTAGCTACCACCAAGAGTAAGAATGCACTGGTGCACTCATAAGCTTATGTTTATGTCATAAAATCCAGGGGCCACTCCAGGGCTCTGCCTACAGAGTGCTCACTGGTTTCTGGAACAGACCAGCGTGAGGCTGTGGCAAGTTCCTAGGAGCATAAGAGCACAAACAGCTAGGAGCTGGCTGGCAGCAATCTGTTCTCTCTTTAGAACATACATCTGCCCATCCCTCTCATAACATAATAACCAGGTTATTATCCTCCTAGGTTTAAAACCTGAAACTCCAGAAGGTGGGACCTTTTCTTCCTTCTTTTTTTAAAACTCTTATCTGCGACACCAAAAAAGCAAGTTTAAATTCATGTCACCTGTTCTCAAGGTAACAGAACTTGAGAAATAATACGTTCACAATATCCAAACAGAGCTACAGTTCTGCAACTCAAGGCTGTAACATGGTTAGGATGAAGACTCTAAAATCAGGGTGTGGGCAGTCACTTCCTCTATGAAAGCAGAAACCGCTGGCCAGCAGCCCCTCTTCTGCTCTATTCACTCACTAAACTAGAGAATGCTAAGAAAGAAGCAAAGCTTTGGTATATTTAATTTTACCTAAGATATGCTGACAGAGCCAGAAGTTATCAGGAGAGAGTATTTAAAAACCTAGATGTTTCCAGTGTTTTCATCTCTATGTCAAGCATGATATTATAGAAACAAAGGTTAGTCAAAGATATGAAGCAATCTGGCCCTGGGATTGCAGAGACCATCACCCACTGGCCAGTGTCCATTCTCCTTCCTTAGGCTTAAGGACCTGCCACTGTAAGTGGGAAGACAACATTCCCCAGTCTCCCACTCACCCAGGTACAGCCATAAGGTCTGGCCAATGCAATGTAAGCACTGCTGTACACATCATCAAAGCAGCAGCCTTCAAGGAAGGAGGCACGTCCTTCCTTTCCCTTCCCCTATGCTAGAACAGGGCCACATGGAGCTCACTCTCAGTCCCCAAGACAGGCTGCCAAGGTGCAGTGTGGCAGATGTTAGGAACCTGAGTATCCCCGATGACTGTGTAGCTACAGAACCCGTCCAGGAGAGTGTACCTCAGTACTTATTTGACAAACATCTTGTGGTTTAAGCCACTGTTTTTGTTTTTTTGATACTGGCAGCCAAATCAAATCCTAAATGATACACAGCAGTATCCACTATTTTGGATCCGCTTTTCAAAATTCAGAGAGGCCCTGAGGTCAGGAGTTCAAGACCAGCCTGGCCAACATTTTAGTTTCTACTAAAAATACAAAAAATTAGCCAGGAATGGTGGTATGTGCCTGTAATCCCAGCTACTTGGGAGGCTGAGGCAGGAGAATCACTTGAACCCGGGGGACAGAGGTTGCAGTGATCTGAGATTGAGCCATTGCACTCCAGCCTGGGCGGCGAGAGCAAACACTGTCTCAAAAAAATAAAAATAAAAATAAAATTCAGAGGCCGGGCATGGTGGCTCGCGCCTGTAATCCCAACACTTTGCTGAGGCAGGTGGATCACGTGAGGTTGGGAGTTCAAGACCAGCCTAACCAACATGGAGAAACCCTGTCTCTACTAAAAATACAAAATTAGCCAGGTGTGGTGGCCCATGCCTGTAATCCCAGCTACTTGGGAGGCTGAGGCAGGAGAATCATTTGAGCCCAGGAGGCAGAGGATGCAGTGAGCCGAGACTGCATCACTGCACTCCAGCCTGGGCAGCAAGAGCAAAACTCCATCTCAATCAATCAATCAATACAATTCTGATAGGCCCAAATCAATAGTAATTTATTAACATACAGAACACATGATCTGTTTTGTTTTGTTTTTTCTTTGAGAAAAAGTCTCGCTCTGTCACCCAGGCTGGAGTGCAGTGATGCAATTTTGGCTCCCTGCAACCTCTGCCTCCCAGGTTCAAGTGATTCTCCTGCCTCAAGCCTGCCTAGTAGCTGGATTACACACGCCAGCCACCAGGCCCGGCTAATTTTTGTATTTTTAGTAGAGTCAGGGTTTCGCTATGTTGGCCAGGCTGGTCTCAAACTCCTGACCTCAAGTGATCCACCTGCCTCAGCCTCCCAAAGTGCTTGGATTACAGGCCTGAGCCACACCGCACTCGGCCTGGATCTGTTATTCTATAATCATCTTTCCTCTTCTTTAGTGAAACTGCTTATTTCAAACAAGTCTCCATTTTACCATCAAAAGTTCCTGATAACGTCTGAGTCATTCTCACTCGTACCTGTGCCTCACTCAGGCCGAGCTCCAACATCTCCAGTGACTTCCGGATCATGTTTGATTTCTCCTCCACCAAATTACTTTCATCATCTTTCTTCAAACACTTCAGTGTCTCCAGCAAACTTTGTAAAATGGAATTGTGCTCATTCTTCAAAGCTTCCAGCCCCTGAATTACTTGCTTTGTCTTAGAAATAATTTCATCCTGTGTAAGCTTCTCCAACTTGTCTTCCTTTATGTACACCATTGTGGACATGTTGTCATACATTCTGGAATGAAAAAAGAAAAAGAAATTAGATCCCTCATTACAGGTTTCATTTCTGTTACATCAAGTAAATATGAAAATTTTTTAATTAACATTTTATAGGGGAATAATAAATATGCACATTTGTAATTTATGACCTTGAAATACCATATTCTGCAGTTTCTGTTTTTCCTTTGCAGACACATTTAATTACTTTTCTGGTTTATGTCTTAATTCTTTTTTATGACAGCAACTGAAATTAATGCCAAAGATTAAAAGCAGCAAAACATCTAAATGGCATTTCCAAAACACATAGCCTCGGTGAACAACATTTTTTCTCAGAATGTTTGCAAGCCTTTTTCTCTTCCTAATGAAATGCAGGAAGAACACTACATTCTTGGTAAAATGTTTAACTGGACAAAGGCTTGAAAAGGAGTCACACAGCTGGAAGAAGAAAGAAAAACCAGCCAAAGAACATGGAACAGGAAGAGCAGCAGGGGAGGAGCAGACCTGGAAGACACAGGGCATCAAGGACAGGTGCAGCACGGTCACCGGGCAGGCTCACAGATGAGGATGGCACAGCGAAGCACCACCAGGGCCAGGCCCAGGGTGATGTGATGCAATGTCTGGAAGGGGCTTTCAAACACCAAAGTGAGAAAGAAAAGGGGGAGGAAAGGGGAATATAAAAACAGCATCATTTGTGCTGTTGTGCCTGACAGCCGCTGTCACTGAGCAATGGTTCCCTCTGCTAGCCTCTCTCCTTTTTTCTAAGTCTTAAAAACCCATAGTTAAGTTTAAAAAACAGAAAGATAGTGAGCAGTGATCTTTTTCGGCACAGTGACAGGGATGGAGGCAAGATTACACGTCAGAGTTATTTCCTTCACAGCACTGCCACTGTCTAAAATCTCACGATTCATTAAGTGTCTAATGTCACCTTGAATATAAGCTCTTATTTAAAAAGGCAGGACAGCCAGGCATGGTGGCTCATTCCTATAATTCCAGCACTTTGGGAGGCCAAGGCAGGCGGATCACTTGATGGCAGGAGTTCAAAACCAGCCGGCCAACACGGCGAAACCCTGTCTCAACTAAAAATACAAAAATTAGGTGAGTGTGCTGGCACACGCCTGTGGTCCCAGCTACTCAGGGGGCTGAGGCACGAGAATCACTTGAGCCCGGGAGGCAGAGGTTGCAGTGAGCCAAGATCTCACTACTGCACTCCAGCCTGGGTGACAGAGCGAGACTCTGCCTAAATAAATAAATAAAAATAAATGAAGTAAAATTAGCTGGGTGGTATGTGCAGGTATTCCTTGCTACCCAGGAGGCTCAGTGAGGCACAAGGATCGCTTGAGTCCAGGAATTTGAGGTGACAGTCAGCTATGATGGTACCTCTGCACTCTAGCCTGGGTGACGGAGCAAGACCCTGTCTCTTTAAAAAATTCCCAAAAAAAGAAAAAAGGCAGGGACTTGATCTTGTAGGACTCCACAGCTTCTAGAGGCAGCTCCTGGCCCAGAAAGTCCATGTAGTGAATGGATGGACTGACAGACGCTGCATGAAGGGAAGAAAAGCTGAATCAGCAGATACAGACTATATATTCCAGGATTTTGGGGTGAAGCTATGAGTGCTTGAGAATAGGGTCACGTTAGTCTCTGCATCACACACTGGAAAAATGATTTTCTTTTTCCATACATATGAAGACTGAATTCCTTTTAAAATTTGGAAGTTGTCTGTAAGACTATTCAGAAATCCACCTCCACTCCACTAACAAAGAGGCCAGAAAACAACAAAACAACAAACGCCGACCGGGCACGGTGGCTCATGCCTGTAATCCCAGCACTTTGGGAGGCGAAGGCGGGCAGATCACGAGGTCAAGAGTTCGAGACCAGCCTGGCCAATATGGTGAAACCCCCGTCTCTACTAAAAATACAAAAATCAGCCGAGCCTGATGGCGCTCGCCTGTACTCCCAGCTACTCAGGAGGCTGAGGCAGGAGAATCGCTTGAAGCCAGGAGGCAGGAGTTGCAGTGAGCCGAGATCGCGCCACTGCACTCCAGCCTGGGCAACAGAGGAAGATTCTGTCTCAAAAAAAAAAAAGAACAAAGGCCACTCCTCTACCTGACAGTATGTTAACTGTTAGTATTTATTTAACACAGGGCTCTCCAGCTTCACTGTAGCAAATCCATGGTGTGCCAGGCTGGGAATATATTGCTGAGTGATACTGCTGCTCCACTAGGGACCTCATCCATACTGTTCCATGATATATCCCCGGCCTGGCACTCAATACACATTTGTAAAATGAGTGAAAGAAAACACTTAAGGACCAGTTTTCAACAAACAAGATTAAAATGTACTAGGTTAAAGTGTTGATCTGAACATCTTTGAGGTTCCTATGACTGAAGGGAAGGGTCTTCAGGAGGAGGAAAATAAAACTTAAGGCCTGTTTTTCCACCCTGACAGCAAAGTATTTATGTATTATATCCAAATGATGCAACATATATTCTTTTATGTTTCCCAAACTAGCAGATGCAAGTGTTTTACTAAAACTTACTCTGAGCTAAGCCCTGGAATGTACAGATTAATAAGGGCCTCGCCCTTGGGGACATGCAAGCTAGCAGAAGACAAGCTACACAAGCAGGTGCACAAAGACCTGAAGGCTCAGGGACAGTGGCTGTGTGGCGGAACACGGTGGTGGGGGGCAATGGCCAACTGAGAGACGAAGGCCAGACAGAAGAAACCACTCCCAAGGGAAGCCAGTGTTATCAAGTAGCACCTCTCAAGGCTAGTAAGGGCTACTAAGATTGCTAAGGGCACTGCCAGCCCGGCAGCAAAGGGGAGCTGAGGCAGAGGTGTGACGGCACCCACTGCTGGTGAGCAGCTGCTCATCACTGCAAAGCCAGACCCAGTACCAAGGCTAGAGGAGCAGCACGGAGTGAGAGCACAAGAAACCTGCCCCCCAGGTGACCATGGTATAGATGTTAAGTACACGTGCCACTTCTTCAGAGGGAAACAGACAGCGGCATGTATATTTAGACTCGATACCTCTCACCATTTCTAGGCTAAGCCATTATAACCAAAGACAGCTTATATAATAAACGGTGCCAAGGCAACTGGCTATTTAGGAAAAATAAAATAAAGTTAAACTCCTACACTCACTATATACTAACATGAATTCCAGATTAATAACTAAATTAAAAAAAAACCAAGAAACTAGAAGGAAATACAGGCAAAAGTCTATATGCACGTAGGTCAAACTAAAGATCATTCTATGAATAAAAGTAATGGCAAGCTGGGCGCGGTGGCCGACGCCTGTAATCCTAGCACTCTGGGAGGCCGAGGCTGGCGGATCACGAGGTCAAGAGTTCAAGACCAGCCTGGCCAACATGGTGAAACCCGTTTCTACTAAAAATACAAAAAATTAGCCGGGCGTGGTGGTGCACACCTGTAATCCCAGCTATTATGGAGGCTGAGGCAGGAGAATCACTTGAACTCAGGAGGTGGAGGTTGCAGTGAGCGGAGATCTCACCACTGCACTCCAGCCTGGGCGACAGAGCAAGACTCCATCACTAAATAAATAAATAAATAAGGTATAAAACTGTAAACGACTGACAAGTCTACTTAGGACATTTTTCAAGTTTGATGCAGAAACAAAATGCGTTTCTGAGGGAAAACTATCTTGCAGCTCCTCAAGATGAAGAATTCAAAAGTATACAGGCGGCTGGGCTTGGTGGTTCACGCCTGTAATCCCAGCACTTTGGGAGGCCCAGGTAAGCAGATCACTTAGGTCAGGAGTTCCAGACAAGCCTGGCCAACATGGTGAAACCCCGTCTCTACTAAAAATACAAAAAATTAGCCAGGCGTGGTGGCAGGTGCCTGCAATCCCAGCTACTCGGGAGGTTGAGGTAGAAGAATCGCTTGAACCCGGTAGGCAGAGGTTGCAGTGAGCTGAGATCGCACCACTGCACTCCAGCCTGGGCAAGAGTGAGACTCCATCTCAAAAAAAAAAAAAAAAAGTATACAGGCTACCGCTAAGTAACAGGTAACACTGATTTACTGATTTCTGCAAGGTAAAAATTACTCAGTATCTAAGTTGACTCAAACATTTTGCCAGCCTATAAATCACACCATCACTGGACCATCTTCCAACTCTCATGCCGTGTATGCCTGGAGATGATTCAATGGAACAAGGAATCAGCCAAAACAATGCCTAGCAACCCACGGGCATGCAATAAAGATGTGTGCAATGAATGAATGAAGCAGCTTTGGAGCTAATGCATCTTCTTCTCACCTACCCTGGGGTGTGGTGGAGGCTCAGTCTCCCTGTACGTCAAGTGAAATTGATACCCACCTGACCTGGAACAATAGTACAGGCTCAGAAATACTCCCTTCCCTCTTTCCCTCTGACTGACACACAAGCTATCTGGCCCCAGGTTATTCTAACTATGAACTTTTTTTATTATGCTTTTATTCCTTAAAAAAAAAAAGTCCTATTTAAAGTTCCATTATTTACTCCGTGAGACCAAAAGAACTCAATGCAAAATCTCCAGTGTAAAACCTGATAAATCTAACATCTGAATTAAGCTCCCAAAACACAAGAAGCTGCCGGGCACGGTGGCTCACGCCTGTAATCCCAGCACTTTGGGAGGTGGAGGCGGGCGGATCACGAGGTCAGGAGATCGAGACCACCCTGGCTAACACGGTGAAACCCCGTCTCTACTAAAAATACAAAAAATTAGCCGGGCGCGATGGTGGGCGCCTGTAGTCCCAGCTACTCCGGAGGCTGAGGCAGGAGAATGGCGTGAACCCGGGAGACGAAGCTTGCAGTGAGCCGAGATGGCGCCACTGCACTCCAGCCTGGGCGACAGAGCGAGACTCCGTCTCGAAAAAAAAAAAAAACACATAAGAAGCCCTTTTTAGGGTCAAACCTCTTTAAGGCTATTGTTCAACAGGCAAAGCTATTACAGTCTACTAAATTTAAAGTCTCAGGATTCAAGTAAACCTAACAAATTCTTTTTTTTTTTTTTTTTTTTTTGAGATGAGGTCTCACCATGTTGCCCAGGCTGGTCTAAAACTCTTGGGCTCCAGTGATCCTCCCACCTTGGCCTCCCAAAGTGCTGGAGATATGGGTATGAGCTATCACACCAGGCCCCTAACAAATTATGTACTGTGTCTACAGACTGTAAGTCACTACCTAACATAATGAAGACCAAAAAAACCCTATAATTGTTATTTTTATTTTAGAACTCATTTTGTTTACATTATTTTAGATAGTGACTCAACTTTTGCAATTATATAGTATTGTGGTTTTCATGTTTTTCTCTTTCTTTTAGAGATGGGGTCTTGCTATGTTGCCCAGGCTGGACTTGCACTCCTAGACTCAAGCAATTCCCCACCTTCAGTCTCCCAAGGAGCTAGGAGTATAGGCAATTGTCACTGTACTGTTTCTTTGTTTTTTTTTAAGACAGGCTCTCATTCTATCACCCAGGGTGGGCTGCAATGGCACTATTTTGGCTCACTGCAACTTCCGCATCCCGGGCTCAAGCGATCCTCCCACATCAGCCTCCCAAGTAGCTGGGACTACAGGCATGCACCACCATACCCAGCTAACTTTTGTATTTTTAGTAGAGACACAGTTTCGCCATGTTGCCCAGGCTGGTCTCAAACTCCTGAGCTCAGGTGATCTGCCCGCCTCGGCCTCCCAAAGAACTGGGATTACAGGCATGAGCCACTGCACCCAGCCCACTGTGCCATTTTGACATGTATTTTTAACATACATGATTCTCCTTTTTTGTCTGAGACAGGGTCTCACTCTGTCACCCAGGCTGAAGTGCAGTGGCATGATCTTGGCTCATTACAACCTCCACCTCCTGGGCTCAAGTGATCCTCCCACCTCAGTCTCCCACGTAGTTGGGACTACAGGTGCGTGCCGCCAAGCCTGGCTAATTTTTCTTTCTTTTTTATTTTCTTTTTATTTTCTGTAGAGAGGGTCTTGCCATGTTGCCGAGGCTGGCCTTCAACTCCTAGGCTCAAGTGACCTGTCCACTTCACCCTCCGAAAGTGCTGCGATTACAGGCATGAGCCACCATGCCAGGCCACAAGTCTCAAGTCCAAAGATTTACTTCAATCATTCTTTCGTACTACCACATTCTGAGGACATAAATTGAGAATGTTAAGAACCTATCCTGTCAGGCTCCACATTGGGACCTCTGATTAAATACCTGTATCGCAACTTGCCAGGAGTAAAAAATAAATCAAAATAAATGTTAAAATCCTGTCTGTAGCATTTTGTAACCTAGAAATAAAACAATTTTTACTCTTTTTAAAATGTCATTTGAAAAACAATACAGGCTGGGCGCGGTGGCTCACGCCTGTAATCCCAGCACTTTGGGAGGCCAAGGCAGGCAAATCACGAGGTCAAGAGATTGAGACCATCCTGGCCAACATGGTGAAACCCCGTCTCTAATAAAAATACAAAAATTAGCCAGGCGTGGTGGCGTGCACCTGTAGTCCCAGCTACTCGGGAGCTTGAGGCAGAAGAATTGCTTGAATCTGGGAGGCAGAGGTTGCAGTGAGCCGAGATCGCGCCACTGCACTCCAGCCTGCCAAAAGAGCGAGACTCCGTCTCAAAAGAAAAAAAAACCCAATACAAATAGACCTGGTCTTTTACAAACTACCCACTGGGACAGAAATTAGGAAATGCTATTCTTTTTTTTTTTTTTTGAGATGGAGTCTTGCTCTGTCGCCAGGCTGGAGTGCAGTTGCACAATCTCGGCTCAATGCAACCTCCACCTCCCAGGTTCAAGCGATTCTCCTGCCTCAGCCTCCCAAGTAGCTAGAACTACAGGAACACACCACCATGCTCAGCTAATTTTTGTATTTTTAGTAGAGATGGGGTTTTACCATGTATGCCAGGATGGTCTTGATCTCTTGACCTTGGGATCTGCCCACCTTGGCTTCCCAAAGTGTTGGGATTACAGGCGTGAGCCACCATGCCTGGCCATGCCATCCTTTCAAAAGGCTTACCTGCCTTTTGGAAATATAAGAAACAATAACAAAAAAGTTTCTGGGTAAGGCACAGTGGCTCTCCCTGTAATCCCACCACTTTGGGAGGCCCAGGCAGGCGGATTACTTGAGGTCAGGAGTTCAAGACCAGCCTGGTCAACATGGCAAAACCCCATCTCTAGTAAAAAAAAAAATACAAAAATTAGCTGGGTGTGGTGGCACACACCTGTAGTCTCAGCTACTCAGGAGGCTGAGGCAGGAGAATCGCTTGAACCTGGAAAGTGGAGGTTGCAGTAAGCCGAGATCCTGCCACTGCACTCCAGCCTGGGTGACAGAGCAACACTCCGTCTCAAAAAAATAAAAATAAAAAAAAAGTTTCTGGATAAAGAAAGTAAATAAAAAACCCATGCTCAAACTTGAAATAAGGCTTAACAGTTCGGATAGACAAGGTAACTGTAGCATGTTTGTATTATTCAACATCCTACTTGACAGGTAAGGATTTGTACCCGTGTAACTGAAAAGAGATGGCATGCAATAAAACCTAATATACAGACTACAACGAAAGTTCTACCACTCAGCTCTGACAAAAACACCAGACATAAATATGAATTTGTATATTCAGTTGCTTTACCTCTAAAGTAATCCAAGCAGAGGTAATATGAAAAATAGAAATAGTTCTTATGCTGGACACTGTGGCTGATGTGTGTAACCCCAGCACTTTGGGAGGATGAGGTGGGAGGATCCCTTGAACCCAGGAATTCAAGACCAGCCTAGGCAAGACAGCAAGACCCCATCTCTACAAAAAAACAAAAAAAATTAGCTAGGCATGGTGGCACATGCTTGTACTCCCAGCTACTTGGGAGGCTGAAGCAGAAACATCGTTTGAGCCCAGGGGTTCAAGACCAGACTGGGCAACATAGAGGGGTCCCATCTTTTCAAAAAGAAAAAAAAGAAAGAAAAAAAATTAGCTAGGCATAAAGATGCATGTCTGCAGTTCACGGCTGCAGTGAGCCATGACTGTGCCACTGCACTTCAGCCTGGGTGACAGAGTGAGACCTTGTCTGAAATATGTATATATACACATATATATGCATACATATAATATTTTAATTAAAAAATTAAAAATTAGATGGGCATGGTAGTATGTGCCTGTACTCCCAACTACTTGAGAGGCTGAAGTGGGAAGATGGCTTGAGCCCAGGAGTTCAAGGCTGCGTGAGCTATGATCATGCCACTGCACTCCAGCGTAGGTGACAGAGCAAGCAAGACTGTCTCAGAAAATAGTTCTCATTACACACTAAAACTGTCCTTTTAATTCGTCCTTTATGACAGGAGTGATATTTTACTTACTCTGTCACACTAATGACTAAAAGAGAAGGCCTTGGGAATTTTAACTAACTCCCTGATAGATATGACGCAAACTAACAAATTTACAATAGACAAATTCTGTACAATACAGTCATGTGCAGTATAATGACATTTTGGTCAATGAGGGACCTCATATTTGACAGTGGTCCCATAAGATTATAACACCAGGCCAGGCATGGTGGCTCATGCCCGTAATCCCAGCACTTTGGGAGGCTGAGGCTGGTGGATCACGATGTCAGGAGATCAAGACCATCCTGGCTAACACGATGAAACCCTGTCTCTACTAAAAATACAAAAAAATTAGCTGGGCATGGTGGCGGGTGCCTGTAGTCCCAGCTACTCGGGAGGCTGAGGCAGAAGAATGGCATGAACCCAGAAGGCGGAACTTGCAGTGAGCTGAGATTGTGCCACTGCACTCCAGCCTGGGCAACAGAGCGAGACTCTGTCTCAAAAAAAAAAAAAGGATTGTAACACCTATTTTGACTATATCTTTTCTATGTTTAGATATGTTTAGTTGCACAAATATTTACCACTGTTACAGCTGCCTACCACAGCCACATACTGTATGGGTTTTTAGCCTAGGAGCAATGGGCTACACCATACAGCCTAGGTGTGCAGTAGGTTATACTTCCTAGGTTTGTGTAAATGTACTCCCTGATGCCCCCACAACGAAATCACTTAACGATGCATTCCTCAAAACACATCCTCAACGTTCAGCATAACACACACACAACTGCATTAGGTGGATGCTTTAAACTAAGAAGTGCGACTGCGATGTCCACTACAAGCATGGCAGGGAGCTGCAGAAGAACTGAGCTAGGCAGCACCAGGGGGAACCTGGGAGATGACCAACTCTCAGCCACCACTTGGTTTGTAGACCTGGTAGGGCAGCTAGGTCTTCGCCTCCAAAAAAAAGACAGGCAAATTTTCCCGAGAAATCTGGCCAGCCCCAGGCCAGGCGCAGTGGCTCCCGCCTGTAGTCCCAGCACTTTGGGAGGCCGAGGCGGGCGGATCACCTGAGGTCGGGAGTTCGAGACCAGCCTAGCAAACATGGAGAAACCCCGACTCTACTACAAATACAAAATTAGCCAGGTGTGGTGGCACATGCCTGTAACCCCAGTTACTTGAGAGGCTGAGGCAGGAGAATCACTTGAACCCAGGAGGCGGAGGTTGCAGTGAGCCAAGATCACCCCATTGCACTCCAGCCTGGGCAACAAGAAAGAAACTCAAAGAAAAAGAAAGAAAGAGAGAGAGAAAGAAAAGAAAAGGAAAAGAACAGAATAGAACAGAAAAGAACAGAACTAAAGAAAGAAATCTGGCCAGCCCCAAAAGAGTAACATCCATCCATTCCTCAAATGTTTACTGAGCCTCTACTTTATTCAAGGCACTGTTCTAAAGGTAGAACTTGACCCCCCAAAAAAATTGTCCTAAGAAAATTAAAATATTTTGGTGACAAGAGAATATTCTTTTTCTTCTCTTCTCTTTTCTTTTTAAGTAGAGACAGGGTCTCACTATGTTGCCCAGAATGGTCTCAAAGTCCTGGGCTCAAGTGATCCTCCTACCTCGGCCTCCCAAAGTACTGGGATTATAGGCGTGAGCTACCACACCCAGTCCCAGAGAATATTCTCTATACTTCCAGAGAGGGAGGAAAAAAAACAGGTCATGCAGGCCGGGCGCGGTGGCTCACGCCTTAGTCCAAGCACTTCGGGAGGCTGAAGCGGGTGGATCAGGAGGTCAGGAGTTCAAGACCAGTCTGGCCAATATGATGAAAGCCCATCTCTACTAAAAACACAAAAAAATTAGCCGGGTGTGGTGGCGGGAGCCTGTAATCCCAGCTACTCGGGAAGCTGAGGCAGAGAATTGCTTGAACTCGGGAGGCGGAGGTTGCAGTGAGCCGAGATCACGCCACTGCACTCCAGCCTGGGCGACAAAGCGAGATTCCATCTCAAAAAAAAAAAGTCACGTAGAAAGAATCGAGAATAACTTTAGGCTTTTTTTTTTTTTTTTTTTGAGACAGAGTCTCGCTCTGTTGCCCAGGCTGATGTGCAGTGGTGCAATCACGGCTCACTGCAAGCTCCGCCTCCCAGGTTCAGGCCATTCTCCTGCCTCATCCTCCCTGGTAGCTGAGACCACAGGCGCCCGCAACCACACCCAGCTAATTTTTTGTATTTTTAGTAGAGATGGGGTTTCACCATGTTACCCAGGATGGTCTCGATCTCCTGACCTCGTGATCTGCCTGCCTCGGCCTCTCAAAGTGCTGGGATTACAGGCGTGAGCCACCGTGCCCAGCCAACTTTAGGTTTCTTAACAGCCACATTGGAAGCAAAAGGAAATTAAACAAATGCCTTCGGGCCAGGCAACCTCCACCTTCTGCGCTCAAGTGATTCTCCTGACTCAGCCTCCCGAGTAGCTGGGATTACAGGCATGCACCACCACGCCAGGCTAATTTTTGTATTTTTAGTAGAGACGGAGTTTCACCATATTGGCCAGGCTGGTCTGGAACTCTTGACCTCAAGTGATCTGCCTGCCTTGGCCTTCCAAAGTGTTGGGATTACAGGCGTGAGCCACCATGCCCGGTCAACCAATGTATTTCTTAAATGTATCTGATTGATGTCTCATGCCTCTCTAAAATGTATAAAACCAAGCTGTGCCCCGACCACCTTGGGCACATGTTCTCAGGACTTCCTGAGGGCTGTGTCACGGGCCATGGTCACTCATATTTGGCTCAGAATAAATCTTTTCAAATATTTTACAGGGTTTGAATCTTTTCATAACAATTCTATCAAGGGCACGTGCCAACATGATTTACACCTAATACATCAGCCTCGACCACCTGGCTCAGGTAGCATTTGCAGGTTTAGCCACTGTAAGATTATCACCACCACCTCCACACACAGTCATCCCATTCCATACTCTTAGGAAGCAAGTCACTAAGTGCAGCCCACACTCCAAGGAGATGGGGAAAGTTATAGAGGACCCTCTGGAAGATGGAAGAATCTACCATTATTTGGAATTCTTCTCTAAGGGAGATCAGTCTATTCTTTGTCTCTTTCCTCATTTATTAATGTAATTATTTATATCAATATGGACTTACAGATATTTGTTTTATACTTTAGGTGATAAGTAAAATACTAATTGTTAAAAATACATTCTTGGCTGGGCATGGAGGCTCATGCCTGTAATCCCAACACTTTGGGAGGCCATGGTGGGTGGATTACCTGAGGTCAGGAGTTGGAGACCAACCTGACCAAAATGGTGAAACCCCGTCTCTACTAAAAATACAAAAAAATTAGCCGGGCGTGGTGGTGTGCGCCTGTTGTCCCAGCAACTCAGGAGGCTGAGACAGGAGAATTGCCTTGAACCTGGGAGGTGGAGGTTGCAGTGAGCCGAGATCACGCCACTGCACTCCAGCCTGGGCAACAGAGTGAGACTCCGTCTCAAAAAAAAAAAAAAAACCAAAAAACCAAAAAACTACATTATTTATTTTATTGTTCAAGTTGTTCCAGCTTTTGTCAATGGGAGCTCTTTCAGTTGGTTCCTGTGTCCCTTCTTCATGTTCCCATCCCTTTGTTTTTTAGCATATCCTTACATTCAAACACTAGAAGAAGCTTCAGGCTCATCTTATATTTTCCCTGCCCCAGCCCTAGAATCACCCATTACTCCAAAGAGTTCTGATTTGTTTTGGTACAATGGAATCAGAATCCAAAACTGGGAGCCAGTAGTCTTTCTCCTAAAAACTCATAACCCTGACTTAACCATGGGAAAAATATCAAGACAAACCCAAATTTAAGGACATTGTACAAAATACCTTGCCCATATGTCTCAAAACTATCAAGGTTATTGCAATGGAATCAATGTGTGCCCCCCACCCCAATTCACATGTTAAAATTCTAATGCCTAGAGTAATGCTTTTAGGAGGTGGGGCCTTTGGGAGGTGATTAGGCCATGAGGGGACCCCTCACGGTGGGATTAGTGCCTTTAAAAAAGGGAACCCAGGGGCTGAGCAGTGGCTCATGCCTGTAATCCCAGCACTCTGGGAGGCCGAGGTGGGTGAATCACCTGAAATCAGGAGTTCGAGACCAGCCTAGTCAATATGGTGAAACCCCGTCTCTACTAAAAATACAAAATTAGCCGGGCATGGTGGTGCATGCCTGTAATCCCAGCTACTCAGGAGGCTGAGGCAGGAGAATAGCTTGAACCCAGCAGGCAGAGGTTGCAGTGAGCTGAGATCATGCCACTGCACTCCAGCCTGGGCGATGGAGTGAGACTCTGTCTCAAAAAAATAAAAAATAAAGGGAACCTAGGCAGAGTATAGTGGCTGATACCTATAATCCCAACACTTTGGGATGCCAAGGCAGGCAGATAGCTTGAGCTCAGGTGTTCAAGACCAGTCTGGGCAACATGGTAAAACCCCATCTCTACAAAAAATACAAAAATTATCTGGGTGTTGTAGTGTGCACCTGTAGTCCCAGCTACTTGGGAGGATGAATTGAGCCTGGGAGGCTGAGGTGGAGGTGGGAGGATGAAGTGCACCCAGGAGGCGGAGGCTGCAGTGAGCCAAGATTGTGCCACTGCACTCCAGCTTGGGCAACAGAGACAGACTCTGTCTCAAAAAAATAATTATTATTAAATTTTTTTTAAAAAGGGAACTCTCTCACACTCTTTTCACCATGTGAGAATACATCTAGAAGTCGGTAGCATGCAACCAGAAAGAGGGTCTGCACCAGAATCTGACCATGCTGGCACCCTGATCCCAGACTTCCAGCCTCCAGGACTGTGGCTTGTGTTGTTCGTGAGTCACTAGCCTGTGGTACTTTGTTACAGCCTCGCAAGCTAAGACAGTCCTCTAATGCAAGGAAAGTCTAAGAAAACAGCCACAGAGCAGGAGGCATGATGACTAAATGTGATATGGTATCTTGGATGGGATCCTGAGGTACAACAAGGACAAGGGAAAAACCAGTGATACCAAATAAAGTGGAGTTCAGTTAATAATAATGTACCAGGCTGGGCACAGTGACTCACACCTGTGATCCCAACACTGGGAGGCCGAGGCAGGTGGATCACTTAAGGGCAGGAGTTCGAGACCAGCATGGCCAACATGGCAAAACCCCATCTCTACTAAAAGTACAAAAATTAGCCAGGCATAGTAGCGCATGCCTGTAATTCCAGCTACTAGGGAGGCTGAGGCAGGAGAATTGCTGGAACCCAGAAGGCAGAGGTTGCAGTGAGCCATGGAGCCACTGCACTCCAGCCTGGGTGACCTAGCAAAACTTTGTCTCAAAAGAAAAAAAAAATAATAGTAATAATAATAGTAAGGTACCAATGTTGGTTCCTTGGTTGTCACAAATGTATCACAGTAATGTAGGATATTAACATTAGGGGAAATTGGATGCAAAGTATGTGGGAACTCTCTGTACTATCTTTGCAACTTTTCTGTAAATCTGTAACTATTCTAAAATTAAAAGTTTATTTTCAAATCTACACATAAATACAAAATACATATATAACTTGATAAAAACAAAACCAAAAAAGTATACATACAATATGTATATTAAGAATTCACAGGGCCGGGCGCGGTGGCTCACGCCTGTAATCCCAGCACTTTGGGAGGCCGAGGCGGGCAGATCACAAGGTCAGGAGATCGAGACCATCCTGGTTAACACGGTGAAACCCCATCTCTACCAAAAATACAAAAAATTAGCCAGGCGTGGTGGCGGGCGCCTGTGGTCCCAGCTACTCAGGAGGCTGAGGCAGGAGAATGGCGTGAACCCGGGAGGTGACGCTTGCAGTGAGCAGAGATCGCGCCACTGCACTCCAGCCTGGGCGACAGCGCGAGACTCTGTCTCAAAAAAAAAAGAATTCACAGGCCAGGGGCAGTGGCTCATGCCTGTAATCCCAGAATTTTGGGAGGCCAAGGTGGGTCGATCACCTGAAGTCAGGAGATCGAGACCAGCCTGGTCAACATGGTGAAACCCTGTCTCTATTAAAAATACAAAATTAGCCAGGCATAGTGGTGCACACCTGTAATCCCAGCTACTCGGGAGGGTGAGGCAGTAGAATCGCATGAACCTGGAAAGTGGAGTTTGCAGTGAGCCAAGATCGTGCCACTGCACTCCACAACAGAGCGAAACTCTGTCTCAAAAATAAAGAAAATAAAAGAAAGAATTCACAGCCTGACTCAGTGGCTCACGCCTGTAATCCCAGCACTTTGGGAGGCCAAGGCGGGTGGATCTCTTGAGCTCAGGATTTCAAAGCCAGACAGGGAAACATGGCAAAACCCCATCCTAAAAAAAAATACCAAAATTAGCTGGGTGTGGTGACATGCACCTGTGGTCCCAGCTACTCAGGAGGCTGAGGTGTATCACTGGAGTCCAGGAAATCAAGGCTGCAGTGAAACATGATTGCAC
Organism: Homo sapiens; assembly: GCF_000001405.40. Taxonomy (NCBI): domain Eukaryota; kingdom Metazoa; phylum Chordata; class Mammalia; order Primates; family Hominidae; genus Homo; species Homo sapiens. The sequence goes on along the minus strand of NC_000014.9, from coordinate 103,639,817 downwards.
CATTGTGCTCTAGCCTGGGTGACAGAGTTGAGACCCTGTCTCAAAAATAATAAAATAAAAATAAAGAATTCACATCTGGGCCGGGTGTGGTGGCTCATACCAGTAATCCCAGCACTTTGGGAGGCCAAGACAGGAGCACTGCTTGAGCCCAGGAGTTCAAGACCAGCCTGGGGAATACAGTGAGACCCTGTCTCTACAAAAATAAAAATTAGTTGGGTGTGGTGGCACACGCCTGTGGTCCCAGCTACTCAGGAGGCTAAGGTGGGAGGATTGTTTGAGCCTGGGAGCTCAAGGCTACAGTAAGCTTTGGCTGTACCACTATACTCCAGCCTAGGTGACACAGCGAAACCCTGTCACAAAAAAATAAATAAGTAAAAGACAAGAAAGAGCCAGGCGTGGTGGCTCACACCTGTAATCCCAACACTTTGGGAGGCTGAGGCAGGCGGATCACTTGAGGTCAGGAGTTCAAGACCAGCCTGGCCAACATGGTGAAACCCCATCTCTACTAAAAATATAAAAATTAGCTAGGCGTGGTGGCACATGCCTGTAGTTCCAGCTACTTGGGAGGCTGAGGCTGCAATGAGCCAAGATCATGCCACTGTACTCCAGCCTGGACAACAGAGCAAGACTCCATCTCAAAAAAAAGGAAAGAAGAATTCGCATCTGTCCAATATGTTAGTTTTGGGAGCATTTTCAAATGTGTAATATTTTATCGAAATAACAACAAAAAAAGTCTGCAGGTAGTTTGATGACCTATCATTATAATTCCCATTTACAGCTGAGGAAACTGGGATACATGAAGTGATTTAAGCTTATTCTACCAACAAGAAGAACACAATCCAAGGTCTCTTTGCCCCAAGTGTCCCTCTGCTTCAGGAACCCTACCACTCTGCATGCACGCACACACACACACACACCCTTGTGCTCACACACATACACCCTATGTTCATACATATGCACCACTGTGCTCACACACACCCCTATGTTCATACATACACACACCACTGTGCTCACGCACACACACCCCCACTGTGTTCATACATACACACCACTATGTTCACACACACCCACACACCCCACTGTGTTCATACATATACACCCAGACTCCAGCCTGGGTGACAGAGCGAGACTCTGACTCAAAAAAAAAAAAAAAAAAAAAAATTAATGAAATGAAAGCAAAGGCCAGAGAAGCAAAGGGCATCATCTTTGGTCACTTTACCTCCCCTGGTTTTATCATGTGAAATTCAGCCAGGTGGGGAAAGCTTACAGTGATGAAGAAAGTTAAGAAAAAAAAAAAACACCAAGCACTAAAAAGGGAAAAGGAATGTGTGGAATTAGATAGATGGTAGTTGCACAAAACAGAGAATACATTAAAAATCACTGCACTGCACGCTTTAAAATGGGGCATTTGATGTGATGTGACTTACATTTCAATTTTCTAAAAGAGAAAAAGAATGTGGTAGAAAAAGCAATAGGTCTGGGTGCACAGAATGAAGGACAGCCAAGAAAGAAATGTCAATTACTCTCAGTTCTCAAGTGTTAAATAAAGTTCCTATGAATACAGACGAGGGTAGCACATTAAGGAAAAATGGGATGGAGGGAAGAAAACAGAGGTTTTTTCCTTGCAAAGGTTTATAAGGGATGTTTTACCGAGAGATGGGCAACAGGAAACCCTGGCAGTGCTGGCCAGATCAGCAGGGTCAGGTCCCATCCCCATATACAGGCGCAGAAGCCCCAAACAATACCAGCAAAGAGGGTCCTGAGGTGAAGGGACCAGCCTACAGGAACAGTCCACGTCATATTCAGGGAAATAAATAGTATCTTGGTGGCCCAGCATAGTGGCTTACGTCTGTAATCCCAGCACTTTGGGAGGCCAAGGAGAGCAGATCATTTGAGCCCAGAAGTTAAAGACTAGCCAGGGCAATGCCATGAAACCCTGTCTCTACAAAAAACAAGCCGGTCATGGTGGTGCGCACATGTAGTCCCAGCTACTTCAGGGGCTGAGGTGGGACGATCACTTGAACACGAGGCTGCACTGAGCCACGACTGTGACACTGCACTCCAACCTAGGCAACAGAGCAAGATCCTGTCTCAAAAATTAAATAAATACATAAATATTTTTTTAAAAAGAAAACATTAACAACCAGACAAAACAAATGCATCTATTTGGCCTTTGGGTGACTTATTTATAGATATGCTTTCAGAATTAAGGAAAGCGGATGTTGCTTAGGCAACAACAAAAAATAAAAGATAAAAATAAACCCTGCGAAAATTTCTTTTTTTTTTTTGAAACAGAGTCTCACTCTGTTGCCCAGGCTGGAATGCAGTGTCGCAATCTCGACTCACTGCAACCTCTGCCTCCCGGGATCAAGCGATTCTTCTGCCTCAGCCTCCCAAGTAGCTGGGACTACAGGTGCACACCACCACGCCTGGCGAATTTTTGTAATTTTAGTAGAGACGGGGTTTCACCATACTGGCCAGGGTAGTCTCAAACTCCTGACTTCATGATCCACCCGCCTCGGCCTCCGAAAGTGCTGGGATTATAGGTGTGAGCCACCGCGCCCAGCCGAAAATTTCTTTAATAAAACTTGCCAGAGCATGGTTAAGAAAAATTAAAAGTATTGATTTATTAAAAGGCACTACCAAAAAATAAAGTTAAGCCATAGATTAGGAAAAAATATTTGCGACACATATATATCTGGCAAACGGCTTGTATAAAAAATACGTCAGCCTGGGCAATAGAGCAAGAGCAAGACTCCATCTGAAAAAAAAAAAACATGTAAGGAACTGCTGGGCGTGGTGGCTCACGCCTGTTAATACCAGCACTTTGGGAGGCCAAGACGGGCGGATCACGAGGTCAGGAGATCGAGACCATCCTGGCTAACATGGTGAAACCCATATCTAATAAAAATACAACAAAAAAAAAAATTAGCTGGGCGTGGTGGCAGGCGCCTGTAGTCCCAGCTACTCCAGAGGCTGAGGCAGGGGAATGGCGTGAACCCGGGAGGCAGAGCTTGCAGTGAGCCGAGATCGCGCCACTGCACTCAAGCCTGGGCAACAGAGGAGACTCCATCTCAAAAATAAATAAATAAATAAATATGTAAGGAACTTAAAAATACAAACAATCCAATTTTTTAAATGGGCAAAAGTCTTGAACAGACACTTTACAAATCCAGGCATACAAAGACCGACAAGCATGTAAGCGCTCACCATTATGAGTCATCAGTGAAATGCACATTAAAACTAACAAGATGCCACTATACCCCGCTAGAATGGCTCAGATGAAAAAGACAGGCAAGGCCAGGCACGGTGGCTCACGCCTGTAATCCCAACACTTTGGGAGGCCGATGGGGGGTGATCACCTGAGGTCAGGAGTTCAAGACCAGCCTGACCAACATGGAGAAACCCATCTCTACTAAAAATACAAAATTAGCCCGGCATGGTGGCCCATGACTGTAATCCCAGATACTCAGGAAATTAAAGCAGGAGAATTGTTTGAACTCGGGAGGCAGAGGTTGCAGTGAGCTGAGATCGTGCCACTGCACTCCAGCCTGGGCAACAAGAGTGAAACTCCATCTCAAAAAAAATAAAAAATAAAGTATTGAAAGTAGTCAAAATCATAGAAACAAAGTAGAAAAGATGGTTACCGGGGGAGGGCGAGGGAGGAGGAGATATCAGTATTTGGGGGCTACAGTCTCAGCGCTGCCAGATGAAAGAGTTCCAGAAATGTGGAACAACGATGTGCATATCCTTAACACTACTGAATTGTGAACTTTTAAATGGTTAAAATGGTACATCTTTGAAAAAAATTGAAGTGGCGCGAGGTTTCCCCAAGAAAAAGTAATGATAGGATTAAACAGCATTATCATGATTCACTTGAAGCTGCAGCTTTAAGTACTGCAAGGTGATTCAAAGCTTATACCGCGAAGCAAAAAAACTGAGTTAGAATCTTGACTTCACAGCTGTGTAACTTTGGTTTCTGAAACTTCCCCTCTCTCACCCTCAAATTCCTCAACAGTAGAATCTCAGTAACAGTACCTATTTTACTTTTTTTTTTTCTTTTTGAGATGGGAGTCTCACTCTGTCGCCCAGGCTGGAGTGCCGTGGCTCGATCTGGCTCACTGCAACCTCCGCCTCCCGGGTTCAAGTGATTCTCCTACCTCAGCTTCCCAAATACCCGGGACTACAGAAGCATACTACCACACGCGGCTAATTTTATATTTTTAGTAGAGACAAGGTTTCACCCATGTTGGCCAGGCTGGTCTCAAACTCCTGACCTCAGGTGATCCGCCCTCCTCAGCCTCCCAAAGTGCTGGGATTACAGACATTAGCCACCAAGCACAGCCTTTTATTTTTTTAAGAAACAAGGTCTCACTATATTGCCCAAGCTAGTTTGAACTCCTGGGCTCAACTGATTCTCCCACCTCAGCCTTCGGAGTAACTGAAACTACAGACACATATGACATCCGCAGGGTTTACAGTACCTATTTTCTCTGGAACAGTGCAAACATCACTCTGATCAGTTTTAGTAGCAGCATAGTGAACTTCAGAGAAGCCTGAACATAAATTTATGTTATGCAACTGAAGTCAGGGAACAATCTATGGTTTAAATGAAGGTAACAGATATTTTAGAACCAAGGAAGTAACTCAGTTCACGTATGCACGTAACTCAGCTTAACATGTTTGCTCCATATCCGTTGCTTTAAGTTCAGATAGCACTTTTCAAATTCAAAAAGCATATATGCAAACTGCTTTCATCTGCCTCCAAAAATTAGTTAAAACTAAAAAAAAATCATAATTCATTTCTGATCCATGAGTATACTAACTAGGAGGCTACAGAGTACAACGCCACAAAGGATGCCTTGGGAGAACGAATGAAGATCATCTCGAAATAGCCTCCATCCTTAAGAGGTAATATTCTCAGGAAACAGGCAACAGGCCGGGTGCAGTGGCTCAAACCTGTAATCCCGACACTTTGGGAGGCCACGGCAGGCAGATGGCTTGAGCCCAGGAATTCGAGACCAGCCTGGGAAACACAGTGAGACCCCCGTCTCTACATAAACTATATTTAAAAAAAAAAAAGTTAAAGGTCATTAGTAACCTCCTAGAAGCAAAATCCATAGAGACTTCTCAGTCCAACCCATCACTGACTTCTTAGCCAATTTGCTACTGATCTCCTCCCTCCTCTTCTCTTGGTTTCCCAGGACCCTCTCCTCTTAGACCCACTCCCCATCTCTACCAGATGGACATCACACCCGACTGGCTCAACGATATGATGCAGTCTCTGGAATCTTTACCTCCAGCCTCAGCCTCTGTCTTGAGCTCCAAAGATGTATCTCTAACTGCCCACTAGTCCACTTGGCTGCCCCACAAGCACTTCAGATTTAACATGTCCAAAAACAAACTCATAATCTCATCCTTCTCCCATTTTCCCTCCTTGGATGAGTGTCACCAGCCAGTGAATCACCCAAATTAGAGATGAGGATCATTCTAGATGCATTCCTTCAACAAACATTTACTAAGTTCCTATTACACGCCAAGCACCGACACTGAATACAAGAGACAAAACTCCCCATCCTTGTGGAGGTTATGAATGTTAAGTGGAGACAAACAATAAAAATTTTAAAATGATTAAAATAATACAGTATTGGCCAGGCACGGTGGCTCAGGCCTGTAATCCCAGCACTTTGGGAGGCTGAGGCAGGTGGATCACTTAAGGTCAAGAGTTCGAGACCAGCCTGGCCAACATGGTGAAATCCTGTCTCTACTAAAAATACAAAAATTAGCTAGGTGTGGTGGCACATGCCTGTAGTCCCAACTACTTGGGAGGCTGAGGCAGGAGAATGGCTTGAACCCGGGAGGCAGAGGATGCAGTGAGCTGAGATCATGCCACTGCACTCCATCCTGGGTGACAGAGCGAGACTCCGTCTCAAAAAGTAATAATAAAAAAAAAATAATAATAATACAGCATTTAAGATAGTGAGGTGTGCTAAGGAGAAAAATCAGGGCAGAGGCTAAGGAGTATGTGGGGAAGTGAAGAAATGCTAATCACTACAAGAATGGGTTTGGTTCAGAACTCCAGATGCACCTGGAAGTGCTTGAGTAGGGCCAGAGCAGGAAGATGAAAAGAGACAGGGTGGGGTGCTCAGAGGACACTGACAAAAGCTTTAACAGAGGAGTGACTCAGGTTTTCACAGGATCATTCTGGGGAGTCCTCCCTGCAGCTCCTCATTTACCCCAATCCAGTCAGCCCCAAATCAGCTCCACTATAACCCTTACAGCCCAGCCCCTGCCCCCACCTAGCTTCTCTGTTCCTTCTGTCACTGCCCTAATCCTGAGGCTTGCCGAGTTGGGGTTAATGGCTTCCTAATTAACCTCATCCCAGTTCACAGCACCTGCCCCACCACTGCCTATGCTCTTTCTAAAGTGGCAACTGGCTCCTCAGAATCTTCCAACCCTCCGGCCAGGCGCGGTGGCTCACGCCTGTAATCCCAGCACTTTGAGAGGCCAAGGCGGGCGGATCACGAGGTCAGGAGATGGAGACCATCCTGGCTAACGTGGTGAAACCCCGACTCTACTAAAAATACAAAAAATTAGCCGGATGTGGTGGCACGCACCTGTAGTCCCAGCTACTCGGGAGGCTGAGGCAGGAGAATCACTTGAACCTGGGAGGTAGAGGCTGCAGTGAGCAGAGGTCGTGCCACTGCGTTCCAGCCTGGGTGACAGAGCAAGACTCCATCTCAAAAAAAAAAAAAATCTTCCAACCCTCCTTTGTAAACCTCAGAATGAAAGCAGACTTCTAAGAAGTCATTCAAGGCCTTTCCTAACCTCGTCTTTCCACACTCACTCCCATGTCCCCTTCCCAACATGCCCCTTTACAGCAGCACAACCTCAGGATTTATTTCCTCCAAGCAGGAACCCCAATCCCAATCCCACCCCTGACCCCCTGACACTGGCTGATTGGTACTTTTCTTTTGTGAAGAATCGCCTCCTCAGTGCACTCCACAGCCTTTAACCTGGTCTGTGGTACCTGCCCATGCCAGCCTGTGAGCTCCTAGAGGACAGAGTTTTTTTGTTTTTTGGTTTTATTTTTTTTGAGGCAGAGTTTTGCTCTTGTTGCCCAGGCTGGAGTGCAATGGCGTGATCTCGGCTCACTGCAACCTCTGCCTCCCCAGTTCAAGCGATTCTCCAGCCTCAGCCTTCTGAGTAGCTGCGATTAGAGGCACCCGCCACCACACCCGGTTTTGGTTTTTTTTGTATTTTTAGTAGAGACAGGGTTTCACCATGTTGTCCAGGCGGGTCTCAAACTCCTGACCTCAGGTGATCGGTCCATCTTGGCCTCCCAAAGTGCTGGGATTACAGGAGTGAGCCACTGCACGGCTGACAGCGGCTCTTTTTGTTTGTTTTGAGACGGAGTCTGGCTGGACTGCAGTGACGTGATCTCGGCTCACTACAACCTCCACTTCCCGGTTCAAGCGATTCTCCTTCCTCAGCCTCATGAGTAGCTGGAATTACAGGTGTGCACCACCACACCTGGCTAATTTTTGTATTTTTGGTAGGGACGGGGTTTCACCATGTTGGCCAGGCTGGTCTTAAACTCCTGACCTCAGGTGATCCACCTGCCTCGGCCTCCCAAAGAGCTAGGGGCGATCTGCAGCCTCAGCCTCCCAAAGAGTTAAGATTACAGGCATGACCACGCCCGGCCAACAGTGGCTCTTTTATCAAGGTATCGCTGACTACTCAGCACAGTACCTGCCATTCAGTTGGTTCCCAACAGACATTTAAGACCAGTATTTGCAATCTTAATGTGCTTGTCACTTTTATTCTATGCCCTGAAATTTGACACTTAAATCTTCCCAAATACTCTCGTCTTGAGTATATTACTGATCATTTCTTTGCTACATAAAATACTGGTTTCAGCCCAGGTGCAATGGCTCACACCTGTAACCCTAGCACTTTGGGAGGCTGAGGCGGGTGGATCGCCTGAGGTCAGCAGTTTGAGACCAGCCTGGCCAACATGGTGAAGCCCCGTCTCTACTAAAAATACAAAAAATCAGCCTGGTGTGGTAGTGGGCACCTGTAATCCCAGCTACTAGGGAGGCTGAGGCAGGAGAATCACTGGAACCTGGGAGGCGGAGGTTGCAGTGAGCGGGGATCACACCACTGCACTCTAGCCTGAGCCACACAGTGAGACTCATCTCTAAATAAATAAAAATAAAATACTGGTTTCTAACATTCCACTTATCTACAAAGAATGTTTTCAGGTGATACTAATCATACATTTCACTCAACTTTTGATTTTTCTATCCTAGGTTTCTTTTTATACAAGTATGTTTTAAGATAATTTATGGCCCTATACAGAAAGTTACACATTGACTTTTTTCCAACATTGAGAAACATGCCTAAGAATGTATAAATTTTAAAAATGTATAAATTTGGGCCAGGTGCGGTGGCTCACGCCTGTAATCCCAGCACTTTGGGAGGCCGAGGTGGGCGGATCACGAGGTCAGGAGATCAAGACCAACCTGGCTAACATGTTGAAACCCCATCTCTACTAAAAATACAAAAAATTAACCGGGCGTGGTGGCGGGCGCCTGTGGTCCCAGCTACTCAGTAGGTTGAGGCAGGAGAATGGCGTGAACCCGGGAGGCGGAGCTTGCAGTGAGCCGAGATCGCGCCACTACACTCCAGCCCGGGCGACAGAGCGAGACTCCATCTCAAAAAAAAAAAAAATGTGTAAGTTTAAACGACTGCAGTTATTTGCTATGAAATACTGAAGATACTGTGTGCCTCTCCCCAGTGTCATTCCCTCCCCCCTTGCTGGAGATAAACGCTGTCCAGAGTCCTGTGCATGTCTGGATGCTTTTCTCTAAGACAATGCCAAGGCTGCAGTAGGGTTAGAGGTTACCACCTGGGTCCTCCACAGCACTCAGTGCCAGACAGGGCTGCCAGGCTCAACTGCAACATGATGCTGCATTCTTTGATGACTTGGAGAGACACTGGCTCTTTAGAGTGCCTACCCTCCCACACAGAATTCCATACAAGTTGAAATATACTTCATACTTAGTATCATTGTATTCCTACAAATATTTAGGAAACAGAGCAATAGGTCAAATTTCTCACCATAACAGGCTTGCTGACAATCCCTGAAAGAAGCAAGGCCATGTCTGTAATATAACTTCAGGAGGTTCTTCCAGTTTTCTAAAGTGTCTTTCACTAAACTAGTGCAATGTATTCCGAGCTGATTCTGATCAATGGCTTAGTCATGCCGTACCAAAAAAAAAGGCCTTGGGATTTAACTAATGCAAAGAATCAAAGCTCTAACTGCCCTTTTACAGAACACCTGAAATAGTATATCTCAAATTTTTTGTTCTCACATTTTTAAAAAACATCATTTTTGTAAGTATTCCTTTTCAAACGCTTAATATGTAAATTCTTAATTCATTTAAATAATAAAACAGTAACAGGCAGCAACAATTCTAATACAAATATACCTAGAAATGACCTACAAATGTTAAGTTATAAAACCATCCACTCCATCACGCATTAATTTCACTACTTTTACGCTTTATTTTAATTTTCTTAAGGAAAAGGGTACACCCAATTTTACATGGAAAAAGCATTCCAGGACGGAGGCTGCTTCAAGTTTAGTTGGAGCAACGCCAGCCTAGGTGAACAGGGTCGCCTGAAACGTTTCGCATCTGGTTACTGAAAATAAGGGGTCGCCAAGGAGGCAAAGCGGAGCCAGCTCTCGGGAGGGACCCGGCCCCCCGCCGCCCGCGAGAATGACAGGCGCGTCCGCTCAGGGCGGTGCCGGGAGAGGCGGGGGTGGAAGGAAGAGGAGGAATCGGACAAAGCCAGCCCCGCCGGGCCTCCGGCCTCCCCGCCCGCCGCGATCCCGGGGTCAGCCACCTCCCCTGTCGCGGGTTCCCGGGGTCCACAGCTGTCCCCGGGAACGGCCGCCGCCGCCCGCAGCAGGGCCAAGCCGGGGATGCGGGGCCAGGGCGGGGCCCTGGGCAGGGCCGGGGACCGGAACCTGCAGTGGGACGCGGATGGGGAGGACGCGCGGCGCCGGGAGCCGGGGCTGGCAAAAGGGCCGGGGACAAGAACCCGACCTGAACCTGGAAGGGGTCGCGGACCGGCCGGGGCGGTGAACTGGGGCGGGTACCGGGGTGGGAACGGAGAGGGGCCGGGACCCAAACCGGGAAGGAGGCCTGGATGGGGACAGAGTTACGGCCGGGGCGGGTCCGAAGAGGAGCGGGACAGGGACGGGGCGGAGGATGAGGAGGGGGCCGCGGTCCGGGGCGCACGCCGGGGACTCACCGCCTTGCTCCTGAGGGCCGCGCTCTCTCGCGCTGTCAGCACCTGGAGCGCCGCCGGGCGCGCGCGCGGAGCAGCGACTGTGCGCCGAGCCCGCCTCGGCTGTGTGAGGCACGGCGCAGCAGTCACCAGCTAGGGGCGCCGGAGCTACCGCCCCGCAGCATCCTCGGCCACCCACGCGCTGTCCCCTTGGCCGCCGAGCACAGCCCCGCGGCTCCTCGCACCAGCAGCCCAGCCGACCCAGCCAGTCCCGCTCGGCCGCCTGCGCCGCTCCCGCCGCCGAAAATGGCGTCTCAGTGTTGCTCCCCCCGGCGCCCCGCCTCGCCCCGCCCCACAATGCCGCGCGCCGGCATGACGTCATCGCCCCTCGCCCCGCCCGGGGCTGGGGAAACTGAGGCTGGGTGGCTCCCCGCAAGCGCTCGGCGAGCTGGGGACTGGAGGGGCGAGAAAGTTGTTTGGGTATCAGGTGGGCGGTCACAGGGAGGAGGGTGACGGTGCAGGACCCAGCGGGCCTCCCGGTTGTAACGCGGACGGGGGTGGGGCGCTCGGGGCAGGGCGCGGCTCGCGGGGTGGGCGGCCAGGCCCTGGCCTCTCCGACTCCGCAGCCGCGATGACCGAGCGCTTCGGCAGCTTCCCTTCCAGCCGGACTGTGGGCCCTACCAGAATGCGGCCGGGGACGGTGCAGGCCCGGCCGCAGCCGCCACCACTGGGCTCCCGCCCCACCCCACTCCCAGGCCCGCGAGCTTCATGCGCTCGTTTCGGTCCCCCCAAAACCCAGCTAGGAGGCCTTCGGGAGGCCCCGGAATCAGATGATCCCGGCCAGGCCTTTCTCCCTCCTCCAGGAAAACCGACAGCCTTTGGTCGAGACCCTGACCTCTAACCCTGCGCCCTCCCCTTCTCATTATTCCCTCTCCTCGGGGCTTTTGGACCCTCGTATCTGTACGAGGAAACTTTCCAGGCGCTCCCCCTCGACACAAACTGCGCCTCAGACGGGCAAAGGGGAAGGGCCGGGGTGTAGACTGTGAGGGTGGGAGACAACCCCCCTCTGTCCCCACGCAGCCACCGGCGCATCTCCCTGGCTGCAGGGCCTCGACCTCCAGCCCGGCCTGAAGGGCAGCGGAGCGCGCCTGGGTCAAGTCCTGCGGCTTCGCCGGCTCCGCAGGCCTGACTCAGCAGCCAGCCGGGAGGGCATGCTGATTCAATGGGCGAGGCTCCGCTCGCTGCTGCCAGCGGCTTGGGAAAAACCCTCCCAGTGCCTGCAGACGTCCCAAGTGCGGGGCCCGGAGGCATCATTTAACCTGGAGGGGTTCCTGGGCCAGTCCCCCAGCCCCATCTTGTGAACTGCTGTTCCTTTCCGATGTTATCACCCAGCACCAGCAGCCCTTTGTGAACCCTGCAGTTAGGCCCCGCAGTCACCAGAGAAGCAAGTGCTCCTCGGTTTTTCCAGGGAGGTCTGGTTACTTTTATCTCATTTATAAAGACAAAGGGGGAGCTCCTAGGTAACACGGTAGGGTTGGCCCGGGGAGAGGCACTGAGTCAGGGTCAAACAAACTTTCTCCATACCACTTTCAGGTTAGTGATTTCAGCCAGACTGCAGCTTGGATGTCACTAAGTTCAGCCACTGGGCTGGGCACCGCCAAGCATCGACTGCTCATTCTTTCTGTGCCGCTGCGCCCAGTAACTGTCCCCTCTGCTCACCCACAACCCTAGCCAGAAACCTGGGATGCCTGCACCGCTCCCTTACGCCCTACTACAACAGGTGGAAAAGATTCTACTTCCTCAATATTTCTTTGAGTTAGGGTATCTTTGTCACCCTGACTGGAGGGCAGTGGCAATCAGCTCACCGTAACCTCGAACTCCTGGGCTCAAGAGATCCTCTTGCCTCAGCCTCCCAAGTAGCTAGGGACTACAGGTGTGCACCACCACTCCCAGCTAATGTTTTTTAAATTTTTTGCAGAGAGGAGATCTTGCTATGTTGCCCAGACTGATCTCGAACTCCTGGCCACAAGTGATCCTCCCAGCTGGCCTCCCAAAGTGCTGAGATTACAGGTGTGAGCCACCATGCCCGGCCTCTCAGTATTTCTTGAATCCATCTCCACTGCCACCACTTTGTTCTGGCTTTATTACCTTGTTCTTTTATTTCCTCAATAAATATTTGTTGCTCTCCCATGATCCTCATAACAGCCAAGGATGCATAGGTGAACAAGATAGATAAGATCTCTGCTTTCTAAGAGTTTACATTCCAGTGAGGAGAAGTAGGCCATAAACACATAAGGAAATACCGGATCTTGCCGAGATGATGGAACAGGCAGAGATGGAACAAAGATGATGGAACAGGCAGAGTCTAGGTGGTCAGGGGTGAACTCAGAGGCAGGCGGGTGACCTGAGACCCAAATGAGAGGAGGGAGGCAGGCGTTCAAAGCCCCAGGAGAGGCCGGCGAGGTGGCTCACGCCTGTAATCCCAACACTTCAGGAGGCCGAGGCAGGTGGATTGCCTTCAGGAGTTCAAGACCAACCTGGGCAACACAGTGAAACCACATCTCTGCTAAAATACAACAAATTAGCCAGGCGTGGTGGCGCACGTCTGTAGTCCCAGCTACTCGGGAGGCTGAGGCAGGAGAATCGCTTGAACCTGGGAGGCAGAGGTTGCAGTGAGCCAAGATCACACCACTGCACTCAAGCCTGGGCAACAGAGCCACATTCTGTCTCAAAACAAAATAAATAAAAGCCCCAGGAGAGCTCTGAGGGCAGGAGTCCTCAGGCAGGAATGACCCTGGAGTGTTGGGGGAAAGGAGAAAAGGCCAATTCATCCACCAGTGCTGCCACGCATCACTGTCTGCAGCAACTTCAAATTCCTTGGGTTGGTCAACAAGGCCCCCAGGGCCTGGTGCTGCCAACCTCCTGGTCTCCTGTGCTCTGAACACCCTTATCTGTTCCTGAGTTCACCCTGGTCTCTCACATAGCCATGCCCCTGTACATAGTATTCACTGTGCCTAGAATGTTCTCCCTCCCCCATTCCCCCCAGTGCTCCAGGATTCAAATGATCGTCACTTCCTGGGGGAAGCCGCTTCTGACAGCACCTGCCTGGGTCAAGGCCTCCTCTGACCACCCACCTGTCCCTTCCCCAATGTGTAGTATGTGGTCAGCTTACACAGCTGCCTTCTCCTCAGCCTGTAAGCAGAGAACAGGAGGGGCTGGTGTCCTCTTCCCCACAGCCTGCTCAGCACCTGACGCAGCTGCAAGGGCAACCCTCAAGCAAGCATGAGAGGAGGGCTGGGCTGCTGCTTCTCCAGGCTTCCTTTGCACAGAGATGCTGCTCTTGCTCCCTTTTCAAGGGGAGCAGACTCTTCGGGTCCCTTAAGTCCCTGACTTCTGCCATGATCCTCAGGAGATCCTGCAGTCCTTGGAGCCGTTAGCAGCTCCTAGGTTGGGCTCCTAAGGTACTGCCTGGGGTTAAAAGGCATGGACAACCTGGGCAACATAGTAAGACCCTGACTCTACAAAAAAAATTTTTTTTAATTATCCAGGCATGGTGATGCACCCTTATAGTCTCAGCTACTCAGAAGGCTGAACTGAGGTGGAAGGATCACTTGAGCCCAGGAGGTCAAGGCTGTAGTGAGCTATGACTGTGTCACTGCACTCCAGCCTGAGCAACAGAGTGAGACCCTGTCTCAAAAAAAAAAAAGGAGGGGGGGAACTACCCACCTTCTGCCATTTGCCAGGCCCCTGGGACATCGGAGGCAAGCATAGAGCCTACAATTTTTCATATTCACGTCATTCTCAGTATTCATTGAGAACTGCTAGTATCAGGTGCCAGGCTGGGCAACAGAACCGGGTGCCCTGGACAAGTGAGCTGACGGCCAGCAGGAACTAAGATGAGAGGCCTGAAGAAGTGCAGAGGGGAGCCCTGCGTCCCTCGGGGATCCAGGAGATGAGGGAGAGGGACACTCCCGTGGCAGGTGGGGGGACCACAGGAAGGAAGTGCAGTGCCCACATGCAACAAACCATGCAGTCCCGTTTGTCTCAAGTGGAGAATGGAACAGGAAGTTGTTATTTTTTACACTATTCATCTTTTTACTGTAGATGTTTGTAGATGTCTGTCTTTGCGAGCGGCTTTTTGGAAGAGACAAGCAGGCAGGAATTTCCCTTTGGTTCTTGAGGATCTGCAGCCTTGTGGGCAGCCCTGTCTGTGAATGCCTGAAGAAAGGAGGGAGGAAGAGGGTGGGGAGGAAAGAGGGAGAGAAGAAGAAGGGCAGGGTGGAGGCAGCCTGAAGCCTGTCCCTGGCTGGCAGCTGTACTCAGGTGCCCATCCTCTGGCTGGGAGGGGTGACCTGGCTGGAGGGGCTGGGGCGGGGGAAGCACAGGCCATGGGAAGAGCAGGCTGGTTGACTCCACACAGCTCTGACCCCTCCCCGCAGCCTGCTCACCCTCCTTGTCAGCACGAGGCTTAGGGACGAGTCACCGGACGGGCGTGCTGGTCCAGGGAGGGGCTGCCTGGCATCCGGACCTGGCTAATCTGGGATCTGGCCCGCGTTGCTCTCAGCCACAGGTCACACCCTCTCTGGTCTCAGGCTTCAATTCTAAAAATGCAATTCCTCTGATTTCCAGGGTGTTTTTTCCTTTCTTTCTTTTTTTTTTTTTTTTATTGAAACGGAGTCTCACTCTGTTGCCCAGGCTGGAGTGCAGTGGTGCAATCTCGGCTCACTGCAACCTCCGCCCTGCAGAGTTCAAGCAATTCTCCTGCCTCAGCCTCCCGAGTAGCTGGGATTACAGGTGCCTGCCACCATGCCTGGCTAATTTTTGTATTTTTAATAGAGACGAGGTTTCACCATCTTAGCCAGGCTGGTCTTGAACTCCTGACCTCGTGATCCACCCACCTCGGCCTCCCAAAGTGCTGGGATTACAGGCGTGAGCCACCACACCCGGCCAGGGTGTTTTTTCTTTAAAGAGCTGGGGCCGCTGAGCACAGAGCTCCAGGGACCACTTCCTTCAGAACTGCAGGGAAAGGCGCGCTCAAGATCGGAAGGAGGTGTGGTGGACACCCTGGCAGGAAGCCACCCCTCAGTCTGTCTTTCTGTCCTTCACACCCACTCCACTCCCGCAGGACAGCCCAGGGGCCCCTGAGAGAACAGAGCCCTGGGTTCTCCCAGGGCCAGCAGGCCACCGTGACGGCTCAGCAGCACTGTCCCCCACACCTGGGATCCTGTCTCAGCAAGCCCTGGTTGTGGTAGCTGGTTTCCTCACATGGCCTGGTGACCCAGACCCTCAGCATTTGTGTCCTGTTTCCTGGTACAGCTGGAGGGAGGCTGCGCCAGTGCCGGCCGAAGCTTTAAGACAGCTGGAGGCGCCAGGCAGCGAGGGAAGCCGTCTGGGCGGTCCCCTGGGACCAGAATTTCTGCAGATGAGGACTGAGGCTCAAATGGCAGCAGGGAGGAAGACATCACCGACCAAGCTCAGCCTGGCTGGGTACACTGAGTTCGTCCTATGCCGACTGAGCCCGACCTGTGTCTCTGGACTTGAGCCAGGTGCCAGGGCGACAGCACTCCAAGTGACCAGGATAATATTTACCCCACTTCACTTCCTCTCAAGGAATCATGAGATATCTTGAGGAAAGTGCTGGACTTCCCACAGTATGTGGCATGGAGACTGGACGTGTTTTATATAGTTATCCAAAAGGTTATGCCAGAAACTGGGAGAAGGGAAGACACCTATGTCCTCCAGATAATTTCAAAATGGTTTGAAGAACACTGATAGAGGGAAACAGTGGGGCTGTGGTACCTGCGATTAGGGATTTGCCATGGAAAACAGATTCCATATTGGAGATTTTCTCCCAACATTTTATTATGAAAATACATTTACAGAAGAGTTGAAAAACCTGTACAGTGAAGGCTGGGTGCATTGGCTTACACCTGTAATCCCAGTACTTTGGGAGGCCAAGGGAAGAGGATTGCTTGAGGCCAGGAGTTCAAGACCAACCTGGGCAACATAGTGAGACACCAACTGTACACAAAATTTAAAGAAAAAAATTAACCACGCCTGGTGGTGTACGCCTGTAGTCTCAGCTACTCTGGAAGCTGAGATGGGAGGCTCCCTTGAGCCCAGAAGTTCAAGGTTACAGTGAACTATGATCATGCCACTGCACTCTTGCCTGGACCACAGAGCACGACCGTGTGTCTCAAAAAAAAATAACAAACTGTCCAGTGAACGTTCACATACCCACCACCAGGATTCTACCATTAACATTTTGCCTGGGCTGGGCGCAGTGGCTTGTGCCTGTAATCCCAGCAGTTTGGGAGGCCGAGGCAGGTGGATCACTTGAGGCCAGGAGTTCAAGACCAGCCTGGCCAACATGGCGAAACCCCATCTCTACTAAAAGTACAAATAATTCGCTGGGTGTGATGGCGCACCTGTAGTCCCAGCTACTTGGGAGGCTGAGGCAGGAGAATTGCTTGAACCTGGGAGACAGAGGTTGCAGGGAGCCGAGATCACACCACTGCACTCCAGCCTGGGCAACAGAACAAGACCCCGTCTACAAAAAAAAAAAAAAAAAAAAAAAAAAAAAAAAAAATATATATATATATATATATATATATGGCCTTATTTCCTTTATCACATCTCTTCTCCCCATTCTTCTATCTATCAATACATTTTTAATGCATTTCAAAGTAAATTGCAAAGATCAGTACACACCACCTCTAGACGCTTCAGCATTCATAGCATTAATGGAATCCGATATTCTTTGCTTGTTTGTTTTAGGAAACATTTACACGTGGTAAAATGCATAAATCTTAAGGACAGCATTTGAAGAGTTTTGCTTTATATGATATTGACCTTTATTTCAGAGACTAAACAGTGGTTTTGTTTTGTTTTGTTTTGAGACAGGGTCTCACTCGGCTGCCCAGACTGGAGTGCAGTGGTGCAATCTCAGCTCACTGCAACCTCCACCTCCCAGGCTCAAGCAATTCTCATGTCTCAGCCTTCCAAGTAACTGGGATTACAGGCACACGCCACTACCGCCCAGCTAATTTTTGTATTTTTAGGGTTTCACCATGTTGGCCAGGCTGGTCTCAAACTTCTGTCCTCAAATGATCCACCTGCCTCGGCCTCCCAAAGTGCTGAGATTACAGGCATGAGCCACCGTGCCCGGCCGGTTTTGTTTCATTTTTAATTGTGTTTCGTTAAAGCAGTTTTAGGCTCACAGAAAATTTGAGCGAAAAGTACAAAGAACTGCCATGTATGTCCGGTACCCAGTTCCCCTACCACTAACATCCTGCACTAGTGTGGTACATTCGTTACAACCAATGGACCGATATTCATATATTAACTAAGTCTAGAGTTTACATAAGGGCTCACTGTCTGTATTGTACACAGTACTGGATATTCTATGGGTTTTGACACATGTAAGTATAATGATATGATGAGTTGTGAGAAACCTTTCACCTGTGTAACTGAAGTCCCTACCAGGAAATGGAACGTTTCCATCACATTGCAGGGTTGCCTCATGCCCCTTCCCATCTGACCCCAGGCAACCACTCTTGGGTTTGTTTGTTTGTTTGTTTGTTTGTTTTTGAGATAGACTCTCACTTTGTTGCCCAGGCTGGAGTGCAGTGGCACAATCTCGGCTCACTGCAACCTCCACCTCCCAGGTTCAAGCAATTCTCCTGCCTCAGCCTCCCAAGTAGCTGGGATTATAGGCGCCCACCACCACGCCTGACTTATTTTTTTGTATTTTTAGTAGAGATGAGGTTTCACCATGTTGGCCAGGCTGGTTTTGAACTCCTGACCTCAAGTGATCCGCCCACGTCAGCCTCCCAAAGTGCTAGGATTACAGGCATGAGCCACCACGCCCGGCAGTTTATTTATTTTTTATTTATTTTGTAGCGAGGAGGTCTCACTATGTTGCCCAGGCTGGTCTTGAACTCCTGGCCTCAAGCAATCCTCCTGCCTCAGCCTCCCAAAGTGCTGGGATTACAGGCGTGAGCTACCATGCCTGGGCTGTTTTTTCTTTTTTTTTTTGGTTTTTTGTTTTTTTAGATGGAGTCTCACTCTGTCACCCAGGCTAGAGTACGATGGCGCAATCTCAGTCCACTGCAACCTCCGCCTCCCGGGTTCAAGCAGTTCTCCTGCCTTAGCCTCCCAAGTAGCTGGGATTACAGGCACGCACTACCACGCCCTACTAATTTTAGTAGAGATGGGGTTTCACCATTTTGGCCAGGCTGATCTCGAACTCCTGATCTCAGGTGATCTGCTCACCTCCCAAAGTGCTGGGATTACAGGCATGAGCCATCGCGCCCCACCCCAGTTTTTATTTTTTAAATGTAGACCTATTTTGCCTGTTCTAGCATTTTACATGAAGTCACATAGCATCTACTTCTGTGTCTAGCGTCTTTCACTCACCTCCTGTTTTTGACATTCATCCACATTGTCCCACATTTGTTTGCCATTCTCCTGCTGATAGAAGCTGGGATGCTTCCATTTTGGTTGATACGAGTAAAGGTAATCTCAGCTTTCTTATACAAGCCTGTTGGTGAACATGTATTTTCATTTCTCTTAGGTAAATACCTAGGAAGGCCACGTACAGTGCCTCATGCCTGTAGTCCCAGCATTCTGGGAGGCCAAGGAGGGCAGATCATTTGAGACTAGCCTGGACAACATGTCAAAACCCTGTCCCTACTAAAACTACAAAAAAAATTAGCTGGACGTGGTGGCACATGCCTGTAACCCCAGCTACTCAAGGGGCTGAGGTATGAGAATCGTTTGAACCCAAAAGGTGGAGGTTGCAGTGAGCCGAGATGGCATTACTGCATTCCAGCCTGGGCAACAGAGCAAGACTGTATTTCAGATGATAAACAACAACAACAGCAACAAAACCTAGGAATGAAATTGCTGGGTCATCAGGTAGGCATATGTTTGTTTGCTTGTTTTTTTTTGTTTTTTTGTTTTTTGTTGTTTTTTTTTAAGACGGAGTCTCCCTCTGTTGCCCGGGGTGGAGTGCAGTGGTGTGATCTCAGCTCACTGCAACCTCCGCCTCCCAGGTTCAAGTGATTCTCCTGCCTCAGCCTCCTGAGTACTCCTGAGTAGCTGGGACTACAGGTGCGTGCAACCACGCACAGGTAATTTTTTGTATTTTTAGTAGAGACAGGGGTTTCACTGTGTTAGCCAGGACAGTCTCAATCTCCTGCCCTCGTGATCCACCCATCTCAGCCTCCCATAGTGCTGGGATTACAGGTGTGAGCCATCATGCCCGGCCAGGCATATGTTTAGTTCTATAAGAAACTTCTGGGCTGGACACGGTGGCTCACGCCTGTTAATCCCAGCACTTTACGGGGCTGAGGTGGGCAGATCACAAGATCAGGAGTTCAAGACCAGCCTTGCCAACATGGTGAAACCCTGTGTCTACTAAAAATACAAAAATTAGGCCAGGCACGGTGGTACACGCCTGTAATCCCAGCACTTTGGGAGGCCGAGGCAGGCAGATCATCTGAGGTCAGGAGTTAGAGACCAGCCCAATCAATATGGAGAAACCCCATCTCTACTAAAAATACAAAATTAGCTGGGCATGGTGGCACATACCGGTAATCCCAGTTACTCGGGAGGCTGAAGCAGGAGAATCACTTGAACCCAGGAGGTGGAGATGGCAGTGAGCCGAGATCGTGCCTTTGTACTCCAGCCAGGGCAACAAGAGCAAAACTCCGTCTCAAAAAAAAAAAAGGAAAAGAAAAAGAAAATTAGCCCAGCATGGTGGCACGTGCCTGTAATCCCAGCTACTCAGGAGGCTGAGGCAGAATTGCTTGAGCCTGGGAGGCAGAGGTTGCAGTGAACAGAGATCACGCCACTGCACTCCAGCTCTGGGCAACAGAGCAAGACTCCATCTCAGGAAAAAAAAAAAAAGAAACTTCTGGTTGGGCACAGTGGCTCACACCTGTAATCTCAGCATGTTGTGAGGCTGAGGCAGGAGGATTGCTTGAGCCCGGGAGTTCGAGGCCAGCCTGGGCAACATGGCAAATCCCCGTCTCTACTAAAAATATAACAGTGAGCTGAGTGTGATGGCATGCACCTGTAGTCTCAGCTACTCAGGAGGCTGAGGTGGGGGGATCGCTTGAGCCTGGGAGGCGGAGACTGCACTGAGCCAAGATCATGCCACCACACTCCAGCCTGGGCAACAGAGACTCTATTTTCAAAAAAAAGAAAGAAAGAAAGAAAGAAAGAAACTTCCAGGCCTTTCTCCTAGGTGACTGCCCATCTATCCCTCCCATCAGTGAGCTATGGGCATTCCAGTTGTTCCACGTCTTCCCCAGCGTCTGGTGGCATCAGTCTTTTGAATCTGAGTCATTCTGGTGAACGTGTAGTTCTCTCTGTGGGTGGTTTTTTTTTTTTCTTTTGAGACAGAGTCTCACTCTGTCACCCAGGCTGAAGTGCAGTGGCACTATCTTGGCTCATTGCAACCTCTGCCTCCTGGGTTCAAGCAATTCTTCCATCTCAGCCTCCTGAGTAGCTGGGATTACAGGTGCACACCACTAAGCCCGGCTAATTTTTTTTTTTTTTTGAGACTGAGTCTTGCTCTGTTGCCCAGGCTGGAGTGCAATGGCACGATCTCGACTCATTGTAACCTCCGCCTCCCAGGTTCAAGCGATTCTCCTGCCTCAGCCTCCCAAGTAGCTGGGATTAGAGGTACATGCCACCACGACCGGCTAATTTTTTTTTTTTTTTGAGATGGAGTTTCGCTCTTGTCCCCCAGGATGGAGTGCAATGGTGCGATCTCAGCTCACTGCAACCTTCACCTCCCAGGTTCAAGCGATTCTCCTGCTTCAGCCTCCTTAGGAGCTGGGATTACAGGGGCCTGCCACCACGTCTGGCTAATTTTTGTATTTTTAGTAGAGACGGGGTTTCTTTCACTATGTTGGCCAGGATGATCTCCAACTTTTGACCTCAAGTGATCCACCCACCTTGACCTCCCAAAGTGTTGGGATTACAGGTGTGAGCCACCGCGCCCGGCCCCTAATTTTTGTATTTTTAGTAGAGACGGGGATTCACCATGATAGTCAGGCTCATCTCGAACTCCTGGACTCAAGTGATCGTCCCGACTCGGCTTCCCAAAGTGCTGGGATTACAGGCTTGAGCCACCGTGCCTGGCCTCTTTGTGGTTTTATTTTTTTATTTTTTATTTTTATTTATTTATTTTTTTTGAGACGGAGTCTTGCTCTGTCGCCCAGGCTGGAGTGCAGTGGCTCAATCTGGGCTCACTGCAACTCCACCTTCCGGGTTCACGCCATTCTCCTGCCTCAGCCTCCCGAGTAGCTGGGACTACAGGCACCCGCCACCACACCCGGCTAATTTTTTTTTTTGTATTTTTTAGTAGAGACAGGGTTTCACCATGTTAGCCAGGATGGTCTTGATCTCCTGACCTCGTGATCCACCTGCCTTGGCCTCCCAAAGTGCTGGGATTACAGGCGTGAGCCACTGTGCCCGGCCTCTTTGTGGTTTTAATTTGCATTTGCCTCGTAAGATGCTGAACATCTTTTCATGTACTTATTGGCCATTTATATATCTATCTTTGTGAAATGTTTGTTCAACTCTTTTGCTTTTTTTTTTGAGACGGAGTCTTGCTCTGTCACCCAAGCTGGAGTGCAGTGGCATGATCTCAGCTCACTGTAACCTCCGCCTCCCGGGTTCAAGTGATTCTCCTGCCTCAGCCTCGGGGGCTGGAATTATAGGCAACCGCCACCATGCCTGGCTAATTTTTGTGTTTTTTAAAGTGGAGACAGGGCTTCACCATGTTGGCCAGGCTAGTCTCGAACTCCTGACCTCAGGTGATCTGCCCGCCTTGTCCTCCCAAAGTGCTGGGATTACAGGCGTGAGCCACCGAGCCCGGCCTGAAATTTCTGAGATTTTACCTTAGCTGCAAGCTAACAAGGTGGCCTGCCACTGGTTCACGGATGCTGACAAAGGACACCAACGCCTGGATATGAGACAGGACAGATTTTTACTCACAGGTCTACAGTGGCCTGAGTCTCAGCACTGTGGTGCTGGTTCCTGAGCTCGGTTCCCACAGTTCCCACAGGGCAATGTGAAGAGGGCTGGATGACACCTGCACACACACTCGTGTGCATTCCAGGAGAGGATCCCTGTGCCCAGGAGCTGGCTGGAAAGGCCGCCCGTATTCCACTCAGGAAGGCTACGTTATGTTTTGTTGAAGGTAATTTGCTACACCAACATGCTTGAGAGGATGGGCTGGAACAAAGGAGTCAGTGCCGCTGATCATACATGCAGGGAAACATGAGAGACTCACGTTTCCCTGCAGAACAGCCCCAGGGTCCCGGCAGGGAGGGGGCTTTGCTTGGATTCAGTGGCCAGGGGTCTGGGTGATTAGAGAGGGCCGGGAGGTATCCAGGCTCCTGCAGGGAAGAAAGGCTGGCTGCTCGGCCACAGCCCCGCCCACAAGGTGCAGAGTCCCTTCAGAAGCCACCCCGTAAACCAATGATTCTGCCACCAAAAAAGAATATTGGAATATGTGCCCAAAATGTGGAGGGACTGGAGATGGGGGTGGCAAGCAGGAAGGGTACAGCAGGTGTCGTGCAGCTGCCGTCTTGGGAGAAAATAATCAGCCGTCCTTCAGGCTGCCTCACCATCTCCCCTTACACAGTTCTTCTCACAGTAAGACTTCGACGTTCTCCCACATGAGGTAGAATCAATATGCCTTCCCCTGGAGTCTGGACAGGCCTGTGACTACAGTGGAAGTAACACTCTAGGACTAAGCCAGGTTTATGTTTTTTTGTTTTGTTTTTTTTTTGAGATGGAGTCTCGCCCTGTTGCCCGGGCTGGAGTGCAATGGCGCCATCTCGGCTCACTGCAACCTCCGCCTCCCGGGTTCAAGCGATTTTCCTGCCTCAGCCTCCTGAGTAGCTGGGATTACAGGCACCCACCACCACGCCTGCCTAATTTTTTGTATTCTTAGTAGAGACAGGGTTTCACCATGTTGGCCAGGCTGGTCTCGGACTCCTGACCTCGTGATCTGCCTGCCTCGGCCTCCCAAAATGCTGGGATTACAGGCATGAGCCACCGCACCAGGCCCAGGTTTATTTATTTATTTATTTATGCAACAGAGTCTCACTCCATTGCCCAGGCTGGTGTACAATGGCATGATCTCGGCTCATTGCAACCTCCACCCCCCAGGTTCAAGTGATTCTCCTGCCTCAGCCTCCCAAGTAGCTGGGATTACAGGTGTGCGCCACCACTCCCAGCTCATTTTTTTTTTTTTTTGTATTTTTAGTAGGGACAGGATTTTGCCATTTCGCCATGTTGGCCAGCTGGTCTCGAACTCCTGACCTCAGGTGATCCACCCTCCTGAGCCTCCCAAAGTGGTGGGATTATAGGCACCCACCACCAAGCCCAGCTAATTTTTTTTTTTTGTTTGTATTTTTAGTAGAGATGGGGTTTCACCATTTCGCCATGTTGGCCAGCCTGGTCTTGAACTCCTGACCTAAGGTGATCTACCCACCTTGGCCTCCCAAAGTGCTGGGATAAAAGGCGTGAGCCACAACACCCGGCCCTAAACCAGGTTTTGTTTGTTTGTTTGTTTGTTTTAGACGGAGTTTCTCTTTTTTGCCCAGGCTGGAGTACAATGGCACAATCTCGTAAGCCAGGTTTTAAAAGGTGATACAGGCCGGGTGCGGTGGCTCATGCCTGTAATCCCAGCACTTTGGGAAGACGAGGCAGGTGGATTACCTGAGGTCAGGAGTTTAAAGACCAGTCTGGCCAACATGGTGAAACCCCAACTCTACTAAAAATACAAAAATTAGCCAGGTGTGGTGGCAGATGCTTGTAATCCCAGCTACTCGGGAGGCTGAGGCAGGAGAATCACTTGAACCCAGGAGGCGGAGGTTTCAGTGAGCCGAGATCACATCATTGCACTCCAGCCTGGGTGACAGAGCAAGACTCTGTCTCCAAAAAAAACAAAGAGGTGATACAGCCTCCACCTGGCTCTCTTGGGAAGCTCACACTTGGATCTCAGCTGCCATGCTGTGAGGAAGCCCAAACAGCCACTGGGGGGCTGGGGTGGGGGACACGACAACACCTCATAGAGAAGCCCAGTCGTGACAGCCAGCATCACCGGCTGAGCTGTGAGTGAACATGTCCTTGGAGCACTCCAAACCCTAGCCACTGTGTCAGTCTTTAAGACATTGAGGAGCAGACAAGCCATCCTTGATGTGCCTTGTCCAAATCTTTGACCCACAGAATCTGAGCATAATGAAATTGTTATTTATTTATTTATTTTGAACAGGGTCTCGCTCTGTTGCCCAGGCTGGAATGCAGTGGCACAATCATAGCTCACTGCAGCCTCAATCTCCTGAGCTCAGGCAATCCTCCTGCCTCTGCCGCCTGAGTAGCTGGGACTACAGGTGCATGCCACCATGCCTGGCTAATTTTTTTTTTTTTTTTTTTGAGACAGTCTCACTCTGTCACCCAGGCTGGAGTGCAGTGGCACGATCTTGGCTCACTGCAACCTCTGCCTCACAGGTTCAAGTGATTCTCCTGCTTCAGCCTCCCAAGTAGCTGGGATTACAGGTGCTGTGCCACCATGCCCAGGTAATTTTTTTATTTTTAGCAGAGACGGGGTATCACCATGTTGCCCAGGCTGATCTTGAACTCCTAACCTCAAGTGATCTGCCCGCCTTGGCCTCCCAAAGTGCTGGGATTACAGGAGTGAGCCACTGTGCCCAGCCGCCTGGCTAATTTTTTTTTTTTTTTTTTTTTTGAGACGGAGTCTCGCTCTGTTGCCCAGGCTGGAGTGCAGTGGCGCAATCTCGGCTCACTGTAACCTCCGCCTTCCAGGTTCAAGCAATTCTCCTGCCTCAGCCTCCCGAGTATGTGGGACTACAGGCACGCACCACCACGCCCAGCTGATTTTTGTATTTTTAGTAGAGACGGGGTTTCACCATGTTGGCCAGGATGGTCTCGATCTCTTGATCTCATGATCTGCGCACCTCGGCCTCCCAACATGCTGGGATTACAAATAAAATAGTGTTTTAAATGCCGCTACATCTTGGGGTGGTTCATCAAGCTGCAGTGGTGGCCTGCACATCCCCTGGGGTCTTCTCAGTTCCCGGCATGATCCTGTTCGTTGGAGCATGCATGGCCTGCTGTGAGCCCTGCTTCTTGGGCATGGAGAGGTATCGTTATCTCTAGAAGCACTAGCACTTCTGCCTCACGTCCCTGCTTAGGTGAGTGTTGCCTCCTCCCACACAGCCGAGGTCAGGCTCATCTCTGTGGCCCCTGTGATGATACACAGGGTGGTTGGCATTAAAGGAAGGAGGGAGGGAAGGGAAGGAAAAAGGAAGGAACTGAATTCAGTCCTGAATCATGGCCCATGAGGAGCCACACTGGGCTGGGAAACAGGAGCTGATGACTCCAGTCCGGTTCCCCACTCTGTGGTCTCCGTCTGTTTCAGCCTCCCAAAGTGCTGGGATTACAGATGGGAGCCACCAGGCCTGGCCGCCTCATGACTTTTAAGAGCTAGAAGGGGCCATTATGATTTGATTGAGCCATTTGGGAATAAGTTGCAAATATAATGACCCTTCACTCCTAAATGCTTCAGCCTACCTCTGCTAAGAACGACGGCGTATCATCAAACCCAGCAGACACAGCACTGAGACCACAGTACTGTCTACAGTCAGTCCTTGATTAAATGTCACCAAGTGTCCCAGTAATGTCCTGGAGAACAATTTTCCTTAAGTCTGGATCCAATGGCATTTACTTGTCATGTTTTTTCACTTCTTTTATTGTAGAACAGCGCCCCCAGTGTGTCTACCAGGACATTGATGTTCCTGAAGAGTAGAGACATGATATATACAGATACAAAATCATATGTTTTATTAAATGTTTTCCTTTTTTTTTTATTTACATTTTTTTTTCTGAGACAGAGTCTCTGTCATCCAGGCTGGAGTGCAGTGGTGCAGTCTCAGCTCTGCAACCTCCACCTCCCATGTTCAAGCAATTCTCTTGCCTCAGCCTCCCAAGTAGCTGGGACTACAGGCGTGTGCCACCACACCCAGCTAATGCTTGTCTTTTTAGTAGAGACGGGGTTTCACCATGTTGGCTAGACTGGTCTCAAACTCCTGACCTCAGATGATTCGCCTGCCTCAGCCTCCCAAGGTGCTGGGATTACAGATGTGAGACACTACGCCCAGCCAAATTTTTTTTTAATGAGATGCAGTCTTGCTATGTTGCTAAGGATGGTCCCCAACTCCTGGATGCAAGCAATCCTCCCACCTCAGCCTCCCAAAGTGCTGGAATTACAGGCACACGCCACAGCACCCAGCTAACTTTTGTGTCTTTTGTAGAGACGAGGTTTCACCTTGTTGCCCAGGCTGGTCTTGAACTCCTGGGCTCAAGTGATCCTCCCACCTTGGCCTCCCAAAATGCTGGGATTATAGGCATGAATGGGCCACTGCACCCGGCCACGTGTTTATCTTATTACACAGATAATATATCTCTATTGTGGAAAAGCCAGAAAACACAGATTTGTACAAAGAAACCATGTTTAGCTGATAGGATCTTAGGTGACAAGTGTCTTGCTTCTTTTCTTTTCCTTTTTTTTTTTTTTTGAGATTGAGTTTCGCTCTTGTTGCCCAGGCTGGAGTACAATGGCATGATCTCAGCTTACTGCAACCTCCGCCTCCCAGGTTCAAGCGATTCTCCTGCCTCAGCCTCTCGAGTAGCTGAGATTACAGGCGTGTGCCACCATGCCCGGCTAATTTTGTGTTTTTAATAGAGACGGGTTTCTCCATGTTGGTCAGGCTGGTCTCAACTCTTGACCTCAGGTGATCTGCCTGCCTCGGCCTCCCAAACTGCTGGGGTTACAGGTGTGAGCCACTGTGCCTGGCCTTCCTTTTTTTTTTTTAACATTGTGGTAAAATACCCACAACATGGAATGTGCCATCTTAACTACTTTAAAGTGTGCAGTTTAGGCTGAGCGCTGTGGCTCATGCTTATAATCCCAGCACTTTGGGAGGCCAAGGCAAGCAGATCACTTGAGGTCAGGAGTTCAAGACCAGCCTGGACAACATGGTGAAACCCCGCCTCTACTAAAGATTCAACAATTAGCCGGGCGTAGTGTTGGGACCTGTAATCCCAGCTACTCAGGACGCTGAGGTGGGATAATCACCTGAACCCGAAAGGTGGAGGTTTCAGTGAGCCAAGATTTCACCACTGCACTCCAGCCTGGGTGACAGAGCATGACTCTGTCTCAAAAAAATAAAAATAGAGCCAGGCATGGTGGCTCACACCTGTAATCTCAGCACTTCGGGAGGCCGAGGCGGGCAGATCACGAGCTCAGGAGATCGAGACGATCCTGGCTAACACGGTGAAACCCCGGCTCTACTAAAAACAAAAAAAATAGCCAGGCGCAGTGGCGGGCACCTATAGTCCCAGCTACTCGGGAGGCTGAGGCAGGAGAATGGCGTGAACCTGGGAGGCAGAGCTTTCAGAGAGCCGAGATCGTGCCACTGCACTCCAGCCTGGGTGACAGAGCAAGGACTTTGTCTAAAAAATAAATAAATAAATAAAAATTAAAAAATAAATAAGTAAATAAAGTGTGCAGTTCAGTGGCACCAAGTACATTCATGTTGTTGGGCAGCCCTGCCACCATCCATCTCCAGAAATTTCTCATCTCCCCAAACAAGCCCTGTTCCCATTACCTATTAAGCAGGCACTCCCCATCCCCCTCACTCAGTCCCTGGCACCCACCATTCACTTTCTTTTTCCTTTCTTTCTTTTTCTTTTTTTCAGATAGGGTCTTATTCCGTCGCCCAAGCTGGAGTGCAGTGGCACTATCTTGGCTCACCGCAGCCTCTGCCTCCCCAGGTAGCTAGGACTACAGGTGTGCACCACCACACCTAGCTAATTTTTTAGTTTTTATTTGTTTTAGAGACAACGTCTTACTATGTTGCCCAGGCTAGTTTCAAACACCTGGGCTCAAGTGATCCTCCCACCTTAGCTACAACCAGCTGTTGTGCTACCCCATGGCCATTTCCCAACTCGGTAGAGTGGGGTCCTTACCATCTTCCATTTTTACCCCCTTAGCTCAGACCACTCCATGTTTTAGTCTCTTCACTTGTAACACCCCACTCCTGGTACCAAATTCTGTGTTGAGGTTTGGAGACTTCTGGTTGCAGTCAACAGACAACCCACCAAACTGGCATTCCAGCTGTTCTCCTTTTGCCACACTGCCCCTCCTCAATCCTGCTTTTTATGCCTTGGGAGGCCTTCCCTGCAGACTGCTCTCCCAGGCTCCTTCAATGCCTGGCTTCTGATTGGGTTTGCCCTAAGAAGGAGGTATTAATTTGTAGGGTTGCTGTAGCAAAGTACCACAAACAGAGTGGCATAAACAATAGAAATGTATTGTTCCACCGTTCTGGAGGCCAGAAGTTCTAGATCACGGTGTTGGCAGGACCATACTCCCCGTGAAGGTGCTAGGGAAGGATGTGATCCCCTGGTGTCCTAGCTCCTATAGTTCCTTGGCTTGTGACAGCATAACTCAAAATCTTCACATGGCATTTTCCCTGTGTTCATGGCTCTGTCCACACTTCCCTTTTTTTTTTCTTTCTTTCTTTTTTTCCTTTTTTTTTTGAGACAGAGTTTCACTCTTATTGTCCAGGCTGGAGTGCAATTGCCTGGTCTCAGCTCACTGCAACCTCTGCCTGCTGGGTTCAAGCAATTCTCCTGTCTCAACCTCCCAAGTAGCTGGGATTACAGGCACCTGCCACCACGCCCGGCTAATTTTTGTACTTTTAGTAGAGATGGGGTTTCACCAGTTTGGTCAGGCTGGTCTTGAACTCCTGACCTCAAGTGATCTGCCCGCCTCAGCCTCCCAAAGTGCTGGGATTACAGGCGTGAGACACTGTGCCCGGCCGAGTTTCACTCTTGTCACCCAGGCTAGAGTGCAATGGCGCAATCTCCGCTCACTGCAACCTCTACCTCCCAGGTTCAAGCAATTCTCCTGCCTCAGCCTCCCAAATAGCTGGCATTACAGGTGCCTGACACCACGCCCCACTAATTTTTGTATTTTTAATAGAGATGGGGTTTCACCATGTTTGCCAGGTTAGTCTTGAACTCCTGACCTCAAATGATCCACCCGCCTCGGCCTCCCAAAGTGCTGGGATTATAGATGTGAGCCACCATGCCCAGCTCACGTCACCCCCTGCCTCTTTTTTTTTTTTGAGACGGAGTCTGGCTCTGTCGCCCAGGCTGGAGTGCAGTGGCGCATCTTGGCTCACTGCAAGCTCTGCTTTCCAGGTTGAAGCAATTCTCCTGCCTCAGCCTCCTGAGTAGCTGGGACTAGAGGAGCATGCCACCACGCCCAGCTAATTTTTGTATTTTTATTAGAGACAGGGTTTCACCATATTGGTCACGTTGGTCTCGAACTCCTGACCTCAGGTGATCCACCCACCTCGGCCTCCCAAACTGCTGGAATTACAGATGTGAGCCACCATGCCCGGCCCACATTTCCCCTTTTATAAGGACACCAGTCATGTTGGATTAGGGGCCTCCCCTACTCTAGTAGGACCCCACTTTAATCACATCTGCAATGACCCTAGTTCCAAATAAGGTACTAACTGGGGTTAGGACTTCAACATATGAATTTTGGGGGCACACAATTCAACCTGTAACAGGGAAGCCCAGGAGGAGGCCTGGGTGGGAGGAGAGAGCAGTCCATGTATTCAGTCCCCTCCCCTCTCCTCATTTCCAGCCGAAGGGGCATCTGGCATTCTGGCTGTTCTCCTTTTGCCACACTGCCCCTCCTCAATCCTGCTTTTTATGCCTTGGGAGGCCTTCCCTGCAGACTGCTCTCCCAGGCTCCTTCAATGCCTGGCTTCTGATTGGGTTTGCCCCAAGAGGTGGGTATTAATTTGTAGGGTTGCTGTAGCAAAGTACCACAAACAGAGTGGCATAAACAATAGAAATGTATCGTTCCACCGTTCTGGAGGCCAGAAGTTCTAGATCACGGTGTTGGCAGGACCATACTCCCCGTGAAGGTGCTAGGGAAGGATGTGATCCCCTGGTGTCCTAGCTCCTGTAGTCCTTCCTGACTGTTTCTCTCACCAGGCAGCTCCCATCAGGTGCCATGCCTTCCCCTTGTCCCTTTGGCTTCTCTCTGTTCCTAGTCTCTGGGCACCCTGATATCCTTGGTTTGTTTCCAAATCCCTATTCACCCATCTGGCCCTTTCAGTCAAGTCTCCTTCAATCCCTCTGGGGGGAATCCTATTTCTTTTTTTTTTTTTTTTTGAGACAAAGTCTCACTCTGTCGCCCAGGCTGGAGTATAGTGGCGCAATCTCAGCTCACTGCAACTTCTGCCTCCCAGGTTCAAGTGATTCTCCTGCCTCAGCCTCCCAAGTAGCTAGGATTACAGGCACCCGCCACTACACCTGGCTAATTTTTGTATTTTTAGTAGAGATGGGGTTTCACCATGTTGACCAGGCTGGTCTCAAACTCCTGACCTCAGGTGATCCACCCTCACCCTCCTCAGCCTCCCAAAGTGCTGGGATGACAGGTGTGAGCCATCGTGCCTGGCCCAGGAATCCTATTTCTTGCTGGAATCCTAGATGATTCAACTGGTTAAACTACAGAAGGGCTGTTGGCTCATGTAGGCACCCAGATGAGCAGGCTGTGGTTGCCCTTGAGCTCCCGGACCCTACACTGGGGGTCCCTACAGCTTTCTTGGCTCTGCCTCCCAGTGTCTGCATGGCTGTGTGGCTGGAGGTCAGTCTGGCTCCTCTGTAGAGGCAGAAATGGCCAGAGCAGTTCCAGACGTTGTATCTGCAGTCCCCACTGTCCAGCAGGAGAAGCTTGTCCCCCAAAGCATCGATAATGCCCCAGGCTTCACTTGGATTCCACCTCCCAAGGTTACCAGCCCACCTTGGACCCTTGTCTGTGGCCAAGAGAATGCCAGGCACTGCTTGGCTTAGGCCCACAGGCCCCCCCAGGAACACACTGTAGCAGGCTGGGGATGGGCATGCAGGCTGGGGCGGCCCAATCCTCTCAAGTGTTCTTTGAGTTCACAAGCCCTGTTCCTTGGGGTGGCACCTCTACCCCCAGAGGCAGGGGTGGTGTATGGGAGACACCTCCATGCTCCCACCCACCTCTCCTATTGTTAAACTCCTCCAGGATGAGTTCTCCTCCAGAGACCCCACCTTCTCCACCCCCACCCCGGCCGGCTTCCCTTTTCCCTCCCCCAGCAGCCCTGCCTCCTGTCTACTGAGGAAGCGCAGCTGTAGGCACTATTCCCACTGTTTTCTTTCTCTCTCAGCAGGTTTCTCAGCCCCCGAGGATTCACGATCATCTTTGGGAGGAGAGGGCCACTCACATCCTCCCAACTAAGCTCCATGTTGGCCAACTGGGACCACACGCCTCGGGCAACGTCCAAGGGAAAGGCGATCTGGGGGCAAGAGGCATGAGGTTCGGGCACCTCCAGCAGAGGCGGACTTCCAGCCACGGCCCCCACCTGGGCAGAGGGAACGTCTCCAGACCTGTGGAAACAGGAGGAGGGCAGAGCCGACGGTGGGAGGGGGGTCGCATTCAATTGTCCCAGTAGAAAGTCCTGATAGTGCCGTTCAGCTCAGCTCTGCAGGGCAGACCCAGACCCTGAGTAAGGAAATGTGCGAATGGAGATATCCTGCAAAGGGCTTAGGTCATATTGAAAAGGAAAAGCGCAGCCTTCAGAAAGAAGATGGGTGGGGGCGGGGGCGAGCTGACCCTGGTGGTCTGGGGTCTCTATTGCTTTCAGCCCGTGGTTCCCGTCTTCACAGAACCTCGGCAGTCACGGCCACGCAGCACAGAACACTGCTCACCATCTCTCGTAAGCAGCAGTCAGAGCAGGTGCAACCCATGTCACAGATGGAGAAGCCGAAAGGGGACTTTGATGCGGGCCCTCGGCTCAGATCTCACACTGCCCCACCCGTCACCGCTGCGGTAAATGAGGAGACTAAGGCTTCTACCAGGTTCCAGCTCTGGAGTCTGGCCTCAAGGAGAGGCTGTCAGCAACGCCTCTAGCAGCTTCCATCTATCAATTCCTTCCAGAAGCTGCTGAACACACGGGCTCCCCGCCACCAGACATAAATCTCCGCCTCTTTTTCCGGGACTGCACATCCACCCAGTCTCACTTCCAAATGCTGATGAGTTCCTGCTGTTCTTGCGGACACCAGCTGTCATTCTGGAAAGCACGTGTTTCCTGCGGCTGCACCACAGCACCACACGCTGGGGGCTCAGGACGACAGGGGTTGATTCTCTCTCTCAGTTCTGCGATGGAAGTCCGGAATCAAAGTGTCAGCAGGGCTGGCTCCCTCGCTGCGGTTTCTGCGGTTCCACCGGCCCTTGGTGCTCCTGCGCTTGCAGCTACGTCCCTCCAGCCTCTGCCTCCACCTCATCTGCTCTTCCCTGCTGTGTGTCTCTGTGTCTTTCAGGGCCCCACCCCAAATCCAGGAGGCTCTCATCCCTAGACTAGCCTGGGCAACACAGTGAGACTTTGTCTCTAAAACAAATGAAAATTTAAAAATTAGCAAGGTGTGGTGGTACACACCTGTAGTCCCAGCTACTTGGGGAGGCTGAGGCTGTGGTGGTGAGCCAAGATAGTGCCACTGCACTCCAGCTTGGGTGACGGAATGAGACCCTATCTAAAAGAAAAAAAAAAGAAAGAAAAAGAAAGAGAAGGAAGGAAAGAAAGAAAAAGAAAAGAGAGAAAGAAAGAAAGAAAGAGAGAAAAGTGAATGGTGGGTGGGGATGGGGAGTGCCTGCCTAATGGGTACAGCGCTTGTTTGGGGAGATGACAAAGTTCTGAAGATGGACGGTGGCGAGGCTGCCATGAATGTACTTGGTGCCACTGAACTGCACACTTTATTTATTTATTTTTATTTATTTATTTTGAGACGGAGTTGCATTCTATTGCCCAGGCTGGAGTGCAGTGGTGCGACCTCGTCTCACTGCAATCTCTGGCTCCTGGCACCCAGGTTGGAGCGCAGCGGCGTGATCAGGGTTCACTGCAGCCTCGACCCCTTAGGCTCAAGAGATCCTCCCTCCTCAGCCTTCTGAGTAGCTGGGACCACAGGCACGTGCCACCCTGCCCAGCTAATTTTTTAATTTTTTGTAGAGATGGGGTCTCCCTGTCTTGCCCAGGCTGGTTTGTTTGTTGTTGTTTTGTTTTGAGATGGAATCTTGCTCTGTTGCCCAGGCTGGGGTGCAGTGGCACAATCTCGGCTCACTACAAGCTCCGCCTCCCGGGTTCATGCCATTGTCCTGCTTTAGCCTCCCCAGCAGCTGGGACTACAGGCGCCTGCCACCACACCCAGCTAATTTTTTTGTATTTTTAGTACAGACGGGGTTTCACCATGTTATCCAGGATGGTCTCCATCTCCAGACCTCGTGATCTGCCTGCCTCGGCCTCCCAAAGTGCTGGGATTAGAGGTGTGAGCCACCGCACCCGGCCAATTTTCTAATTTTTTGTAGAGATGGGGTCTCCCTGTGTTGCCCAGGCTGGGTTTTTGTTTTGTTTTGTTTTTGTTTTTGTTTTTTGAGATGGATTCTCACTCTGTCACCCAGGTGGGAGTGCAATGGCGCAATCTTGGCTCACTGCAACCTCTGCCTCCTGGGTTCAAGCAATTCTCCTGTCTCAGCCTCCCAAGTAGCTAGGACTACAGGCACGTGCCACCACACCCTGACAGGCATCCTGCCATGACCCTATCAGAGAGATTGCTGGGCCAGACCAGGGCTGCACTGGACACCCAGACCACCAGGGACAGGGGAGGAGGCACTGAAGATACACTGAGGCTCTTTTCAGCATCAGATCCTCTGCCCAGAACTGTGTTCCCAGCACACTGACCAGCCTGTCACATGCCAGCCCATGGCTGCTGGTGCTCCTCAATCTGGGTGTGGCTGGTGGGGAGGGGTTGGGGGAATAAAACAGACAGACAGACAGACAGATCTTCTCTAGGCCTTTCTGCCTACCACTCCAGCTTTTTTCATGTTAATCTTTCCACTCCGAACCAAACCCTGGATCTGCTTTGATGGCAAACTCAGGTCTTTGGGTCAAGTGTGTGCTTGGCTGGAGGTGTGATGTTGTCAGCGGGGGTGGGCCCAGAGGAGCTCATAACCCCTAAATACCTGGACAGAAGGCCCCCTGGCCACCTCCTCCTATAGCCTTTCCTGCACTTTTCCACCAAAGGCCTGACTCAGGATAAAGTGAAGACAATTATTCTTCCCAATCAATAGCTGAGGAGCTCAAAATGCAACTTGAAGCACCCTGAACACTTCTGGGATATTGACCAACCCATTTTCAACAGCATAAAAGGAAAGAGATGACTTTCCTGGCAGACCAGTGAGGTGAGCGGAGTGTCTGAGCTGGGGTACTGCTGGGCGGAAGGAAAGTGGGTGGAGAGGGGGGGTGGTGGCCCTCTTCTTTACGGCTCTATTCC
Organism: Homo sapiens; assembly: GCF_000001405.40. NCBI lineage: Eukaryota > Metazoa > Chordata > Mammalia > Primates > Hominidae > Homo > Homo sapiens. The sequence continues at coordinate 103,605,035 of NC_000014.9, read as the reverse complement.
TAGGGGTACAGCAGGGCCTGGCACGCAGGAGGTATTCGGAAGTATCCAGAGAATAAGTCACCAAGGACCCTGCTGTCCTCCCAGGAACGTAAGTGGACCCCTCATGTACCTTTTGTGGTGAAGGGTCACTATTCCCAGTCTACAGCAGCGTCTGAGGCTCAGAGGGCTCAAGTGGCATAGCCGAGACTGGGACTTGGCTTATCTGTCTGCAACAGGTGTCTACCTGCTACACCACAGATGGACCTGGAGGACCTGTGCTGAAATAAGCTAGTGAAATAAGCCAGCCACAAAAAGGCAAACACTAGGCTTGAGGTCCCCAAAGCAGGCAAATTCATAGACACAGGAAGTGGCATGGTGGTTGCCAGGGACTGGGAGTGGGAGCTGGGGAGTTGTTTAAGGGAGACAGAGTTTCAGTCTGGGAAGATGAAAGATTTCTGGAGATGGACGGTGCTTGTACAACAGTGTGAGCGTGCTCAGTGACAGTGGCCTGTGCACTTGAAAGTGGTTAGAATGGGCGGGGCGCGGTGGCTCACGCCTGTAATCCCAGCACTTTGGAAGGCCGAGGCGGGTAGATCATGAGGTCAGGAGATGGAGACCATCCTGGCTAACACGGTGAAACCCCGTCTCTACTAAAAATACAAAAAGTTAGCTGGGCGTGGTGGCGGGCGCCTGTAGTCCCAGCTACTCGGGAGGCTGAGGCAGGAGAATGACGTGAACCCGGGAGGCGGAGCTTGCAGTGAGCCGTGATTGCGCCACTGCACTCCAGCCTGGGTGACAGAGCGAGACTCCGTCTCAAAAAAAAAAAAAAAAAAAAAAAAAAAAAAGGAAAGTGGTTAGAATGGAAAACTGTACACACGCACTGTCATATTTATTTATTTACTTATTATTTTCTGAGACAGAGTCTCACTGTGTCCCCCAGGCTGGATGCACTAGCTCGATCTCGGCTCACTGCAACCTCCACCTCCTGGGCTCAAGCAATTCTTCCACCTCAGCCTCTCAAGTAGCTGGAACTACAGGAGTGTGCCACCATGCCCGGCTAATTTTTCTATTTTTAATAGAGATGGGGTTTTGCCATGTTGGCCAGGCTGGTCTTGAACTCCTGGCCTCAAGTGATCCACCCCCACAGCCTCCCAAAGTGCTGGGATTACAGGTGTGAGCCACGAAACCCAGCCTATTTATTATTATTATTATTTTGAGGCAGAGTTTCACTCTTGTCACCCAGGCTGGAGTGCAGTGGGGTGATCTCAGCTCACTGCAAACTCTGCCTCCCGGGTTCAAGCGGTTCTCTTGCTTCAGCCTCCCAAGTTCCCAAGTAGGTGGGATTACAGGCATGTGCCACCAAGCCCGGCTAATTATGTATTTTTAGTAGAGACAGGGTTTCTCCATGTTGGTCAGGCTGGTCTTGAACTCCCAACCTCAGGTGGTCTGCCCGCCTCGGCCTCCCAAAGTGCTAGGATTACAGGCATGAGCCACTGTGCCCAGCTTTTTTTTTTTTTTTGAGATGGAGTCTTGCTCTGTCACCCAGGCTGGAGTGCAGTGGCATGATCTCGGCTCACTGCACCTTCGCCTCCTGGGTCTCCTGGGTTCAAGCCATTCTCCTGCCTCAGCATCCCCAGTAGCTGGGATTACAGGCGCCCACCACCATGCCCAGCTAATTTTTGTATTTGTTTTGTTTTGTTTTGTTTTGTTTGGTTTTGAGACGGAGTCTCACTCTGTCGCCCAGGCTGGAGTGCAGTGTTGCAATCTCGACTCACGGCAAGCTCCACCTCCTGGGTTCACGCTATTCTCCTACCTCAGCTTCCTGAATAGCTGGGACTATAGGCGCCTGCCACCACGCCCGGCTAATTTTTTGTATTTTTTAGTAGAGATGGGGTTTCACCGTGTTAGCCAGGATGGTCTTGATCTCCTGATCTCCTGATCTCGTGATCTGCCCGCCTCGGCCTCCCAGAGTGCTGGGATTACAGGCGTGAGCTACTGTGCCCGGCCTAATTTTTGTATTTTTAATAGAGATGGGGTTTCACCACGTTGGCCAGGCTATTCTCAAACTCCTGACCTCAAGTGATCTGCCTGCCTCGGCCTCCCAAAGTGCTGGGATTACAGGTGTGAGCGACGGTGCCCAGCCGCTGTTTTGTTTTGTTTTGTTTTGTTTTGAGACAGAGTATCACTCTGTTGCGCAGGCTGGAGTGCAGTGGTGTGATCTTGGCTCAATGGAATCTCTGCCTCCTGGGTTCAGTCGATTCTCTTACCTCAGCATGCCCAGCCGATTTTTGTTTTTAGTAGAAACGGGGTCTCACCATGTTGGCCAGGCTGGTCTGGCTGACTTCAAATGATCCGCCCACCTTGGCCTCCCAAAGTGCTGGGATTACAGGCATGAACCACTGTGCCTGGCCAAAATTTATTTTATTTATTTTATTTTATTTGAGACAAGAGTTTCGCTCGTTGCCCAGGCTGGAGTGCAATGGCAAGATCTTGGCTCACTGCAACCTCCACCTCCTGGGTTCAAGCAATTCTCCTGCCTCAGCCTCCCAAGTAGCTGGGATTACAGGCACCCTCCACCATGCCCAACTAATTTTTTGTATTTTTAGTAGAGACAAGGTTTCACCATGTTGGCCAGGCTGGTCTTGAACTGCTGACCTCAGGTGATGCACCCACCTCGGCCTCCCAAAGTGCTGGGATTACAGGCATGAGCCACCATGCCCGGCCACTTTTATTTATTTTGTGAGACAGGGTCTTACTCTGTTTCCCAGGCTGGAGTGCAGTGACATGATTTTGGCTCACTGCAGCCTCAATCTCCCTGGGCTCAACTGATTCTCCCACCTCAACCTCCCAAGTAGCTGGGACTACAGGCACATGCCATCATGCCAGGCAATTGTTTTTCTTTTTTGAGATGGAGTTTCGCTCTTGTTGCCCAGGCTGGAGTGCAGTGGTACAATCTCGCTCACTGCAACCTCCCCCTCCTGGGTTCAAGCAGTTCTCCTGCCTCAGCCTCCCTAGTAGCGGGTCTACAGGTGTGCACCACCACGCCCGGCTAATTTTTGTATTATTAGTAGAGATGGGGTTTTGTCATGTTGGCCAGGCTGGTCTCGAACTCCTGACCTCAGGTGATCTGCCCGCCTCGGCCTCCCAAAGTGCTGGGATTACATGGGTGAGCCACTGCACCTGGCCAGAATATTTTCATTGCCCTAAAAAGTCTCTGTGCTCTGCCTGTTCATCCCGCTCCCTCCTAACCCCTGGCAACCACTCATTTTTTTACTGTCTTCATAGTTTTGCCTTTTCCACAATGTTATACAGTTGGAATTGTACAGTATGTAGCCTTTTCAGATTGGCTAAATGCATATTTCACTTAGTAATATGCATTTAAGATTCCCCTGGCCGGGTGTGGTGGCTCACGCCTGTAATCCCAGCACTTTGGGAGGCTGAGGCGGGCGGATCCTGAGGTCAGGGGTTTTAGACCAGCCTGGCCAGCATGGTGAAACCATGTCTCTACTAAAAATACAAAAAATTAGCAGGGCATGGTGGCATGCGCCTGTAGACTCAGCTACTCAGGAGGCTGAGGCAGGAGAATTGCTTGAACCCGGGAGCCAGAGGTTGCAGTGAGCCGAGATGGCACCACTGCATCCAACCTGGGCAACAGAGTGAGACCCTGTTTCAAAAAAAATTACTCCATGTCTTGTTTCCTTTTAGTATTGAATAATATTCCATTATCTGGATGTACCACCAACTGAAGGCTGTCTTGATAGCTTCTAAATGTTGGCAATTATGAATTAGGCTGCAATAAACATCCGGGTACAGGGTTTTGTGTGGATATAAGTTTTCAGTTTGGCTGGGCACAGTGGCTCACGCCTGTAACCCCAGCACTTTGGGAGGCGGAGATGTGCAGATCACGAGGTCAGGAGATTGAGACCATCCTGGCTAACACGGTGAAACCCCGTCTCTACTAAAAATACAAAAAAATTAGCCGGGCGCGGTGGCGGGCGCCTGTAGTCCCAGCTACTCAGGAGGCTGAGGCAGGAGAATGGTGTGAACCCGGGAGGTGGAGCTTGCAGTGAGCCGAGATTCCACCACTGCACTCCAGCCTGGGCGACAGAGCTAGACTCCGTCTCAAGAAAATAATAATAATAAGTTTTCAATTCATTTGCATAAATACCTAGGAGCATGATTGCTAGAATGCATGATAAGAGTATGTTTAATTTTGTAAGAAACTGCCAAACTCTTCTACAGTGGCTGTGCCATTTTGCGTTCCCACCAGCAATGAACGAGCGTTCCTGTTGCTCCATCCTCACCTGCATTTGGTGTTGTTTGGAGAGCAAAGATCACCTGGTGGTGATCATCAGGAAGGCCATCCAGAAACAAAACTTCTTATCTGAGGAATTCAAAAGTAATTAGGCTTCCCTATTATCTAAAGCAGGGATCTGGTCCTAGGTTTCTTTCCCAAAAATTTCTTTTTAAATTTTTTTTTAAATTTTTTTGAGTCAGGCTGGAGTGCAATGGCACAATCTCGACTCACTGCAACCTCCATCTCCCGGGTTCAAGTGATTGTCCTGCCTCAGCCTCCTGAGTAGCTGGGATTACAGGCACTCACCACCATGCCCAGCTAATTTTTTGTATTTTTAGTAGAGATAGGGTTTCATCATGTTGGCCAGGCTGGTCTCGAATTCCTGACCTCAGGTGATCCACCTGCCTAGGCCTCCCAAAGTGCTGGGATTATAGGCATGAGCCACTGTGCCCGGCCCTTTCCCCAAAATATCTAAGTAACTACAATTTCTGTAGCTCTCCAGAATGCATGCATGTCAGAACTCACTGTGCAACCCTTGCTGACATTAAGGCACCAAATGTCTACAAATGTAATTATTTATCATGACCTACATCGCTAATATGGTTCAAATTACCCTTAAGCTCCCACCTTAAGGTCCATAAATGCCCCTAAGGAAAAATCCACCGAAGCTCACTCGGTCCTCTGTTACTGAGGCACCTTGATGCCCTCTTCTTCAGTGTTCTTTCTTTCCAATAAAACGTTCCTTTTTCTTTTCTTTTTTTTTTTTTTTTTTTTTTTTTTTTGAGACAGATTCTTGCTGTCACCCAGGCTGGAGTGCAGTGGTGTGATCTCCATTTACTGCAACCTCCACCTACTGGGTTCAAGCGATTCTCCTGCCTCAGCCCCCCGAGTAGCTGGGATTACAGGTGCCCACCACCACGCCTAGCTAATTTTTGTATTTTTAATAGAGACAAAGTTTTGCCACGTTGGCCAGGCTGGTCTGGAACTCCTGATCTCAAGTGATCCGCCTGCCTCGGACTCCCATAATGTTGGAATTACATACGGGCCTGAACCACCACATCAGGCCAAACGTTCCTTTTTCAAACCTATACTGTCGCCAGTAAATTTTTCTTACCAACCCTCGAGTGGACCACTTTCTGATGCTGGAGCTTTGACACCTCACCCAGCAGTCAATGTTTTGTATGTCAGCAGCCATTCTAACAGGTGTGTAGTGGCATCAGTTTTTTGTTTGTTTGTTTGTTTTTTTTTTTGAGACAGGATATCGCTCTGTCGCCCAGACTGGAGTGCAATGGTGAGATCTCAGCTCACTGCAACCTCTGCCTCCTGGTTTCAAGTGATTCTCATGCCTCAGCCTCCCCAGGAGCTGGGACCACAGGTGTCCACTACCATGTCTGGCTAATTTTTTGTTTGTTTGTTTTTGCTTTGAGATGGAGTCTCGCTCAGCCGCCCAGGCTGGAGTGGAGTGGCGTGATCTCAGCTCATGGAAACCACCATCTCGGGGTTCAAGAGATTCTCCCGTCCCAGCCTCCCAAGTAGCTGGGATTATGGGCACGAGCCACCACACCCAGTTAATTTTTTTGTTTTTTGAAACGGAGTTTCACTCGTCGCCCAGGCTGGAGTGCAACGGCACGATCTCGGCTCACCGCAACCTCCGCCTCCCGGGTTTCAGTGATTCTCCTGCCTCAGCCTCCCGAGTAGCTGGGATTACAGGCGCCTGCCATCATGCCCAGCTAATTTTTTGTATTATTGGTAGAGACGGGGTTTCACCATGTTGGCCAGGATGGTCTCGAAGTCCTGACCTCAGGTGATCCACCTGCCTCGACCTCCCGAAGTGCTGGGATTACAGGCGTGAGCCACTGCACCCGGCCATTTTTGTGTAGTTTTAGTAGAGAAGGGGTTTCACCATGTTGGCCAGGATTGTCTGGAACTCCTGACCTCAAGTATCTGCTTGCCTCGGCCTCCCAAAGTGCTGGGATTACAGGCATGAACCACTGCCCCTGCCTGAGTTCTTTACAATGGCACATTCATTTTCAAGTGACAAGGCTCATTCGCTAAGAATCCCCGAGGGACAGGCCTCTTGCACTGTGCCAGCATCCCAAGCCCCCCAGGTGCTTACTGGGATGACCTCTCCTTCTCACTGTGTGATGATTATCTCATTACAGACTCCTGGCACCCACACTCCCTTCCCAGAGGGTATCTCAGGCTGTTCGAAATCAACTGGGGATGCCTCTGATGGTCAGGCCCAGAGATGGGCTCATGGCCTCTGCCAGCCTGGCTTGGTTTCAGGTGGACCCCAGGACTCAGAGCCAACTGGATGTTGATTGAAATGTACTCGGATCACACCACCCCCTTTACTACCCCCACCCCAAGAACTGAGACCTCAGAGGCCACTCTAGGCATGTGCTATTTGAGGTAATCTGGGTCAGTCAGGCTTCTGGGGTGCAGGTAAAGAAACTTGAATCAAATTTCAAGCAAATACCTCAAAGTTGGAGGGTGATCTGAGGCCCCAGGCATGGCTGGATCCAGGCACTCCACCCTTCCTGTCTGGAATCTTCCTCTTTCCATTTCTCAGCACTGCTCTGCAGAGTTGACTTCATCCTTGGGCAGGATCACTACCAGACTCACACCCTTGACTTCAGAACCCCCTGGGAAGAAAGTGCTGGGTCTTTTTTCCTCATTGCTCTGGGAAGGCCTGGGCTAGCTTTGGCCAGCGATGCTGGCTAGTGTGCCCAGCTCTGTAGAGGAGGTGGCTTTGGCCTTTCTAGAGCCACATGGGCACAGAATGGGGAGGCCTGGGCCCCAGAAATGCCAGGCAAGCACAAGTCTATCCTCACTACACTCCTCTTCTCATGAGCCTCTGCATTCATTCATGGAGCAAGTGCTCTGAGTGGGAGGCTCCTGGATACCCGAGATGAGTATGACTCACCCCCGCCAGGCAGATGCTGGTGTGTGTGGAGAGGCTGACACATTACCAATGACAGGACGGCCGAGTGGGTTCTGTAAATCTAGAATTTTTCTTTTCTTTTCTTTTTTTTTTTTCTTGAGATGGACTTTTGCTCTTGTTGCGCAGGCTAGAGTGCAATGGCGTGATCTTGGCTCACCGCAACCTCCGCCTCTCGGGTTCAAACAATTCTCCTACCTCAGCCTCTGAGTAGCTGGGATTACAAGAATGCACCGCCACGCCCGGCTAATTTTTTGTATTTTTAGTAGAGATGGGGTTTCTCCATGTTGGTCAGGCTAGTCTCGAACTCCCGCCCTCAGGTGATCCAACCACCTTGGCCTCCCAAAGGGCTGGGATAACGGGCGTGAGCCACTGCATCCAGACTCTTTTTTTTTTTTTTTTGAGATGGAGTCTTGCTCGTCGCCAGGCTGGAGTGCAGTGGCTCGATCAAGGTTCACTGCAAACTCCGCCTCCCGGATTCAAGCGATTCTTCTGCCTCAGCCTCCCGAGTAGCTGTGACTACAAATGTGTGCCACCACACCCAGCTAATTTTTGTATTTTTAGTAGAGACAGGGTTTCACCATGTTGGCCAGGATGGTCTTGATCTCTTGACCTCGTGATCTGCCTGCAGTGGCCTCCCAAAGTATTGGGATTACAGGCATAAGCCACTGTGCCAGGCTTTTTTGTTTTTTTTTTTTTTTTTGAGACAGAGTCTCTCTCTGTTTCCCAGGCTGGAGTGCAGTGGCGCAATCTCAGATCACTACCACCTCTGGCTCCCAGGTTCAAATGATTCTCCTGCCTCAGCCACCCAAGTAGCTGGGATTACAGGTACCCACCACCACACCTGGCTAATTTTTGTATTTTTCGTAGAGATGGGGTTTCACCATGTTGGCCAGGCTGGTCTCCAACTCCTGACCTCAGGTGATCCACCTGCCTCAGACTCCTAAAAGTGCTGGGATTACAGGCGTGAGCCACCTTGCCTGGCCAGAGTTCTGTAAATCACTGAGGCTTGTCCAGAGCACTGAGGGGCACAGAGCAGGAGCACCTGTCCAGCCAGGGGAGACTGCGGTTTCATAGGGGAGCCGTGTCTTTGTGCAGTGGGGAGTGGTTGTGAGGGCATTCTAGGCTACACCTGAGGCTCCAGATAGATGAGGCCAGGTACGGAGTATGACAGGTGACTTGAAGGGCTCCTGTAATTGTATGTACATCCCTACTTGAAATTTCATGTCTTGGCCGGGAGCAGTGGCTCATGCCTGTAATCCCAGCATTTTGAGAGGATGAGGTGGGAAGATCGCTTAAGCCCAGGAATTCGAGACCAGCCTGGCCAACATAGTGAAACCGTCTCTACAAAAGTATAAAAATTAGCTTGGTGTGGTGGCCAGTGCCTGTACTCCCAGTTACTCAGGAGGCTGAGGCAGGAGGATCGCTTGAACCTGGGAGGCAGAGGTTGCAGTGAGCGGAGAGTGCGCCACTGTACTCCAGCTTGGGGGACAGAGTGAGACCCTGTCTCAAAAAAAAAGAAATTTCATGTCTTAAAACTTGGCTATTAATTTCACAGTGCTTTCATTGTGACATAGCAAGAAATCATTTTTATTAATGAGCACTCAGATGTAATTGCTGGACCTTGTGAGTAGAGAGCCTTCTGCAATTGAAAGTTAAGAATAGGCTGGGCACGGTGGCTCAAGCCTGTAATCCCAGCACTTTGGGAGGCCGAGGCAGGCGGATCATGAGGTCAGGAGTTTGAGACCAGCCTGGCCCATATGGTGAAACACTGTCTCTACTAAAAACACAAAAATTAGCTGGTGGTGGTAGCGCGCACCTGTAGTCCCAGCTACTCGGGAGGCTGAGGTAGAAGAATCGCTTGAACCCAGCAGGTGGAGGTTGCAGTGAGCCAAGATCGCGCCACTGCACTCCAGCCTGGGGACAGAGCGAGACTCGGTCTCAAAAAAAAAAAAAAGAATATAATTGAAATCTATGATTAACTGGGAATGTAAACATGAGTCAGATCAGCTGATTCTGTAAAACATTCTGGTGGGGTCTACATTATGTGGCTGGCTTTTTTCTCTTACTTTAAATCTTGCTAGTCTTTGCAGGGGGAGCAACAATGAACTACCAACATCGGGGCCCTTGTGCCCAGCAGAGCAGGTGCTCAGTATTTCTCGGCTGAATAAACATTGACAGATTTTAACCATTCCCCACATCTCCTCCCTTCAAACGCTTGCAGCCTATAGATGAGGGAGCAACCAGAACAGCTGGTCGGCAGGTGGGACCAGCTGGAGGGGTGCGGCCCACATCCACCAGGAGGCAGGGGTGGCTCAGCCTCACGCTCAGCCATCCACGACAAAAGCTGATCCACTGCAGAGCATGCATCACAGAGGAAAATACTCTGGAAAGGAATGAAGGCGCTGTAGCACACCGTTCAGAAGGGATCTATGTTAAAAGGCAAAAAAATAATGCAAGCATGGGGGAGCCTGAGAGGGAATCTAATAAGACTCTGGGAAGGCGAACCCAGTGGGCCACGGGGAGGAAAATGCCAGCAGCACCCAGACCCCAAACTCTACTGGCTGCCTCCCAATAAGGGGGCTTTCAGAACAGGAACCTCCAGCCTCACCTTCAGGAAAATTAATTATGGATTTAGAAAGGAAGCCTATTCCTTTGTCATCTACTCCTTCCTATGCTGCTCCGATTTCCTAACCAGACACACTGTTACAATTTTAACTTTAAAAATCTCAGCAGAATAGAGCTATTTTTGTTTCTGTTTTTTGTTTGTTTGTTTGATTGTGTTTTGAGACGGAGGCTCACTCTGACGCCCAGGCAGGAGTGCAGTGGTGCGATCTCGGCTCACTGCAACCTCTGCCTCCTGGGGTCAAGCGATTCTCCTACCTCAGTCTCCTGAGTAGATGGGGTTACAGGCATGCGCCACCATGGCCCAGCTAATTTTTGTATTTTTAGTAGAGACGGGGTTTCACCACACTGGCCAGGCTGGTCTCAAACTCCTGACCTCGTGCGGGGGTCACGCCAAAGTGCTGGGATTACAGGCGTGAGCCACCGCACCCGGCCTTGTTGCTGTTTTTCTTAAAAAAAAAAAAAAAAAAAGTGCTGGTAGCAAAAATAAAAATAAAAAAAATCAGCAAACAGAAAACTGTCATACAATCTGCCAGGAGTTGCGTGGTTTCTCCATTAATCAGAAGTCTAAAATACTCCTTGCAAATGTACAGAACAAAGGGCCTTCTGTGGCTCACTCCTCTGCTGGGGGCGGAAGGCTCAGCGTGTGCCTGAGGCACAAAGGCTTGGAAGCAGCCACTTCCCCGTGCTGGAAGCAGACTAAAGGGCTTGTCAGAAAACAGCTCTCAAGCTTTGTCCTCTTAGGCGCAAAAGATCGAAGCAGGGTAGCACTGCTGCCCCAAGGCAAGGCTTCTCCGTAGCCCTGATGCAATTCCGCTTCCTTTAAAGAGCAGCATGTGTGTGGGCAGGCCCGGGTCCTCCAGCTGCAGCTCCTAAAGATGCTCCCCACACGGCGGCCTTTCCCTGGGGAGGTTTTTCTTGAAGATGCTTCTATTAATCATTATAACTCCAGCATTTGTGCAGAGCAAATGCTGTACCTGACGCCAACTGGAGCCCTGCTGGGGGCTCTGCCAGAGCTACGGGATGGCCTCAAGGGAGCTGAGGCTTGCAGGCAGGTGCAGCTTCCGGTACATTATTAGGATTAAATAAAAACAAGGAAGGCCGGGCTCGGTGGCTCACACCTGTAATCCCAGCACTTCGGGATGCCGAGGTGGGCAGATCACGAGGTCAGGAGTTTGAGACCAGCCTGGCCAACATGGTGAAACCCCATCTCTACTAAAAATACAAAAATTAGCCAGGCGTGGTGGTACACACCTGTAATCCCAGCTACTCTGGAGGTTAAGGCAGGAGAATTGCTTGAACCCGGGAGGTGAAGCCTGCAGTGAGCAGAGATCATGCCACTGCACTCCAGCCTGAGTGACAGACCGAGACTCCGTGTCAAAACAAAACAGAAAGAGGAAAAGGCATTAGATATCCTGTTTTCACTGACCTGAGATAGCCCTCGTGAGTCCTGCTGAACTTCTGTTAGCCACATCCGGCTCCTTTTTTTGGGTGAATATGAGCAGGTAAAAAATCAGTTTCTACAAAGACCACCCAACACACAAAGTGGGAGAAAGAGACTCAATATTATTTTGCTTTTAAACTCCAAATTAAAATATTTAAAATATTTGGAATTTTAACAAACATGCATTTTGTGGGAAAAGTGGTATAAAACACATCAGTGGGCTGGTCGCGGTGGCTCACGCCTGTAATCACAACACTTTGGGAGGCTGAGGTGGGCAGGTCGTGAGGTCAAGCGATCAAGACCATCCTGGCCAACATGGTGAAACCCTGTCGCTACTAAAAATACAAAAATTGGCTGGGTGTGTTGGCACGTACCTGTAGTCCCAGCTACTTGGAAGGCTGAGACAGGAGAATCGCTTGCACCTGGGAGGCAGAGGTTGCAGTGAGCTGAGATCGCGCCACTGCACTCCAGCCTGGGCGAACGAGCAAGACACCGTCTCAAAAAACAACAACAACAAAAAAACCAAAAACCCACATCACTGAGATAAGCTTTATTTTGTAACTATTTAAAAGCCCACAGAAATACTTTATTTGAATATGGCTGTTACAATTATATTAACCTAATTAAAAAAAAACTTGAGCATACAAATTTTTGGGTTAATTTTTTTTTTTTTTTTTTGGAGAGAGAGTTTTACTTGTCATCCAGGTTGGAGTGAGTGGCACGATCTCGGCTCACTGCAACCTCTGCCTCCCAGGTTCAAGCAATTCTCCTGCCTCAGCCTCCTGAGTAGCTGGGATGACAGGCGCCTGCCACAACACCCGGCTAATTTTTGTATTTTTAGTAGAGACGGGGTTTCACCATGTTGGCCAGGCTGGTCTCGAACTCCTGACCTCAGGTGATCCGCCCTCCTAAAGTGCTGGGATTACAGGCATGAGCCACCACACCCAGCTGGATAATCTTTTTTTTTTTTTTTTAAGATGGAGTCTTGCTCTGTCACCCAGGCTGGAGTGCAGTGGTGCGATCTCAGCTCACTGAAACCTCTGCCTCCCGGGTTCAAGTGATTCTCCTGCCTCAGCCTCCCGAGTAGCTGAGACTACAGGCGTGCGCCAACATGCCCAGCTAATATTTGTATTTTTAGTAGAGCTGGGGTTACACCATGTTGGCCAGGATGGTCTTGATCTCTCCACCTCGTGATCCGCCAGCCTCGGCCTCCCAAAGTGCTGAGATTACAGGCGTGAGCCACTGCGCTAGGCCAATCTTTTTTTTTTCTTGAGATGGAGTCTTGCTTTGCCACCCAAGCTGGAGTGCAGTGGTACTATCTCAGCTCACTGCAACCTCTGCCTCCCAGGTTCAAGCAATTCTCCTGCCTCAGCCTCCCAAGTAGCTGGGACTATAGGCATGTGCCACCACGCCTGGCTAATTTTTATATTTTTAGTAGAGACGAAGTTTCACCATGTTGGCCAGGCTGGTCTCAAACTCCTGACCTCAAGTGATCCACCCACTCGGCCTCCCAAAGTGCTAGGATTATAGGCGTGAGCCACCGTGCCAGGCCTAGAATAATCTTTTTTTTTTTTTTTTGAGACGGAGTCTCGCTTTGTCGTCAGGCTGGAGTGCAGTGGCGCAATCTTGGCTCACTGCAACCTCTGCCTGCTGGGTTCAAGTGATTCTCGTGCCTCAGCCTCCCGAGTAGCTGGCATTACAGGCACACGCCACCACACCCAGCTAATTTTTGCATTTTTAGTAGAAACGGGGTTTCACCATGTTGGGCAGGATGGTCTCGATCTCCTGACCTCATGATCTGCCCACCTCGGCCTCCCAAAGTGCTGGGATTATAGGCGTGAGCCACCGCACCTGGCCAGAATAATCTTAATTACAATTTATTTGTGACCAAAAGTAACACATATCACAATCATTTAATTTTTTTTTTTTTGAGACGGGAGTATTGCTCTGTCGCCCAGGCTGGAGTGCAGTGGCGCGATCTCGGCTCACTGCAACCTCCACCTACCGGGTTCATGCTATTCTCCTGCCTTAGCCTCCCAAGGAGCTGGGATTACAGGCACCCTCCACCTCCCTGGTTCATGCTATTCTCCCGCCTCAGCTTCCCAAAGAGCTGGGACTAAAGGCACCCTCCATCATGCCTGGCTAATTTTTGTAGACAGGGTTTCACCATGTTTGGCCAGGCTGGTCTTGAACTGACCTCAGGTGATCCGCCCACCTTGGCCACCCAAAGTGCTGAGATTACAGGCGTGAGCCAGTGCGCCCGGCCTTTTTTATTATTTTTTTAAATTTTTATTTGAGACAGGGTCTGGCTCTGTTGCCTAGTGGTAGGATCTTGGCTTAGTGCAGCCTGGACCTCACTGGCTCAATCAATCCTCGAAGCTCAGCCTCCCGAGTAGCTGGGACTACAGGCGCATGCTACCATGCCCAGCTAATTTTTGCATGTTTTGTAGAGGCAGGGTTTCGCCATGTTGCCCAAACTGGTTCGAACTCCTGAGCTCAAGTGATTTGCTTGCCTTGGCCTCCCAAATTGTTGGGATTACAGGTATGAGTCACCATGCCTGGCCATTTAACCTTCGTGTTTAAGAAAAGAGGAAAATAGTGCTGCTGTTTCTTGTTAATTTGCTTATAGCATTGAAGAATCTACTAACATAGTTAACACCAAGAATCAAGTTAAACTTTTTGGCATGCAATAAAATTGCATTTGCTTTCATGTCCTCACACCGCACTGCATTCAGGACGCAGCCTGTGAGGACCCACCAGCTGACGACTCACAGTGAGGGTGGTGCTGACTCCACGGCCAGCACACCGATCGCTTGGCAGTCAGCTTCCACATCATTCCCGTCAGCAGACTTCTTTTTTCCAGTAAAACTTTATTAATTATTATTATTTTTTGATACAGAGTCTCGTTTGGTCTTCCAGGCTGGAGTGCAGTGGTGCGATCTTGGATCACTGCAACCTCCGCCTCCTGGGTTCAAGCGTCGCATGCCTCAGCCTCCAGAGCAGCTGGGATTACAGGTGCGTGCCACCACACCCAGCTAATTTTTTGTAGAGACAGGGTTTTGCCATGTTGTCCAGACTGATCTTGAACTCCTGATCTCAAGTGATCCACCCGCCTCGGCCTCCCAAAGTGCTGGGATTACAGGTGTGAGCCACCGTGCCTGGCCAATATTTTTAAATAGTTCTGTTTTGAATTGGTATAATTCGAAACACAGGAAACGGGCACCCAGTGCTTGGGCTTTATTTCACACCACGTACGTGACAACAAGCTGGCCTAGAGCCCACATCAGCAGGCAGGCGGCCCACAGTGCCCCAGGACCTACCCTGCCCCCAAACAGGCCATGGGGCCCCTTAGGAAGATGTGGGGCTTCTTGAGATCAGCTCCAGTTTTTCTCAGAGCCCCTGTGAAAGGAGCTCCATCTGCTTCCTGTGGAAACCTGGACTCTGGCTGGGTCAGAGTGGACTCCTAGTTGCTCCTCTTCTTTTGTTTCTGTTTAAGCTTGTTCCAAATCCTTTCCAGGGCCACTTTTCCCATGAAGAAGGTGATGGCAAAATTGCGCTTGTACCAATCTCTGTAGAGAAACAGAGGATGCACAGGTGACACGGTGGCAGGGACTGAGGCTTGGTGCCCTGGCCCAGAAGTGGCTCCCAGTTGAGGATGAGTTCAACTGACCAGGCCTCAACTGCTTTGCCCTTTCCCTGCCCTTGTTAAAGCTAAACTATTCATAGAGGCCTGCCTCTCCTCAGGCTGAGAGTGAGGCCCACTGGCGACGCCTGGAGTCCTCTCCAGCCCTGTTTCTGGAGGCCGCCACCATCCTCCTTTGGTGTTTTTTTTTTTTGAGACGGAGTCTCGGTCTGTCGCCCAGGCTGGAGTGCAGTGGCGCGATCTCGGCTGACTGCAAGCTCCGCCTCCCGGGTTCGCGCCATTCTCCTGCCTCAGCCTCCCGAGTAGCTGGGACTACAGGCGCCCGCCACCACACCCGGCTAATTTTTTGTATTTTTTTTTTTTAGTAGAGACAGGGTTTCACCGTGTTAGCCAGGATGGTTTCGATCTCCTGACCCACCTGCCTCAACCTCCCAAAGTTCTGGGATTACAGGTGTGAGCCACCGCACCCGGCCCCTCCTTTGGAGTTTTTTTTGTTTTGTTTTTTCATCTTGCTTAGTTGTCCAGGCTGGAGTACAGTGGCACAATCTTGGCTCATTGCAACCTCTGCCTCCTGGGTTCAAGTAATTCTTCTGCCTCAGCCTCTTAAGTACTCCTTTGATTTTTGCTAAAAGATCCAAGAGAGCCCTTGGAAACCCCAGGCCTGCCGAGCTGGCAGCATTTTAGGGATGTGATGGGCCACGACCACTCTGGAGGCTCTGCATGGCAGGACAGAAAGTTCCTCTCCACCTGCAAACCACCTTTA
Organism: Homo sapiens; assembly: GCF_000001405.40. Lineage (NCBI taxonomy): Eukaryota > Metazoa > Chordata > Mammalia > Primates > Hominidae > Homo > Homo sapiens. Next base: position 103,589,343 of record NC_000014.9, on the reverse strand, counting down.
CACCTCCACCTACTTAAGCAATGCTGTCATGAGGAGCAGTGCCCAAAGTAAATAAGCGCTTCCAGGAGAAGAAAACCGGTAGCCCATGGGGATTACAGTTCTTCAAGGAAAAGCCATATTCCATTTCACTAATACAGACGACCTGATTCTATGACATGTAAAAGCAAGCTACACTTCTGCTGTTGCCACAGGGAAGGCAGGGGCAGGAGGTGGTGGTGGGGGCCAGGCTCCTCTAAGGCCTGATCTTGGGTAAGGCTGGTCCTCTTCACCCGAGTGCCACAGAGAAAACATGAAGCCCATCAGAGACTGTGCCCCGTGCAAACAAGCTACGTGTCCAAAGACCAGGGAAAGATTATACTCGCTTGTTTGAATGACTTAACTAATTCAGAGTAATACATGACAACCTTAGAAATGGAATCCAGATATTTCAGGACTAATCTTTAGGTCAGACTGTCCCTCACTGAGTCCATCCAGCCTTTGACTGTATCTATATTCTCTTTTTTTATTAGGGTCTCACTCTGTAGCCCAGGCTGGAGTGCAGTAGCGGGATCTCGGCTCACTGCAACCTCCACCTCCTGGGCTCAAGGGATCCTCCTGCCTCAGCCTCCTGTAGCTGGGATTACAGGTGCACACTACCACACCAAGCTAATTTTTGTATTTTTTGTAGAGACAGGGTTTTGTCATGTTGTCCAGGCTGGTCTCAAACTCCTGGGCTCAAGCAATCCATCTGCCTTGGCCTCCCAAAGTGCTGGGAGTACAGGTGTGAGCTACCGTGCCTGGCCCATGTCGACATTCTTGAAGTCTGGCTTCACCTGCCCATCAGGCTTTGTAACTCTGGAACTGTTTTATATATATATATATATTTTTTTAATTACTTACTTATTTATTTATTTATTGAGACAGGGTCTTACTCTGTCTGCCATCCAGGCTGGAATGCAGTGGCCGGATCTCGGCTCACTGTAGCCTTAACCTCCCAGGCTCAAGTGGTCCTCCTAGCTCAAGCCTTTCACTATGTTGCCCAGACTGGTCTTGAACTCCTGGACTCAAGTGATCTACCCACCTTGGCCTCCCAAAGTCATGGGATTCCAGGTGCGAGCCACCGTATCCAGCCTACAAATATTTTAAAGCAAATCTCAGATATCATGTCCTATTAATTTCACCTGTAAATACAGGTCATTATTATCTGTAACCAGCTAAAACCCGTTTTTTTTTTTTTTTTTTTTTTTTGAGATGGAGTTTTGTTCTCCTTGCCCAGACTGGAGTGCAATGGCACGATCTCAGCTCACCGCAACCTCCACCTTCCACGTTCAAGCGATTCTCCTGACTGAGCCTCCGGAGCAGCTGGCTAATTTTGTATTTTTAGTAGAGACAGGGTTTCTCCATGTTGGTCAGGCTGGTCTTGAACTCCTGACCTCAGGTGATCTGCCCACCTTGGCCTCCTAAAGTGCTGGGATTACAGGTGTGAACCACCACACCCGACCTAAAAAAATTGGTATCTTTTTAAGCCACTGCAGTCACTTAAAAAATAAAGTTGATAGACGAGGCGCAGTGGCTCATGCCTGTAATCCCAGCACTTTGGGAGGCCAAGGCAGGCGGATCACGAGGTCAGGAGATTGAGACCATCCTGCCTAACACGGTGAAACCCTGTCTCTACTAAAAATACAAAAAATTAGCCAGGCGTGCTGGCGGGTGCCTGTAGTCCCAGCTACTCGGGAGGCTGAGGCAGGAGAATGGCGTGAACCCAGGAGGCGGAGCTTGCAGTGAGCCAAGATGGCGCCACTGCACTCCAGCCTGGGCGAGAGAGCGAAACTCCGTCTCAAAAAAAAAAAAAAAAAGAAAAAAAGAAAAAAAAAAGTTGATAAAGTCTTGCAACTTCTACCTCTGATATAAACATGAATGTTGTTAAATTCAGGTAAGAAAACACTCCTACCTAATCTGGATGTGCTATTCAAATTTTCAGGAAAAGAGTAAACACCTACCTGTTATAATACATGTGCTTCTGAAAATTTTTACTTAAAAATTCCTTGTAGAAGTCCGCCATTTCTTCTGCATTCAATGTTGCTTTCTGACCTGAAAGGTAATTTCAGCTTAAACATTAAGACTTAAGGAGAAAGGATAAACAAAAAACTATTAGAGCTAATAAATGAGTTCAGCAAGCTTGCAGGATATATACAAGACCAATATACAAACATCAATTGTATTTCTATACACTAGCAATGAACAGTCTGAAATGAAATCAAGAAAACAATTCTACTTATGATAGCATCAAAAATAATAAAAGACTTAGGAATAAATTTGAGAGGAGACGTGTAAGATGTGTACACTGAAAAATACAAAATAGGCTAGGTGCAGTGGGTCACGCCTATAATCCCAGCACTTTGGGAGGCCAAGGTGGGAGGATCACTTGAGGTCAGGAGTTCATGACCAGCGTGGCCAACATGGTGAAACCCCATCTCTACTAAAAATACAAATATTAGCCAGATGTGGTGACTCACGCCTGTAATCCTAGCACTTTGGGAGGCCGAGGCAGGTGGATCACCTGAGGTCAGGAGTTTGAGACCAGCTGGGCCAACATGGTGAAACCCCGTCTCTACTAAAAATACTGGGGCCGGTGGGGGGTGGCAGAGGTTACAATGAGCCCAGATCATGCCACTTCACTCCAGCCTGGGCAAAAGAGTAAAACTCCGAATCAAAAAAAAAAAAGGCCAGGCGTGATAGCTCATGCCTGTAATTCCAGCACTTTGGGAGGCCGGGCTGGGCCGATCAGAAGATCAAGAGATAGAGACCATTCTGGCCAACATGGTAAAACCTCATCTCTACTAAAAATACAAAAATTAGCTGGGCGTGGTGGTGCACGTCTGTAGTCCCAGCTACTTGGGAAGCTGAGGCAGGAGGATCACTTGGGACCAGGAGTTCAAGACCAGCCTGGGCAACATAATAAGACCTCATCTCTCCAAAAAATAAAAAAATTAGCTAGGTATGGTGGTACATGCCTGTAGTCTTAGCTACTCAAGAGGCCGGGGAAGGAGGGTCACCTGAGCCCAGGAGTTCAAGGTTGCAGTGAGCCATGATCATACCACTGCACTCCAGCCTGGGCAACAGAGCCAGACCCTGTCTCGTTAAAAAAAAAAAAAAAAAAAAAAGGCCAGGTGCAGTGGCTCACGCCTATAATCTCAGCACTTTGGGAGGCTGAGGTGGGTGGATCACCTGAGGTCAGGAGTTCGAGACCAGCCTGGCCAACGTGCTGAAACACCGTCTCTACTAAAAATACAAAAATTAGCCGGGCATGGTAGCAGGCACCTGTAATCCCAGCTACTCAGGAGGCTGAGGTAGGAGAATTGCTTGAACTCAGGAGGTGGAGGTTGCAATGAGCCGAGATCGTGCCATTGCACTCCAGCCTGGGCAACAACAGCGAAACTCCGTCTCCAAAAACAAAACAAAAAAAAACAAAAAACAACAAAAAAGGGCCGGGCCGGGCATGGTGGCTCACGCCTGTAATCCCAGCACTTTGGGAGGCCGAGGCAAGTGGATCACAAGGTGAGGAGATCGAGACCATCCTGGCCAACATGGTGAAACCCCGTCTCTACTAAAAGTACAAAAATTAGCCGGGTGTAGTGGCGTGCGTCTGTAGTCCCAGTTACTCGGGAGGCTGAGGCAGGAGAATTGCTTGAACCCGGGAGGTGGAGGTTGCAGTGAGCCGAGTTCACACCACTGCACTCCAGCCTGGCGACAGAGCGAGACTCTGTTTCAAAAAAAAAAAAAAAAAGAGAAAAAACCTATAGAACGGGAGAAAAACATTTGCTAATCATCCATCTAATAAAGGTCTAGTATCGAGAATATGTAAATAACTTTTTTTTTTTTTTTGAGACGGAGTTTCGCTTTTGTTGCCCAGGCTGGAGTGCAATGGTACGATCTCGGCTCACCACAACCTCCACCTGCCAGGTTCAAGCAATTCTCCTGCCTCAGCCTCCCGAGTAGCTGGGATTACAGGTATGTGCCACCACGCCCAGCTAATTTTTTGTAGTTTTAGTAGAGACGGGTTTCTCCATGTTGGTCAGGCTGGTCTCGAACTCCCAACCTCAGGTGATCCACCCGCCTTGGCCTCCCAAAGTGCTGGTATTACAGGCGTGAGCCACCGCGCCTGGCCAAGAACTCTTTTTATCTCAGCAACAAAAAGACAAATCATCCTATTTATTTATTTATTTAGAGACAGAGTCTTGCTCTGTCACCCAGGCTGGAGTGCAGTGGCGCAATCTCGGCTCACTGCAAACTCTGCCTTCTGGGTTCAAGCGATTCTCCTGCCTCAGCCTCCTGAGTAGCTGGGATTACAGGCACGCACCACCATACCTGGCTAATTTTTGTATTTCTAGTAAAGACGGGGTTTCACCACATCGGTCAGACTGGTCTTGAACTCCTGACTTCATGATCCGCCCGCCTTGGCCTCCCAGAGTGCTGGGATTACAGGAGTGAGCCACTGCACCTGGCCAAATCATCCACTTTTAAAATGGGCAAAGGATTTAAACAGGAATTTCTCCAAAAAAGATACACGAACAACCAATAAGCACATGACAAGATGCTCAACACCACGGGAAATCAGAAAGACAAAGGCATGCCACGTCACACCCGCTAGGATAGCTATTATTAAACACAGACAATAACAAGTGTTGACAAGGATGTAGAGAAATTAGAACTCTCATACATTGCTGGTGGAAATAAAAAAATAGGTCAGGCCACTCTGAAAAACAGCTTTGTAATTCCTGAAAAAGTTAAACACAGAGTTCGTGATCATAAGACCCACGTGGCATTATAGAGAGGTATTTGGTCTTTGTCCCCTGTTCCTGGCACAGAGCTCCTAAAACCTCAGAATCTCCTGAGTGATGAAGGGTGATAGCAGCTGCTCCTGTTCGAATGGGGCAGCTCTGGTGGGCTCCTGTACTGCTTCGGGATGGGGGCCGGAAAGACCAAGCCTTGATTGGAAGCTCAAAACTTTCAGTTTTGGGGAAAGGAGAGGGAGTAGAGATTGAGCTAATTACCAACGGCCAATGATTTAATCAACCATGCCTACCTCATGAGACCTCCATAAAAATCCCTAAACCATGGGGTTCAGAGAGCATCCGGGCTACTGAACATATTGAGGTGCTGGGAGGCCAGGCACGGTGGCTCACGCCTGTTATCCCAGTGCTTTGTGGGGCCGAGGGAGGGTTGCTTGAGCCCAGGAGGCTGACGCTGCAGTGAGCCATGATCATGCCACTGCACTCAGCCTGGGCGACAGAGTGAGACCTGCTCAAAAAAACAAACAAACAAACAAAAGGTGCTGGGAGGATGGCATGCCCAGAGAGGGCGCAGGGGCTCCGCATGCCCCCATACCTTGCCATGTGCATCTCTGCTATCTGGCTGTCCCTGAGTTGTATCCTTAATAATAAACCGCTAAGAGTAAGTAAAACACCTTTCTGAATGTTGTGATCCATTCTAGCAAATTATCAATCCTGTGGAGGGGGTCATAGTCTGATTTATAGCCTGTCAGGCAGAGGGACAAGTGGCCCAGGACTGGCAACCGGCAAAGGATGTAAACAGGAATTTATCCAAAGAGAAAGACTGCCTCAGTGGAGGCAATCTTGTGGGACTGGGTCTTTAACCTGTGGCATCAGACATGAACTCCAAGTAGACAGTGTCAGAATTGAACTGAATTGCTGGACACCTATAGCTGGTGTTGAGGAGTTGGAGAAGTGGAATTAGAGAAGACACCAGGTATTTGGTCTCAGGAGGAAAAAAGACTCTTTTTTTTTTTTTTTTTTTTTTTTTGAGATCGAGTCTTGCTCTGTTGCCCAGGCTGGAGTGCAATGGCACAATCTCGGCTCACTGCAACCTCCACCTCCCGGGTTCCAGCAAATTCTCCTGCTTCAGCCTCCCGAGTAGCTGGGATTACAGGCGCCCGCCACCACACCCAGCTAATTTTTTGTATTTTTAGTAGAGATCGGGTTTCACCATGTTGGCCAGGCTGGTCATGAACTCCTGACCTCAAGTGATCCGCCCACCTTGGCCTCCCAAAGAGCTGGGATTACAGGCGTGAGCCACCGCGCCAGGCCAAAAAGACTCTTAACTCAGCAGTTCACCTGTAGGTATACACAGGATTATTCACAGTAGCATAATTCATAATAGCCAAAGGGTAGAAATAATCCAAATGTTCATCAACTAGTAAGTGGATAAACAAAACATGGTATATCCGTATAGAATATTATACAGCCATTAAAAAAATCTCCAAAGTGCTAATACATGAGACAATATAAATAAATCTTGAAAACATTATGAACCTAAGTGAAAAAAAGGCAGACACAAAAGACCACATATTGTATGATTCCATTTATCTGGAAATGTTCAGAATAGGCAAATCCAGAGATATAAAGTGGGCTGCCGGGGTTAGGTGAGGCAGGAATTGAGACTGGCTAATGGGTGTGGGGTTTCTTCTTGAGGTGATGAAAATGTTCAGAATTAGTGATGTAGTTGTACAATCTTGTGACTACTAAAAGCCATGGAATTATACAGTTTAAAAGGGTGAATTTAGGCAGGGCACGACAAGGAGACTCCATCTCAAAAAAAAAAAAAAAAGGCAGGGTGAATTTTATGGTATGTGAATCGTATCTAAAGGTCACAGCATAATTCATTTTCTTCACAAGTGATTACGACCCAGGCAGGTATGTCTACCATACACAACGAGTGACGGGTTTCATCACGCACACTCCTGCAGGTTCTGCGGAGGAACTGGGAGCCACCGCTACACGGGAATGAAATGTGTCCTAACTTGAATGCATCCTAGGTTAACAGCCTGCCCATTCCTGGGACAGGTCCCGGCCTGACTACTCCAGCCCCGCGTGCTGGTGGGGCTGTTTACACATGAGGACCAGTGCCGCTTGCCTCTGTGGCACTCCCAGGGCGGTGGCCACGCTCAGGCTCACCCACACGCAAGAGAGGTAGGAAGGCCACAGGGCAGGACCCACAGCCCGTTACAGGGAGTGGCAGGGCTGCCCTGAAGTAGGGTCCCCAAAGCAGCCCAGGGGACAGTCTCATGCCCCCCAGCTATGGCTCAGGGACCAGGGAATGGAACCACATCCAGGGTGGCGGGTGCAGGAGGCGCACTCTGACTTAGCAGCCCCAGTCCCCGAACAGGAAGTGAGGTCTCTTGTAAGAGCGCTGGGCTCTGGCTCAGGGGCTCCTGCATCTCCAGCACTTCCCATGAGGAGGCGCGGAGGCCACGCTCAGCTCCTACCCAGGGTGCTCGCTAGCCTCCCCGGCAGACTGCCTTTCCCTGAAGGTGCCACCTTCAGCAGAGCGCATACCACCCTGTGGCACAGCTAATGCTGATGCTCCGGCCCAAGGGGGAGTGGGCAAAGTGGCCAAAGGCATGATTCCACCCTCCCTCCACAGAGCAGGGAGGGTGTCTGGCAACCCCTTTATTCCCACAGACAGAAACAAACACTCAGACGGCACAGCACAAGCACGGCTGTCCCCTAGCCACACGGCAGACAGGACAGGAGCCACGTGTCCTCTGGCCGCCCGGGCAGGTCTAGTGCCACCGGAATGAAGAACAGTTTAACTCTACAGCCCCCTGCTCTGCTTTTCCCTTCAGTTCTGCCATTTCCTACGTCATCTGGGGCTACTTCATTTTCTTCTGTGCCTCGGTTTACTCAACTGTGTAAGGGAGATGGCGGCAGCACAGCTGTCCCCTCCATCCATGGTTTTTCTTTCCATGGTTTCAGTTACCCGAGGTAAAGTGGGGTCTGAAAATATTAAATGGAAAATTCCAGAAATGAACAAGTCATAAGTTTTGAACTGCATGCTGTTCTGAGTAGCGTGATGAAACCTCCCAAGGTCCTACTCCGACCAGCCCAGGAGGCGACTCCTCCCTCTGTCCAGCACCTCCACAGTGTAGACGCGCCCCACTCGTTAGTTACTCAGCAGCCGTCTCGGTGATCAGATCCACTGTCGTCGTACAGCAGTGCTTGTGTCTGAGTAACCCTTATTTACTTGGTAATGGTTGCAAAATACAAGATTAGAGATGCTGGCATATTGTTACACTTGTTCTATTTTATTAGTTATCATTGCTAGTCTCTCATGCCTAATTTATAAACTTTATCATAGCTAAAAATGAAAAGTTGTCCCTTGGTATCGATAGGAGGTTGGTTCCAGGACTCCTACAGATACCAACATTTCAGGATGCTCAAATCCTTTATATAAAATGGTGTAACAGGCTGGGCGCGGTGGCTCACGCCTGTAATCCCAGGACTTTGGGAGGCCAAGACGGGCGGATCACCTGAGGTTGGGAGTTCCAGAACAGCCTGACCAAAATGGAGAAACTCCATCCCTACTAAAAATACAAAAAAAATTAGCCGGGCGTGGTGGCACATGCCTATAATGCCAGCTACTCAGGAGGCTGAGGCAGGAGAATTCCTTGAACCAAGGAGGCAGAGGTTGCAGTGAGCTGAGATTGCGCCACTGCACTCCAGCCTGGGCAACAAGAATGAAACTCCGTCTCAAAAAAAAAAAAAAAACAACAGGCCAAGGATAGTGGCTCACGCCTGTAATCCCAGCACTTTGGGAGGCTGAGGTGGGTGGATCTGAGGTGAAGAGATTGAGACCATCCTGGCCAACATGGGAGACCTCATCTCTACTAAAAATACAAAAAAAATTAGCTTGGTGTGGTAGCACACACCTGTAGTCCCAGCTACTCAGGAGGCTGAGGCAGGAGGATTGCTTGAACCCGGGAGGTGGAGGTTGCAGTGAGCCAAGATAGGGCCACTGCACTCCAGCCTGGCGACAGAGTGAGACTCCGCTTCAAAAAACAAAAAAAACCACAAAAAACAAAAAACAAAAATTAGCTGGGTATGGTGGCAGATGCCTGTAGTCCTCACTATTTGGGAGGCTGAGGCAGGAGAATTGCTTGAACCCAGAGGCGGAAGCTGCAGTGAGCAGAGACTGCACCACTGCACTCCAGCCTGGGTGACAGATTGATACTCCATCTCGAAAAATAAATAAAATAAAATATAATGTTGTAATAAACCTAGGCAACATAGAAAAAAATTCTACAAAAAAATTTTTTTTTAAATTAGCGAGGCATGGTGGCATGTGCCTGTAGTCCCAGCAACTTGGGAGGCTGAGGCAGGAGGATGGCTTGAGCCTGGGAGGTTGAAGCTCCAGGGAGCCACGATCGCGCCACTGCACTCCAGCCTGAGTGGCAGAGCAAGGCTTTGTCTCCAAATATTTGCAAATAACCTACTCGCATCCTCCCATATGCTTTAAGTCATCCCTGGATTACTTATGATACCTAATACAATGTAAATGCTGTATGAACAGTTGTCATGCTGTACTTTTTTTTTTTTTTTTTTTGAGACAGAGTCTTGCTTTGTTGCCCAGGCTAGAGTGCAGTGGCATGATCTCGGCTCACTGCAGCCTCCATCTCCCAGGTTCAGATGATTCTCCTGCCTCAGCCTCCCAAGTAGCTGGGATTACAGGCATACGCCACCACGTCCAGCTAAGTTTTGTGTCTTTAGTATAGACGGGATTTCACATTGTTGGCCAGGCTGGTCTCGAACTCCTGACCTCAGGTGATCTGCCCGCCTCAGCCTCCCAAAGTGCTAGGATTACAGGCGTGAGCCACCGTGCCCGGCCGTTATGCTGTACTTCTAAATTTTTCTATTTTTGGCCGGGCGCGGTGGCTCATGCCTATAATCCCAGAACTTTGGGAGGCCGAGGTGGGTGGATCATCTGAGGTCAGGAGTTTGAGACCAGCCTGGCCAACATGGTGAAACCCTGCCTCTACTAAAAATACAAAAATTAGTCAGGTGTGGTGGTGTGTACCTGTAGTCCCAGCTACTCAGAAGGCTGAGGCAGGAGAATCGCTTGAACCAGGAGGCAGAGTTTGCAGTGAGCCGAGATCGTGCCACTGCACTCCAGCCTGGGTGACAGAGTGAGACTCCATCTAAAAAGAAAAAATTGTATTTTTTATTTTCAATATTTTATTGTTTATATGTTTATTGTTTTCAATATTTTTCAATCTGTGGTTGGTTGAACTGAGGACATAGGGGAGGGACAACCGTGTAGGGAAAAACCTAGTGTACATACAGGGCTTGGTACTAGCCTCAGTCTTAGGCATTCACTGGGGGTCTTGGAATGTATCCCTCGGATAAAGAGGGCCTACTCTGTCTCATGTGTTACTGTTAATACACATATAGGGCGCTCAAAACTGTGTCCGTACTCAGAGGTTGAGGCAGGAAGACTGCTTGAGGCCAGCCTGGTCAACATAGCGAGACCTCATCTGGGATGGACAGAGGCCAAGACTGTCCCCACCTGGCTGTGTGGCCCCAGAGCTGTGACTTACCTCCATCTCAGTTTCTTCCTCTCTAGTGTGTGACAGCAACCGCGCACCTCATGAAGCTACACTCCGTCAGTGTGGCAGGAGGGGCGCGGCTGGCACAGAAGTGCTTGCTTGTGGTCACTGCTGTTAGGGTGACCACGGGAGTATCCCAAAGGCAGGGGTACCAGCTGCTGCCACCTGACTCCATTGACATGGGCGTCCCTCAGGACAGGTCTCCTTGCATTTGGCTCAAACACCCCCAGGCCAAGGCTCAACAAGCAGCAGAAGCACTGTAATATCTGCTAAGCAGGGCACCATCCACACTGCAGCACTGCAGCTTAATACCGAACCTACCGCTAAGTTCAGGGAAAGAGGCAAAACACCGAGTTCACCACACTTACTGAAAACCGAGTGGGTGTTTCATAAATACTTAGGAGACTGACTTAAACTAAACCCATCTTGATGGTACTCTTCCTGCCACTGCATAAACACTCTGGGAATGAAATACATTAGAGGAATTCTCCCACAATACTGCCTGCCTTACAAATGAGATTTAATTTTGAGACTGGCAGAACTGAAATCACAGTATTCTGCTGCTTGCACTTCAAATTCAATCACTCATTTTTCTGCACTGCTGCAGAATATTCCGGTGAAGGCCAGTAAGTGCGTAGGCCACCACAGCCTTATCCGTTCTTCTAGTACTGGGCATTTCCATTCTTCCCATTCTTCTGCAATGAAAGATTGTGCTGCAAGGAACACACAGCTGAACTCTTCCCATGTTTCCCCACATGAATTTTTTTTTTGGAGACAGTCTGGCTCTGTCACTCAGGCTGGAGTGCAGTGACACAATCTCGGCTCACTGCAGCCTCCACCCCCTGGGCTCAAGTGATCCTCCCACCTCAGCCTCCCGAGTAGTTGGGACTACAGACACATACTGCCAAACTTGGCTTTTTTTTTTTTTTTTTTTTTTTGAGATGGAGTTTCACTCTTGCTGCCCAGGCTGGAGTGCAATGGTGCAATCTCGGTTCAGTGCAACTTCCGCCTCCGGGGTTCAAGCGATTCTTCTGCCTCAGCCTCCTGAGTAGCTGGGATTACAGGCATGCATCACCACGACTGGCTAATTTTGTATTTTTAGTAGAGATGGAGTTTCTTCATGTTGGTCAGGCTGGTCTCAAACTCCTGACCTCAGGTGATCCGCCTGCCTCAGCCTCCCAAAGTGCTGGGATTACAGGCATGAGCCACCGCACCCGGCCTTAATTATTTTTATTTTTAAATTTTTTGTAGACAAAGGGTTTTACCATGTTGCCCAGGCTGGTCTCAAACTCCTGGGCTCAAGTGATCCACCCACCTCAGCCTCACAAAGTGGTGGGATTACAGGTATGAGCCACCAAGCCTGGCTCTCACATGAATTCTTAGAGATGATTCATGAGCATCATTTGCCTGCTTCCTGGGGTATATGTAAATATGTGTAGCTAAATTCTTCTGGAAAAGGGGCTGAGGATTTTCTGCTGCCATCCACCTTTGATGTAACTCCGCCAGCACTGAGTCTCAAGACTGAAAACATTCCCCCATGAACTGAGTAAGCATGAAATGATGACTTCTTGTTGCATATGCACTGTAGGCTGGGCGCGGTGGCTCATGCCTGTAATCCCACCACTTTGGGAGACTGAGATGAGAAGATCACTTGAGGTCAGGAGTTTGAGACCAGCCTGGTCAACATGGTGAAACTCCGTCTACGAAACACACACACACACACAAATTAGCCAGGTGTGGGGGCGGGTGCCTATAATCCCAGCTACTTGGAAGGCTGAGACAGGAGAATTGCTTGAACCCGGAGGTGGAGACTGCAGTGAGCCGAGATCACGCCACTGCACTCCAGCCTGGTGACAGAGTGAGACTCCATCTCAAAAAAATAAACAAATATGCCTTGTAAAATTTAGAGTTTGAACAATTTTTTCTTCTTGTAGTCACGTTATTTGTCTATAAATGTGTGTTATTTCTGAGTATTTGTGGCAGCTTTTCCTGAAGTCCAAATTGCCCATGTTGTTTTGCTGCCAGCACTTGCCCTTCCTCACATTTCCGGGACACTGATCCCTGCGCCTACCCAGCCCTCTGATCCTTTGCCAGCAGGCCTGCTCTTTTGCCTGCTTCCTCCCGTCTCCATGGCAGCAGCCAGGCTCTCTGCACAAGCCCCACCTCTGCCTCAGCTAATCCGGGCACCTCCCAACCGGGCTGGAGCCAGCCTGAGGAAAGGCAGCCTCCTCAGCTGACTGCTTCTTTGAACTTAGGAGGGATAAACAAGGAGGCAGAGAAAGCCAGTTTATAGCATGAGAAAGGTAAGGCAGTGGCCTAGGAGAAAAGTTTAAACATGAGGAAGAAATTGCTCTGGTCCTAGCGTCTGAGCACAGGCCATGACTGGGGCCAGCTCCACCCGCCTCTGGGTACTGAGCCACCTCCACATATGCTCAGCAAACTCTCCTGTCCAGAAACCTGGATCAAAAGGAGTCTTAACACAGACGTTTTCAGCTTTTATGTTCTTGAATATCTCTGTCTTCACCCTCAAGCTCAGGACGGTATCATTCCTCCAGATAATGGTGAGTCTGTTATATCCTATTAGATGCTCTACAGCTGCGAACTATGTATCTAACTCTTTAATCCATAAACAATCGACTTTCTTTTTTTATTTTTTTGAGACAGAGTCTCGCTCTGTCACCCAGGCTGGAGTGCAGTGGCGCAATCTCGGCTCACCGCAACCTCCGCCTCCTGGGTTCAAGTGATTCTCCTGCCTCAGTCTCCTGAGTAGCTGGGATTACAGGCAAGTGCCACCACGACCAGCTAATTTTTGTATTTTTAGTAGAGACGGGGTTTCACCATGTTGATCAGGCTGGTCTCGAACTCCTGACCTTGTGATTCCCCTGCCTCAGCCTCCCAAAGTGCTGGGATTACAGGCGTGAACCACCGCGCCCGGCCTGACTTTTAATAATTAACTTTTTGGCCAGGCACAGTGGCTCACGCCTGTAATCCCAGCACTTTGGGAGGATGAGGTGAGTGGACTGCTTGAGCTCAGGAGTTTGAGACCAGCCTGGGCAACACGGCAAAACTCCGTCTCTACAAAAAACACAAAAATTAGGCAGGTGTGGTGCTGGCGTGCACCTGCAGTCCTAGCTACTTGGGAGGCTGAAGTGGGAGGATCACTTGAGCCCAGGAGGTCAAGGCTGCAGTAAGCCTAGATGGTGCCACTGCATTCCAGCCTGGGAGACAGAGTGAGACCCTGACTCAAGAAACAAAAAAAGAAATTAATAATAATTAACATTTTGACCCACTGGAATACATTTGTATTGCAGAGAGAACGAATCTAAATTTGTTCTTTTGGGCCAAAGCTTTCTCCAATATCACGTATTCAACAAAGCTCCCCTTCTCTTGGCTCTTGGGGACCTACATCCTCACGCATTGGTGCAACCGTGTACAAGACATGTGCTCTGGCCCAAGGTGACACGCCTGCTGCCCCACTCCCACTGCAGGCACCGTGGCCTGCTCACTTTCAACAGCTGCCAGAGCAGGCAGCTCCCTGTATGTTTCCCTTCCTTAACACATCCTGTCCTATTACCAAATTCAGTTTCAAACCTAATTTAAGGCCAGCCTTTCAATACTCAGCAAAGCCATCAATAGGATTCTGGGACCTTAGTAAGAATCAAAACAACTTCTCCCATCTGTTAGGAGAGTGGCTGTCTCCAAAGCCCTTCCAAGCTATGAGCCGACCTAGTCCTACCTGATATGATGACAGACCTATGGACACGGCACATGTGGTGTGCACACAAGCACACACACATGTACACACGTGCACGTACGCACACACATGCGTACACACGCACGCATACACGGCCAGGTCAGCATGGAATGCGCTGACAGCCATGGGGCGCGGCGAGGCCCAGTAAGGCTTTGCAATCCGACTCCCGACGTGAGAATCCAGGCCACGCCACATTCTCACTGTGCAATTCTGGTGAAGCCTCAGGTTGCTCATCTATAAAATGGTAAAGATAACAGTATCTACTTCATTGGGTCACTGTGGGAAATGCAACAGGTGATATATGCACAGGACTTGCACAGTGTCCAGCACAGGACCCAAAACTGTGAGTGCTCATTCTCATGCTTACTGCTGGATGCAGCATCTGCTCCAGCTCTGCCCCACAAGACCCCACCTCTCCAGGGCCCGCAAGACCCCACCTCTCCAGCAGCCAGCAAATAGCAACAGAGGTCCTGGCATGGGGGTGACTCAAGCTCCTGGCCCTTTATTCCAAATGAATCAGGTGAGGCAAAGGATTAGTAGGAATGGCACTTTAGCCCAATGACAGACTTGGCTTTTGGGGTCGATGATTTTGGATTTTCTATCAGAACAACTTTTTGGCAGCAGACATCTGTTTAACGAACAGCATGAGATGTTATTCAGGCCTAACACTGACACCAGGAGAAAATAAGGAGAGGCTATTTTGAGCACTGAACTGAGATCAGGAATCAGAAGAAAAGCTGCTTTGGAGGGAGAAGCTGCAAAGGCTGAGACCTCAGTACGAAAGTCAAAGGTCAGAGGTTGGTCATCCATCATAACCACCTAAAATCCGGAGAGAAAGGAGGGAGCTGAGATTGGAGAGCCATGCCTGGGAACTGGGTGTGCAAGAGAACTTGGACAGGGGTGTGCCGAGCACTGCCCCAAAGCAGGCCAAGGACCGCCCTGAACTTCCCCACCTCTCTCACCGCCCTTCCTTTCCCTTTTCATGGACTAGCTCAAACGCAAAGAAAGCAAAAAAAACAATCAAACAAACACACTAACCTGATTCAGTTCTCAGGCCCAGGCCTTTAGTTTTTAGTCTTGAGTGAATAAATTCTTCTTTTTCCTTAAAAAAAAAAAAAAAAAAAAAAAAAGGCTCTCAGAACTCCTTTCTCTGTCTTTCCATTTTTCTTTGGCTAGAGCACAGCTCACGGTGTACTGGAGAAGTTTAGATGTGGATTTTCTGAGAAGCTAGTGACCCATCTCAAAGCTCGTTTAAAACCCTCTGAATGTGGTTAAAAGTTTTGTGCTTGAAACAGGATTTGAGAAGATGTTCAATAAACTTTGGGAGACGCTGTTTGTTTATAAATCCACAGAATAGGTCAGGCACAGTGGCTCACACCCATAATGCCAGCACTTTGGGAGGACGAGGTGGGTGGATCACCTGAGGTCAGGAGTTCCAGACCAGCCTGGCCAACATGGAGAAACCCCGTCTCTACTAAAAATACAAAAATTAGCCCAATGTGATGGTGGGCACCTGTAATCCCACCTACTTAGGAGGCTGAGGCGGGAGAACTGCTTGAACCCAGGAGGCGGAGGTTGCAGTGAGCCGAGATCACGCCACTGCACTCCAGCCTGGACAACAGAGTGAGACTCTGTCTCAAAACAAAAACAACAACAACAAAAAAAACCCTCCACAGAATATGATAAATATACCCCACCAGACATAGCCCACTCAAATGGAAAGTCAAAGTTTAAATGTTGCCGGGCACGATGGCTCATGCCTGTAATCCCAGCACTTTGGGAGGCCAAGGCAGGCGAATCACCTGAAGGTCAGGGGTTCAAGACCAGCCTGGCCAATGTGGTGAAACCCCATCTCTTCTAAACATACAAAAATTAGCCGGGTGTGGTGGCGGGCGCCTGTAATCCCAGCTACTTGGGAGGCTGAGGCAGGAGAATCGCTTGAACCA
The DNA here is from genome assembly GCF_000001405.40 of Homo sapiens. Lineage (NCBI taxonomy): Eukaryota > Metazoa > Chordata > Mammalia > Primates > Hominidae > Homo > Homo sapiens. The sequence goes on along the minus strand of NC_000014.9, from coordinate 103,573,262 downwards.
GGGAGGTGGAGGTTGCAGTGAGCTGAGATCATGTCACTGCACTCCAGCCTGGGCAACAGGAGTGAAACTCCATCTCAGAAGAAAAAAAAAAAAGTTAAATGTTTTTCTTCTGGTTTAGACTATTTATACTTCTTTCTTACACAGTTTATTTATAAGTATCCTGTTAAGAATTTTGAATTCTCTGCTGGGCATGGTGGCTTATGCTTGTAATCCCAACACTTTGGGAGGCCGAGGTGGGCGGATCACGAGGTCAGGAGATCAAGACCATCCTGGCCAACAGAGTGAAATCCCATCTCCACTAAAAGTACAAAAATTAGCTGGGCACGGAGGTGTGTGCCTGTAATCCCAGCTACTCGGGAGGGTGAGGCAAGAGAATCACCTGAACCTGGGAGGTGGAGGGTGCAGTAAGCTGAGATCGCACCACTGCACTCCAGCTTGGTGACAGAGCGAGACTCCGTCTCAAAAAAGAAAAAAATTTTTTTTTTTTTGAATTCTCAGGAAGAATGACAACACATCACAAAAACGGGTTTCTTTTTGAGGGTCTCACTCCTGTCACCCAGACTGGAGTGCAATGGCGCGCTCTCGGCTCATTGCAACCTCCGCCTCCTGGGTTCAAGCAATTCTTGTGCCTCAGCCTCCCAAGTCATGGGGATCACAGGCATATGCCACCACACCTGGCTCATTTTTATATTTTTAGTAGAGATAAGGTTTCGCTACGTTGGCCAGGCTGCTCTCAAACTCCTGGCTTCAAGTGATCCACCCCTCTCAGCCTCCCAAAGTGCTGGGATTGCAGAGCCATCATGCCCCACCTAAAAAAACCGGTATTCTCATAAAGATAAACACACACACCTATGTGTGTAAAACATGTACTTCTAGTTCTGGCTCTGCTGCTCACACATTGCATCCTTCAAAGTCTCAAGATCTGTGGTTCTACGAATGACCATTTCTTATATACAGTTACATATTAGTTTTTAAAACTATATGCATATATGTACATACAGTGCGGGGGATGGACTGAGACCCAGTACTACCACGTAACAAATAGCAAAGCAATATACTAAACACCTAGCACCCTCAAGTGGCCAACTGTGTTATTTCTCATTCTGATCTAAAACTTTTTTTTCTTTTTTTTTTTTTGAGACGAGTCTGGCTCTGTCACCCAGGCTGGAGTGCAGTGGCGCAATCTCCGCTCACTGCAAGCTCTGCCTCCCGGGTTCACGCCATTCTCCTGCCTCAGCCTCCCGAGTAGCTGGAACTACAGGCGCCCGCCACCACGCCGGGCTAATTTTTTGTATTTTTAGTAGAGACAGGGTTTCACCGTGTTAGCCAGGATGGTCTCGATCTCCTGACCTCGTGATCTGCCCACCTCGGCATCCCGAAGTGCTGGGATTACAGGCGTGAGCCACCGCACCCTTCCGTTCTGATCTAAAACTTAAACTTACCTTACTAAAAGTCAAATTCTGGTTTGCCCAGAACTGTTGATTCCATTCTTGTGTTTCTTGTCTTAATTTTCTAAGCTTTTGTTCCAATGGAGATTCATTTTCAGGTATGTAAAAGTGAACAGGTCGAAGGTTTGAATATTTATCTGGGGGTCCTATCCAATCATGGCAAGACTTTCTTGGAGGGCAGAATCTTGAGACCTTTAACAAAGTAAATTGGATTAACATATGACAAAATGAATCTCTAGTATTATAAAATGTACAATCTGGATTTATTTATTTACTTAGAGACGGAGTCTCGCTCTGTTGCCAGACTGGAGTGTAGTGGCGTGATCTCAGCCAAAGTGCTGGGATTACAAGTAGGAGCCACCACACAGGGCCTAGTTTCTGGTTTAAATAATAACAGCCCTTTCCCGAAACTCAACCACCTTTGCTAAGCTTTCTTTTTTTTTTTTGAGACAGAGTCTCACTCTGTCGCTCAGGCTGGAGGGCAGTGGCGAGATCTCGGCTCACTGCAAGCTCCGCCTCCCAGGTTCACGCCATTCTCCTGCCTCAGCCTCCCAAGTAGCTGGGACTACAGGCGCCCATCACCACGCCCGGCTAATTTTTTTGTATTTTTTAGTGGAGATGGGGTTTCACCCTGTTAGCCAGGATGGAGCTAAGCTTTCTTAAGCTAATGAGAGACCCTACCAGGCTAGGAGGAGGTGAGGAGTCTGAATTCTGGTAAGGTGCCAGCCATCATTCCAGAGGTCACAAGATCTGCAACTTCTCCAATTACTCCTGCATCTCTATTGCAGAACCTAAGATTGGCTTTTTGAGATATCTTTTCAGGTTTTTTGCAAGTCCAACGTGATGGCTCCTCCTGGACCCGCCCAGAAGCCACTCGGCATGCAGGAGGATGAGTCCCACACCCCTGTGATTGCACCCAGACCAATCGGCAGCAAGCACCCATTGCCTAGCCACCTCCACCCCTTCCTCCAAACTATTTTTGAAAAAATCTAGCCCCCAGATGCGAGGAGAGACTGATTTGAGTAATAACTCTTCCATGTAGCATGGCTGGCCTCACATCAATTAAACTCTTTCTTTTTTTTGAGATGGAGTCTCGCTCTATCGCCCAGGCTAGAGTGCAGTGGTGTGATCTTGGCTCACTGCAACCTCCGCCTCCCGGGTTCAAGCGATTCTCCTGCCTCAGCCTCCTGAGTAGCTGGGATTATAGGCATATGCCACCACGCCCGGCTAATTTTTGCATTTTTAGTAGAGATGGGGTTTCACCATGTTGACCAGGCTGATCTTGAACTCCTGACCTCAGGTGATCTGCCTGCCTCAGCCTCCCAAAGTGCTGGGATTACAGGCGTGAGCCACCGTGCCTGGCCCTAAACTCTTTCTTTACTGCAATGCCATGGTCTCCATGAACTGGTTTTGTTTGTGCAATGGGCAAGAAGAACTGTCAGGGAGTTATAGTGGGGGGACCCTGCTATTCAAGACCTGAAACTATACTGCTCATCGTCAGGGTTAAAATACACTGATTTGATGCTGGATCAATTTAGGAATCCTTTTTAGAAAGTAAAGGCAGGATTGCAATACAGACCTTCAACATTTTACCCATCAGTCTAAAAACTATATACAATCACCAAATATCCCATTAAAAAAATAAAACCTACATTTCTAGCCAGGTGCGGTGGCTCACGCCTGTAATCCCAGCACTTTGGGAGGCTGAGGTGGGTGGATCACCTAAGGTCGGGAGTTCGAGACCAGCCTGACCAACATGGTGAAACCCCATCTCTACTAAAAATACAAAAATTAGCCATGCGTGGTGGCCGGCACCTGTAGTCCCAGCTATATGAGAGGCTGAGCCAGGAGAATTGCTTGAACCTGGGAGGCAGAGGTTGCAGTGAGCCGAGATCGCACCACTGCATTCCAGCCTGGGCGACAGAGCGAGACTCCGTCTCAAAAAAAAACAAACAAACAAAAAACCAAAACCTAGATTTCTACAAATGTTGACTTTTATTATTTTTTTCCTTATCATACATTAAAGGACTCAGAAAATGTTCATGGGCTTCTCCCCCAAGTCTTTGCATCTGTGATATTTAGCTGTTGGTAGAAACTAAGGTGAGTCCCACCAAAGGGACGGCACCACGGTCCACCCCCCTAGACTGTGGCCCAGGACGGCGACTCCTTCCCTCCTCCGAGCTGACCCGGGTGTCTGCAGCTCAGTGGGTTTCGCGCTAACCGTGCATGACCACTGTCCAGGGCTGCACCCGCTCTTTTCTGCTCACAGGCTCCCCATCAGGAAATGTTAAAGGAGCCACCTAATAATTAGCTGCTTTTTCTAGCTGCCCACATATCACAAAGCAAGCTCAGAGAGGTGTCAAGTGTGTTCGGCTACTTTTCCATATTTATCTACCAGTTATCACTCACATAAACTGCTTTACGGATAAAGCTGGTGTACCGATATTTTCAAATCATTGTTTGCCATTATAATGTGAGAGATGTTATCTTCCTTTGTTCTTCCCTATAACCACATGTTTCTGCCTTTATTCACGGAGGAGCTACTATTTAAAAGCGAGGACAAGCAGCTTGGGGGAGGAAAATGTCCTTTGGTAAGAGGAAGAGCCCTTTGTAGTGCGAATAATTACCATAATTGCTAGTTTCCACAGTACAAGCCTATGATTCATGGTGTCCCATTGGCTATGCTGGGGACAGAAGGCTCTTCCATCCGGCCCTCATGTCTGCGGGGAGGGCACGCTAGACCCTCACAGTCTCCTGAGAAGCAGCCTCAGTTCTGCCCTTGTCACAGAGAGGCACATGTGCATTCCTACTGGTCAGGCCGAATCTGCATCTTTGGGTCTGGGAGGGGAGTTAACCTTCCGGTTCTTGTGAAAATCTTTTTTCAGCCGGGCGCGGTGGCTCACGCCTGTCATCCCAGCACTTTGGGAAGCCGAAGCAGGTGGATCATTTGAGGTCAGGAGTTCGAGACCAGCCTGGCCAACATGGTGAAACCCCGCCTCTACTTAAAATACCAAAAAATAAGCTGGGCGTGGTGGTGTGCACCTGTAATCCCAGCTACTTGGGAGGCTGAGGCACAAGAATTGCTTGAACCTGGGAGGCGGAGGTTGCAGTGAACCAAGATCGTGTCACTGCACTCCAACCTGGGTGACAGAGTGAGACCCTGTCACTATATATATATATATATATATATATACACACACACATATATATATACGTATACATATATATATATATACACACACACGTATATATGTGTGTATATGTGTACATGTGTGTGTATATGTGTATGTGTGTGTATATATATGTATACATGTGTGTATATATATGTGTGTATATATGTGTGTGTGTATGTATGTATGTATGTGTGTGTATATATATATATACATATCTCCTTTCTTCTTAACTGTAAATTGGCAGGCTGGAGAGCCCTACACCAGGCTTCTCCATGCTGGCTCTGCAGGCCAGGCCTGCCTCTCCAGCCCCCTCTGCTTTTACTAAGCTCCTGAGTACTCCACCAAGGAGCACTCCCACCCCAGCATCTCTCCCTCCAGAAGCCAAGATTCGGAAGGGGAGACACTGAGACGTTTCTCCTGCACCCTATTCCTGGAAGTGCCCGTACATGACACAAAGCTACCATGGGGAAACCACCAGGGAATAATGAAGAGAAAAATGTTAGCAAGCTCTTAGCGTTCTTGCTTCCTGTTCTAACTCTCAGTTCTATAAAGGCTTTGAGTTCCCATCTGAGAAGGAGTCAGGAACTTCATATTTACTGAGGGTTAGGGTCCCCAGCCCCCTATTCTACATGGATGCTAGACAAATCCGCAAACCCGATCCAGCAATATAAAAGAAGGATAATCCACCAGAAGGGCAAACACTAGAAAGTCAATGAAAACAGTCTCCTAATTTCAGGAATGCCAACGAGATGGGAGAGCTATCCAGGCTGGAACACTTTCACCCAACGCTGGAGTGACCACAGCAGGAAGCCACCCCTGCTGTATACATACGTTAATTATTTTTATTATCTTTAAGGCCCTAGTCAACCATCTCTTTCCCACCACCAACAGACACAAGGCCTGCACCTCAGTATTGTCTAAAGATGATTAGACAATTTGTCTAAAGATGATTTGTGGGCTGGGCTTGGTGGTTTACACTTGTAATCCCAGCACCTTGGGAAGCCGAGGTAGGTGGACTGCTTGAGCTCAGGAGTTTGAGGCCAGCCTGGGCAACAAAGTGAGACCCCATCTCTATAAAAAAAATTTTTGTTTTCAGTCTCTGTAGAGACTGTCAAAAATTGCCAGTGCTGACTATATTGCAAGTCATCACGGCAGGGTATTGGGAAAAGTTTTCAATTATCAATAATCACACCTCAGATAAATCTCATTGGCTACAATACTGCCGCTGTGCAAAGCTACAAAAAAAAATTTTTTTTTTTTTTTTTTTTTGAGAAAGAGTCTCGCATTGTTGCCCAGGCTGGAGTGCAGTGGCGCGATCTTGGCTCACTGCAGCCTCCGCCTACCAGGTTCAAGCAATTCTCCTGCCTCAGCCTCCCGAGTAGCTGGGATTACAGGCATGCGCCACCACGCCCGGCTAATTTTTGTATTTTCAGTAGAGACGGTGTTTCACCACGTTGGCCAGGCTGGTCTTGAATTCCTGACCTCAGATGATCCACCTGCCTCGGCCTTCCAACGTGCTGAGATTACAGGCACGAGCCACCGCGCCCTGCCAAAAAAATTTTAAAAATCAGCCAGGTGCGGTGGCACATGCCTGTAGCCCCAGCTACTAAAGAGGCTGAGGCAGGAAGATTACTTGAGCCAGTGAGGTTGAGGCTGTGGTGAGCTATGTTTGTGCCACTGCACTCCAGCCTGGGCAACAGAGCAAGACCCTATGTCCAAAAAAGGGAAAAATATGGTTATTTGTGGACTTGTTCCAACCCTCCTCCTCTCAGAAGTTAGGTGCCCAACAGGCAGGCCCAGGGTGGTGCTCCCTTGCATCCTCAGGAGACCCTGCCTGGAGCTGCAAACAATAAACTTCTGATAGATTCCAAAGATGGACATGGTGGATTCAGCCATTCTCCATAAGCATCAACCTGCCTGCCCCTGCACCACCATGCAAAGGCCAAGCACTGCTCTAGGCACCAGGGAGGCATGTGTTAGCATGCAGAGCTCCTGCCTGGAGAGCCATCTGTGCATGTGTGAAAAGAGGCACACACATTCATTTCTGTATCTCTGGCACCTCATGAAGAACCTGTGCAGGAAATGCCAACCACCCTGAGACAAATGTTTCCATTGGTGTTTTAAGCACCACAATACAGGACACGGTTTTCAAAAATACATGAGACTTTATCAGATGTCTTGTTTAAATCAATATGCAATGGCTCACTCTTTTTTTTCTTTTTGAGAATGAGTCTTGGTCCATCGCCCAGGCTGGAGTGCAATGGCGCGATCTCGGCTCACTGCAACCTCTGCCTCCTGGGTTCAAGCGATTCTCCCGCCTCAGCCTCCCAACTAGCTGGGATTACAGGTACCACCATCATGCCCGGCTAATTTTTGTATTTTTGTAGAGACAGGATTTCACCATGTTGGCCGGGCTGGTCTTGAACTCCTGACCTCAGGTGATCTGCCTGCCTCAGTCTCCCAAAGTGCTGGCAAGGTGTGAGCCACCATGCCTGGCCGGATCACTCTTATTTACCAGTTTAGTAACTCTAACCAGAAAGAAGATGGGGTTAAACTCTAACCAAAAAGAAGATGGGGTTAAAATGGCTTGTTCTTATGAAAACTCAGGTTCAAATGACTTGTAGGTTCTACCAGTCACAGAAAAATTCAAACCTTAGTAAACAATCCACGGAAACAGGAAAAGAAGGCATACCCTACAGCTCATTTTTGAAGCTAAAAGTGACTTTGGGCCAGGCACAGTGGCTCATACCTGTAATCCCAGCACTTTGGGAGGCTGAGGTGAGCAGATCACCTGAGGTCAGGAGTTCAAGACCACCCTGGCCAACATGGTGAAACCCGTCTCTACAAAAAATACAAAAATTAGCCGGGCATGGTGGTAGGCACCTGTAATCCCAGCTACTCAGGAGGCTGAGGCAGGAGAATTGCTTGAACCCGGGCGGTGGAGGTTGCAGTGAGCTGAGATCACGCCACTGCACTCCAGCCTGGGTGACAGAGCAAGACTCCATCTCAAAAAAAAAAAAAAATTAAAAAAAAAGGTGGGGAGGTGATGGAGGCAGAACCTATGGATTAAAAAGAACTAAAAGGGAGTATCTCTGAACCTATTCTGGTTCAGGAACTTCCGGATTAAAGAAAAAAAAAGAACTAAAAGAGTCAGACTAATTCTTACGTGCAAACAAGTTTAGGAACCAATGATGCAAACTACATAGGTAAGACATAAGCAGGCATGAAGTGGCTAGGGAACAGAATTTAAAAGTCTTAATTTTTTTTTCTTTACCAAAAGCAGTTATATTTCTGAAAAGCTGAGTTTTAAAGATGGATTTGGAAGGAAGAATGGTGCCTGACTCTTAAGTTCTATAATATTTTTCAATTAAAAGCTGGTGCTGGCTGGGCATGGTGGCTCACACTTATAATCTCAGCACTTTGGGAGGCCAAGGCGGGTGGATCACCTGAAGTCAGGAGTTCGAGACCTGCCTGGCCAGCATAGTGAAACCCCATCTCTACTAAAAAAAGAAAAAAAAATTAACCAGGCGTGGCAGCATGCGCCTGTGATCCCAGCTATACTCAGGAGGCTGCGGCAGGAGAATTGCTTGAACCCAGTAGGCAAAGGTTGCAGTGAGCCGAGACTGCGCCATTGCACTCCAGCCTGGGCAACAGAGCAAAAACTCCATCTCGAAAAAAGAAAAAACGAACAAGGCAGAGAGGTCTCTCATCTTGAGAACAGACCCATGGTAAGATTTATTTTACTTTAACAAGAAGTCTAAGGCTGAGAGTGGTGGCTCACACTTGTAATCCTAGCACTTTGGGAGGCCCAGGCAGGCGCATCACTTGAGGTCAGGAGTTTGAAACCAGCCTGGCCAACAGGTGAAACCCTGTCTCTACTAAAAATACAAAAAAATTAGCCGGGCATGGTGGTGGGCCCCTGTAGTCCCAGCTACTCGGAAGGCTGAGGCACGAGAATCGCTTGAGCCCGGGAGGCAGAGGTTGCAGTGAGCTGAGATCACGCCACTGTACTCCCACCTGGGCGACAGAGGGAGACTCCAACTCAAAAAAAAAAAAAAAAAAAAAAAAAAGAAGTGTATATGACAATAGAGAAATCCTTATTTGGGTGCTGTTGTTTCTTTCCAGCACAAGTTCACAAAATAAGCTAGGGAAAATCCCCCCCGCCCGGGAAATGTCTTGGTTGATTTCCCGTTTGCTCTCTTAGAGCATTTTCAGACACCTGCTCTATCTTTCTGCCCAAAGATAGAGATGCTGGGTGGGTTTCTATGTTCTAGGGATAGAAGGCAAGGACTTGGTCACTGTAACACAGAACTGAGCTAGCCACTTGGGTGTCTGGTTGGCAAGTTGCCCTGGTAACTCCTTGTTTAAATTGTAAACTAGATAGACCTTCAAAGCTACAATTATGAAAGTGTACTAACAGCCACAGCCCAACAGAAATGAAAATGTACAAGCAAGTACATTTGCAATTTTTAATTAGCTTTTTTTTTTTTGAGATGAAGTCTCCCTCTGTCGCCAGGCTGGAGTGCAGTGGCGCGATCTCGACTCACAGCAACCTCCGTCTCCCGGGTTCAAGCGATTTTCCTGCCTCATCCTCCCGAGTAGCTGGGTCTACAGGCGCGCGCCACTATGCCCAGCTAATTTCTGTATTTTTAGCAGAGACGTTTCACCATGTTGGGCAGGATGGTCTCACCTCTTGATTTCGTGATCCGCTTGCCTCGGCCTCCCAAAGTGCTGGGATTACAAGCGTGAGCCACGGAGCCCGTCCAATTTTTAATTAACACTTTTTTAATACTTCTTTAATTATTGTTTAAACCAAGTTTTCCAGCCTCCTTCATTAGCCTGTTTGGTATTTGCATGCTTTGCTTGAATATTTTATCTCCAGCCCATTCCACACCGTTAGTCAACATTTTCATCTGACAGACGGAATCAAGGCCTAGGCCTCCCTTAAACAAAACATCCCTCCCAAAAGTACCACTTATAAAAATTGCTTGCCACAGACATTCTTGCTACAGACATTCTTTGCGGATCTTTGGCCAGTAACATGCATATACCCACACATAGTTTGCAAATAACAACTATTCAACGTGAAGTGCTACAAAAGTACGATGATAAAGTGCTCGCCGCTTGAAGAAAAGCACTAATAATTGTAACAAAGCCAAAACACACACACACACAACGAAAAAAAACGCACGGTAAGCCAAGAGCTCTTTAAAAATAAAAAATAATCATTCTCGGGAACAAATAAGGTAGGTACAAACTTGCCAGGTGACTCTGTTACGCTTAAAGGTTCTGGCTGTCAACAGTCCCCGGCGTGGTGGCGGCGGCACCCTCAGTCCCATCCGACTGAGGGCGTTGATGCGGGAGCCTCGGGGCTGCGGGACTGTTCGGGATAGGACGCGAGAGCACCTGGACAAAGGCCTGAGGCGGCTGTGCAGAACAGGGAGTGGCCCCGAGGCCCGGGTTTGTCTTCCCTTCCGGTCACCCCTCCCGGCCCAATGTCCCCAGGCCCCTGCTTACCCCGCTGGGCGCCGTATCCCTGCGCTCGGCGCCGCGCTCCGGAGCGAGTTGACAGCCGCGGCAGGCGAAGGCGCGGCAGAGAGGGGGGAGAAAGGTCTTCTTCCCCGCCCGCAAGACCACCATGGCCCCACGCCCCCTGGCTCCCGCGGCGCACGGCAGCATTGCGACGGCGCGAGGGGCCGCTTTACGGCAGGGTCGCGAAGCCCGAGGAAGCGCGGCGGCGCGGCCGACCGTGCGCTTTCCCAGCGGTGCGACGGGGTGAGGGGGCGGCGGGCGGCGCGGGCTGACCCGGGCGGCCGCTCCTTGGTCGCGGTCACTCCAGGCTGCCTCGCTGCGCCGCTGGCGGTGGGCGTGGCGCTGCCGGCGGCTAGGCGCGGACGCCGGAGGAGGTGTCCCCGGGTTTAGGGGTGTTCGGCCAGGGGCGGGGCTGCCGGGCCCGGGCGACTGCCGGAGCTGCGGAAGTCGTGGAAGCGTCGGCGACGCATCGCGCGATGGCGCGGGCGGGACAGGTGAGCGAAGCGCGGCTTGTAGCCTTTTCCCTCTCTCGGGGGGACGAGTGGGGCACCACCTCCGCGCGGGGCTCCCCGCTGGGCCACCCCTTCGCCAGCGCCCAGCCCCGTGCGGCCTGTCGGATCAGGCAGGGCAGAGTCGGTCTCGGCGCTGTCCCCGCCCCTGGGGTCGGAAGCGACCGGGGCTGGCCGGGCCTGGTCTCTGGTGTCTCCGGCCGGGCCTCGGTTCCCCTCCTCCCCCGGCTTCCCCCGGCCGGGCCGAGCTCCCCTCGCGCGCCCATTGTGAGGTCACGTCCTGCAGGCGCGCCCTGGCACCCGGGCCAAGACGCCCGGAGCGGCTGCTGCAGCCAGTAGCGGCCCCTTCACCGGCTGCCCCGCTCAGACCTAGTCGGGAGGGGTGCGAGGCATGCAGCTGGGGGCCCAGCTCCGGTGCCGCACCCCGTAAAGGGCTGATCTTCCACCTCGCCACCTCAGCCACGGGACGCCAAGACCGCATCCAATTCAGACTTCTTTTGGGTAAAGGGCCAAGAGGGAAGGGCGAGGCGGGGAGGAAGCAGCTCGGGCCGCCTTCCCTCCGTGGCCTCCAGGACATCCGCCGGGGATAGATTATGCGTTTCCATTGGTTACCCACCTTGAGCGAGCCGTTTGATAGAAACCAAGAGCTTGAAACGTGCATTAGGCCATTGTGGACTCCCAGTGGGAGGCGAGTGAATGAATTATTCATAGTTACCACGTTTTCGCGGGTTGTTTTTTTTTGAGAGAGTGGAGCATGTTGGGGGCTGAGGAGGTGTTGGGCCTCGAAAGCCCAAGGTGGTGCCCTTCAGCGCTGTCCCGGTCGCTCTTCTTTACCTGTGGGGTTTTAATCTCTTCAGGGAGACTTCTGTGAGGGAAGATGTGTGAGGAGCTAAAAGGGTGGGGAGGGGAAGTGCACAAAGGGATGGAGAGAAACGAAGAAGCGGGGACCTTGGGGATGTCTGAGAGCCACTGGTTTTTGTTCTGGTTCTTTCTTTTGCTTAGAGTTTCTGGAAACTAGGCATAGCTGTGTGGCGGGGCGGGGTACTGTTAGTGTTCGGAAGGTTACAAGAGCTACTGTTTCACCTTTCATAAAGGTGCCCTGCTGGTTCCAAATAGTTTGTGTCGCGTACGGTGACTCACACCTTAATCCCAGCACTTTGGGAGGCGGAGGCGGGCGGATCGTCTGAGACCAGCCTGGGCAATATAGTGAGACCTGTCTCTACTAAAAATAACATTAGCTGGGCGTAGTGGTGTACGACTGTAGACCCAGCTACTGGGGAGGCTGAGGTGGGATGACTGCTCAGAAGTATACCTTTTTAAAATGAGAATTTTAGAATGACTTAATATACCATTAGTGTTCTGCAGAAGCCTTGTGCTGTAGTAAGTTATCATTCTTGTCGTCTTTTAGTGCTTGTGAAACTGAACACAACAAAAGTATGGATATGGGAAACCAACATCCTTCTATTAGTAGGCTTCAGGAAATCCAAAAGGAAGTAAAAAGTGTAGAACAGCAAGTTATCGGCTTCAGTGGTCTGTCAGATGACAAGAATTACAAGAAACTGGAGAGGATTCTAACAAAACAGCTTTTTGAAATAGACTCTGTAGATACTGAAGGAAAAGGAGATATTCAGCAAGCTAGGAAGCGGGCAGCACAGGAGACAGAACGTCTTCTCAAAGAGTTGGAGCAGAATGCAAACCACCCACACCGGATTGAAATACAGAACATTTTTGAGGAAGCCCAGTCCCTCGTGAGAGAGAAAATTGTGCCATTTTATAATGGAGGCAACTGCGTAACTGATGAGTTTGAAGAAGGCATCCAAGATATCATTCTGAGGCTGACACATGTTAAAACTGGAGGAAAAATCTCCTTGCGGAAAGCAAGGTATCACACTTTAACCAAAATCTGTGCGGTGCAAGAGATAATCGAAGACTGCATGAAAAAGCAGCCTTCCCTGCCGCTTTCCGAGGATGCACATCCTTCCGTTGCCAAAATCAACTTCGTGATGTGTGAGGTGAACAAGGCCCGAGGGGTCCTGATTGCACTTCTGATGGGTGTGAACAACAATGAGACCTGCAGGCACTTATCCTGTGTGCTCTCGGGGCTGATCGCTGACCTGGATGCTCTAGATGTGTGCGGCCGGACAGAAATCAGAAATTATCGGAGGGAGGTAGTAGAAGATATCAACAAATTATTGAAATATCTGGATTTGGAAGAGGAAGCAGACACAACTAAAGCATTTGACCTGAGACAGAATCATTCCATTTTAAAAATAGAAAAGGTCCTCAAGAGAATGAGAGAAATAAAAAATGAACTTCTCCAAGCACAAAACCCTTCTGAATTGTACCTGAGCTCCAAAACAGAATTGCAGGGTTTAATTGGACAGTTGGATGAGGTAAGTCTTGAAAAAAACCCCTGCATCCGGGAAGCCAGGAGAAGAGCAGTGATCGAGGTGCAAACTCTGATCACATATATTGACTTGAAGGAGGCCCTTGAGAAAAGAAAGCTGTTTGCTTGTGAGGAGCACCCATCCCATAAAGCCGTCTGGAACGTCCTTGGAAACTTGTCTGAGATCCAGGGAGAAGTTCTTTCATTTGATGGAAATCGAACCGATAAGAACTACATCCGGCTGGAAGAGCTGCTCACCAAGCAGCTGCTAGCCCTGGATGCTGTTGATCCGCAGGGAGAAGAGAAGTGTAAGGCTGCCAGGAAACAAGCTGTGAGGCTTGCGCAGAATATTCTCAGCTATCTCGACCTGAAATCTGATGAATGGGAGTACTGAAATACCAGAGATCTCACTTTTGATACTGTTTTGCACTTCATATGTGCTTCTATGTATAGAGAGCTTTCAGTTCATTGATTTATACGTGCATATTTCAGTCTCAGTATTTATGATTGAAGCAAATTCTATTCAGTATCTGCTGCTTTTGATGTTGCAAGACAAATATCATTACAGCACGTTAACTTTTCCATTCGGATCATTATCTGTATGATGTGGTGTGGTTTGTTTGGTTTGTCCTTTTTTTTGCGTTTTTAATCAGAAAACAAAATAGAGGCAGCTTTTGTAGATTTTAAATGGGTTGTGCAAGCATTAAAATGCAGGTCTTTCAGAATCTAGAACTAGGCATAACCTTACATAATACTAGGAAAATTATGAGAAAGGGGAAATTTTTGGTTAAATAAGAGTAAGGTTCAAACACAAGCAGTACATGTTCTGTTTCATTATGCTCGATAGAAGGCTTTTTTTTCACTTATAAGGCCTGATTGGTCCTACCCAGCTTAACGGGGTGGGGTTTTTTTGTTTGTTCAGACAGTCTGTTCTTTTGTAAACATTTTTAGTTGGAAAAACAGCATCTGCATTTTCCCCATCCTCTACGTTTTAGAGAGGAATCTTGTTTTTGTGTGCAACATAAGAAAATTATGAAAACTAATAGCCAAAAAACCTTTGAGATTGCATTAAAGAGAAGGGATAAAGGACCAGCAATAATACCTTGTAAGTTGCTTTTGTTTGTAAAATCTGAGCTTATAGTTTTCCTTAGTGAGTAAATTCATAAGGATGGGAACATTTAAATTAAGTTAATGGGCCTTTAAAAAAAAAAAAAGGAAACACTCATACCTGTAGTTGGAGGATGAATACTGGAGACGGGTTACCAATGTCAGGTTATACTAAAACTAAATCAGAAAGTCTGAATGTAGCACATAATGGTTCTCTTCTGTTGTCCAAGGCTGTAAAATGGACAGCCTTGTCACACCTCCCCGGTGCTGTTTTACAACGTGAGGGTAGACGCTGTCAGTAACCCAGAGGGACCAGGCCTTCCTAGGTTTTCTAGGCAGTCAGCTGTTAACCACTCACTTAGTAAATGTCATAACTACACCTGCTCCAGGACCAATCAGTGAAACCTGCTCGGAATTAAAGGCTTCCTCTGGGTGCCTGCTGAACAACTGAGCTCATGTCATGGGCATGTGGTGGTTTCTCTGTTGCCTGAAAGAGCCATTAAAGTCAGTCGTGCGTGAAGCATCTCTCTTCTAAAGGATGTGTATTTCCATAAATGCTTTCTGAGGATCCGGTACAAAATGATTTCCCAAAGTTCTGAAGTGCCTTGAGAACATGTGGGTCCGAGTGTTATAACAGACTCCTCCCCCGGGTCACCTTTTGCCTGGTCATCCTGTTAGAGTACATCTTTGGAAATCCAGGGTAATATTCTCTTTCAGAGATGCTCATTGTGTAACTCTGTGTAGGGAGATAGTCACTTTAAACAGCTCAAAGTAGCTAGCTAAAGGAGTAGCCTTAAATACCTAAAAGATGACAGAAGCATAGCCCTTAACAAATCTTCAGCTTGTCTCTCAGTATTTCCCAATCATGAAAATCCCTTGCTATGTCTTTCCTACTAGAAATGTTCTAGAATCGCTGGACGGTGGGGTCAGAGGGCAGTCGGTATTTAGGCCGTGAGCTTCCCATACTACTGCAGGTCCAACTCCTGGCAACCGCGGGCTCAAGGCAGGTCATTGGAATCCACGTTTTGGCCACAGTAGTTGTAGGATTGCTTTTCTGTATCATAATTTTAGAATGCTCTTAAAATCTTGAGGAAGAGTTTTTATTTTTTATTTATTTTTGAGATGGAGTCTCTGTTGCCCAGGCTGCAGTGCAGTGGTGCCATCTCAGCTCACTGCAACCTCCACCTCCCAGGTTCAAGCGATTCTCCTGCCTCAGCCACCTGAGTAGCTGGGAGTACAGGCATGTGGCACCATGCCTGGCTAATTTTTGTATTTTTAATAGAGTTGAGATTTCACCATGATGGTCAGGCTGGTCTCGAACTCCTGACCTCGTGATCCGCCCGCCTCGGCCCCCCAAAGTGCTGGGATTAACGGGTGTGAGCCACGGCGCCCAGCCCAGGAAGAGTTTTTAAATTAGAGCTCTGTTTAATTATACCACTGGGAAATCATGGTTACGCTTCAGGCATATTCTTCCCCAGAGTACTACTTACATTTTAAATTTCATTTTGTAAAGTTAAATGTCAGCATTCCCTTTAAAAGTGTCCATTGTTCTTTGAAAGTAGACGTTTCAGTCATTCTTTTCAAACAAGTGTTTGTGTACCTTTTGCCAAGCTGTGGGCATCGTGTGTGAGTACAGGGTGCTCAGCTCTTCCACCGTCATTTTGAATTGTTCACATGGGTAATTGGTCATGGAAATGATCAGATTGACCTTGATTGACTGTCAGGCATGGCTTTGTTTCTGGTTTCAATCTGTTCTCGTTCCTTGTACCGGATTATTCTACTCCTGCAATGAACCCTGTTGACACCGGATTTAGCTCTTGTCGGCCTTCGTGGGGAGCTGTTTGTGTTAATATGAGCTACTGCATGTAATTCTTAAACTGGGCTTGTCACATTGTATTGTATTTTTGTGATCTGTAATGAAAAGAATCTGTACTGCAAGTAAAACCTACTCCCCAAAAATGTGTGGCTTTGGGTCTGCATTAAACGCTGTAGTCCATGTTCATGCCAAAAATGGCTGGGAACGTTTGCTTTATTTACATTCAGTCAGCGTTGCTTTCAGATCACACTTTATCCACACAGGAAAGCCAGTCAGCCTATAATGAAGTAGTTATTAAAATAAATGTAATGAATATGTCTACAAAGTATAGTTTAGTGGTTTATTTTGCTAAAATGCACATATATTTGATATAATTTAGTTTGAGAAGTTCAGCTAGTTTTTCTCCTTTGTTTGACTTTGTCAATTTCTATCTGGTTTTTAAGGGTCTGAGCTTAGCTTGTGCATGCAAGGTTTTGGGTTTTTTTATTTTTTTTTTGAGCACAGCTTTTCACCTTTTAATTTGTTGGGTATTTTTCTCTTAATAAGAGAAATATTGGCCATCGATTTTTACATATAATACAAGTGTGTTTTTCCAGTACATTGGTTCCTGTCCCCTCTCTGTGAACTGTTTGAGTATTGGAACAGTATGTCTTCAATAATTCAATGTTACTTTGAGATACATGTGTTAATATACCCTTAGTTATTCTTGAAATAAAACCAGTCTCTTACGCTTGCAGTGGAGAAAGGCTGTGAGTCTGAGGTGTGTGTTCTCTATATATTATCACCTTCATGAACTGTCTGACCTGGGTGCGGAGCCCTTTTTTTTTTTTTTTTTGAGACGGAGTCTGGCTCTGTCACCCAGGCTGGAGTGCAATAGCGCGATCTCGGCTCACTGCAACCTCCGCCTCCCAGGTTCAAGCAATTCTCCTGCCTCAACCTCCCGAGTAGCTGGGATTACAGGTGCCTGCCACAACGCCTGGCTAATTTTTTGTATTTTTAGTAGAGACAGGGTTTCACCATGTTGGCCAGGATGGTCTCGAACTCCTGACCTCAGGTGATCCACCCGCCTCAGCCTCCCAAAGTGTTGGGACACAGGTGTGAGCCACCGTGCCCAGCTGAGGAGTCCTTCCTTAATGGAGCCCACAGCAGGCAGGCCTGGGGGCAGGTGGCCTCCTTGGCTGCAGTTGGTGGCCATGCTGTAAGGAGGTGAGGGTGGTTGTGTGTGGGCCAGGACCCAGGCCCAGGTGACCAGGTCACTGTGCTCTTGTTGAGACAGCCTAGGAAGTATGTGTGTGATGGGGGTGGGGGCCTCATGCTCTGCTCCCTCAGGAGGATGCCTGGGTCTCAAATAAGAATTGACTTTATTTTTAGAAAGAAGAACCTCTGAGACAGTTCTTGAAAGATCCACTCTCCAGAGGAGAGTTGTGATAGTGTGCTATGAAACCGTCTTCACTGCTTTGTGACGGAGGTGTGGGAGTCTTTCTGTCTATTCGGCCCTTCCCGGCTGTGTGAGGTGTTCTGACTCCGGCCTCCGGCCCTCTCCCAGCCCTAAGTCTAGTGAAGCCCGTGTGCTTGGACTGCAGACGTGCCTGGCTCACTTCGGGCAGTTGTTTGTCTATTTTAAGTCCGCTATGTGACAGCAATAAGTTTTCCTATTTTTAGCCCTTTCCTATTGTATTTTTTGTTTTGTTTTTTGTTTTTTGTTTTTTTGGGGGGAGCGTTTTGTTTGTTTGTTTGTTTGAGGCGGAGTCTCTCTCTGTCACCCAGGCTGGAGTGCAGTGGCGCGATCTCGGCTCACTGCAAGCTCCG
Source organism: Homo sapiens (assembly GCF_000001405.40). Taxonomy (NCBI): domain Eukaryota; kingdom Metazoa; phylum Chordata; class Mammalia; order Primates; family Hominidae; genus Homo; species Homo sapiens. The sequence goes on along the minus strand of NC_000014.9, from coordinate 103,555,482 downwards.
CCTCCCGGGTTCACGCCATTCTCCTGCCTCAGCCTCCCGAGTAGCTGGGACTACAGGCGCCCGCCACCATGCCCGGCTAATTTTTTGTATTTTTAGTAGAGACGGGGTTTCACTGTGGTCTTGATCTCCTGACCTCGTGATCCACCTGCCTCAGCTTCCCAAAGTGCTGGGATTACAGGCGTGAGCCACCGCGCCCGGCCTTCCATTGTATTTTTGTTGTCTTCTCTGCCTGCTTTTATCTTCCAGGTGATCCAAACAGGGGCAGCCTTTGCAAGCCTTGCAAACGCATGATAGGCCCAGAGCCAAGAACAACGATGTGTATAGGTTGAAGAGAAACACTCTGGGGGAAATGTGAGCTTTTGAATAAATCCTTGGCCACACGTGAGGATTCTTATCACTTATACTGGCAACAGCATTAACCAGGCTCCTAGTGTATCCTCGTGTTGCGCTGAGGATTGAAGAATCCATCATGCCACCAGTGGCCATGGAGAAATTCCAGTTTAGTCAGAGAAGGGATGAGGGGAGTCAGCTGCGCCTGGTCTGTCTCAGGTGTGAATGTCTGGTGTCAGGTCAGGTGTCAAGTGCAAGCCGGAAAAAGACCAGTGGCTTAGGGAGGGGTCTCACTGGCCCTTCAAGGCTGGTTAGAAGTAGGACAGGAGACGGTGGGTGTGGCACCGGGAATCATGGCACTTTGGGAGGCTAAGGTGAGAGGACTGCTTGAGCCCAGGAGTTCAAGACCAGCCTGGGCAACACAGACCCCATCTCTACAAAAAAATCAATATAATTTTTTTTTTTTAAAGAAGAAACCCTGGAGTGGGCTGAGCTGGAACGAGGTGGCAGGGGCTGAGGGGCAGTGCCCTGGCAAGCTTGGCTCTTGATTCTGGGTACAAGCTGAGCCCTAATTGAAGGCCTCTTATATGCAGGTCTGGGGTCGCCCCTGCTGGTCAGGACATGTCTGAGGGCATCTTACAAAATGTTTTGGGTTCTTTTGTTTTTTTATTGAAACAGGGTCTTAATATGTTGCCCAGGCTGGTCTCGAACTCCTGGGCTCAAGCGATCCTCCTGCCTCAGCCTCCCAAAGTGCTGGGATGACAGACATGAGCTACTGCACTTGGCCTTGCTTTTCCATTTTGTGTAGTTATCATTGCACAGATTTTGGGGTGGGGGTGGGGGTCACCAGGCAGCCTTAGGACTCTGTGTCCCTAGTTCTAGGTCTCTTCAGCTTGTGCCCTTTTTTTATGCCAGTCACCAGCAGGCTATTTCAGGCTATTTCACCTATTTGCCCTCTTGGTCTTTCTAAAAGCACGGCTCTGCTCATATGGCTTTTCTGAATGAAAACCTTCAGTGGCCTCCACTATTTCACCCAGCCACGTCCCTGCGAGGCCCTGAGTGGTGTGGTCCAGGCTGCCCCAGCAGCCCCATCTCCACTGCCCAGCCATCTGTGCAAAATGTTCTATGTACATTTTAAGCTCTCAGCACCCCTTGAGGCAGGTTTTTCATACTATCTGTTTCATAGGTGATTCTGAGATTCAGGTGGTCCCTTGCCCAGGGAACTGCCCAGAGTCACTTGGCAAAGGAGGGAAGGACAATTTGGTTACAGTTCATGAGTCATGGACTTACCTGGAGAGTTGAAGAAATGGCTGGTGCTTGGGGCCCACCCCAGCGATTCTGGTTTCATCGGGATAGGGTACAGTCTGGACATCAGGATTTCTGAAAGCTCCCACCTCAGGGAATGCTGGCCAAGTGGCTAAAAGCAGGCTGGGGCCCAGACTGCTAGGTTCACATCTCAGCTGTGCCACTTTCTCTCTCTTTTTTTTTTTCTGTCGCCCAAGCTGGAGTGCAATGGCACAATCTCGGCTCACTGCAACCTCTGCCTCTTGGGTTCAAGCAATTCTCCTGCCTCGGCCTCCCAAGTAGCTGGCACTACAGGCGTGCGCCACCACGCCCAGCTGATTTTTCTATTTTTAGTGGAGACACGGTTTCACCATGTTGCCAGGAGGGTCTCCATCTCTTGACCTCGTTATCTGCCCACCTCAGCCTCCCAAAGTGCCAGGATTACAGGTGTGAGCCACCGTGACCGGCGAGCTGTGCCACTTTCAAAGCTGAGCCCTTGAGCTTCAGTTTCTTCTGAAAGGTGGGCAGTACTTAGCACTTAGGTTTAAAGGATTCAGCTGGTTAATGTGAAACATTCAGCTCCAGTATTATGTCTCAAAGTCACTGTGTCAGTGAACCGGCATCCCTCATCGTGGAAAGACTGTCTTAAACGAGTGCTTTATTCTGTCCGTACGTCTTCCACTTGTGAATTACAACTGCAAAAATGTATCTTTCTATAGTAAGGTTGAAGTGAAGTGAAGCTATTTCCCCGCTTCGGATTCTTTGGTCTTTCCGGAGCTGCCAGGGGTCTGTGACCCCATTTGGTAAGGACTCAGTGCCGCACACTGCCTCTCCATCTCTGGTCCCCGCTGCGGTCACAGCGAATGGTAGGTTTTCAGTGTGTGTTAGAACCCTTTCAGTCTCGAGCCGTTTCCCTGTGGCTGCATTTTCAGATGAATGTTGCCAGTTCCCCACCTTCTGTCTCCATCTCACACTGGTGTCTGCCCCACCTCAGTCCTCTGTGGGTGTTGGGACATGGAGCTGGGTGGTTCTGAGTGCTGAGCGGAGAGTAAGGTCATCAGATGACTTTGCTGTTCATGGCCCTGGGTTCTGGTGCTCTCATCCGAAGCCCTCCCTGCCCATCCCTTGGGCCGTGGAGCGTTTCTTCTGTTCCTGTACCCTATTAATAGCTCTCCTAACACAGTGGCTCACCTGTCTCTCCCATGCCAGGCCACAGTGCCTTTCAAGGCAAGATCTGTCTCTTCATCCATGCAGCCTCAGGTCCTGGCAGTAATGGGCACTCACATGCCTTTTGGATGAGCTGTTCTTTGGAAATAGTGTCCTTAGCTCCTGGCATGTAATAGGCATTCGGCGAATACTTGCTGAATAAATGAGTGGAAAAATCTCAGATCTTCAGACAGCTTCAGAGAGTGTTTAAAATCCTTCTGCTTATCGGATCCAAAGGACCTTCTCTCTGCTGCACCTTCCACCGGGGCTCTGGGGTGGCCAATCAGGATCTCTCACCTGAGGCCACCTCATCCCCCTGAGAGCCCGGGTGGAATCAAAAGTGCCTCCTACTCGGTCCCTGGGGCAGGAGGGCCAGCAGGCCAGAGCGGGTCACACCCTGCTGTAGAGAAGCAAGGCCTCTCCAATTCCAGAGCCCTTGGCTGGCCACCCAGCCACAGAGGCCAGGCAGGCTGGAGCCTCTGAAGATGAGGGGTGGGGATGTTGGCTTCTGTCTCTGAAATTCGTCTGCTCGTGCTTGTGATGCCGAAATGAGCAGTTAGCTCTGTGATTCCTGAGCCTGGGCCGACCTCCATGTCCTCGGTGCTGTTGGAAAGGACCAGGGAGGGGCAGTGTCAGGGCCACCGCGTGCCTAGTGTGCCCTTCAGACCGATTTGACATGAAGAGGAATCTTCCTGGCTGCTGGGTGAGGTACTTGAAGGAAACCCACTAACCCATGGGGTGAGGAGGACTGAGGGAGGGTAGCTGAGCCTTGGGGTGGAGTCTCCATTTAACTAGCATCTGCCGAGTACCTGTGAGGTGCTGGGGGCAAAGGCGTGGACCTGGGGCAAGGGCCCCTGCAGAGGTCACGTGGCTTTCTGAGGGATCCATCGCAAGAAGCATTGGCCGGATGTGATGGGGTGGTTGAGAAGCCCAGGGAGGCTTCCTGGCGGAGGTGGGAGGTTAGCTGGTCACGGACAAGAAGTGGAACGTGACAGGAAGTGCAGGAGTTCGTCTCTTCCCAGGCAAGACCGTAGTGGTGAACACACTGTTCCAGTCGGCGGGCTGGGAGCTTCATCAGAGTGAGAGTGCTGGCAGCCACCACTGCTGCTGGAGCCGGGAGGGCCAGGCAGGGCCAGCCAAGCTGGACCACGAGCTGCTGCGGCAGGGCTGGGGCCTGAGAGTCCTCCGAGGGACAGGAGGCAGGTCCGCTCTCCACAGGGTGAGGGAGAGAAGGGGACCTGAGAGCGTCGGGGTAGGGCCTAGGAGCTGCACTTCAGCCATGAGGAGGGGCAGCCGTGGATGGTTTTTAGCCTGGGGAGTGACGGGCCATGCTTCCCTTTGGGACGGCCCCAGCAGGACAGTGCCTCGCCAGTCCACATGAGCCAGCGGCCGCTGTGCCATGCCTGCTCTTCCAGGCCGCCTCCACCCCCACAGCCGCGCCCCTGACTCTCGTCCCTTGTGGACATCGGCCCTTCCGACAGCTTGTGTGTGCCCCGTGATGCCCCCCCCCCATCCCCACCTAGCACTGTTCCAGGTGGGCGGGCATCCACTCAGCCTCTCCCTGGTGCTCACCCAACTCCCTCCCAGACAGAAATGAGACCAGCCGAGACACTCTGTGGGAGGCTGTCCATGAGCCCCAGAGCCCCAGGAGGGCCCTCCAGGCTGGTCCCACCAGCCCAGGGTGCAGCACCGCCTGGGGTGAGGTGGCGGCTGCAGGTGGCTGGCAGTTCAGATACTGGAGCTCCCAGTGGGAGGGATGGCTAGCCACTCACCCAGAACCTTCCCGGAATGGGGGAGGAGAGAGCCCACTTGTGGCAGCATCAACAGGATTTTGAGAACACAGTTCTGGAGCTGAAGGCCTGCAGCGAGCCTGGTGCAGGATGAGGCGTCAGACCTGGGCCCCTCCCAGGCCGCTGGGTTCCAGTGCTCCCGACAGGCCCTCTGTGC